>NC_000016.10:20910728-21213758 GCF_000001405.40 Homo sapiens | reverse complement strand
CCAAAAACTTATCTGTATTTTGCTCCTTCTTCCCAATTCCGCTGGGATGTAATCTACTCAATTCCCGTAAGGAGGTTAACCACTGGCCACCACAGATTTTCTCGCCTCGCTCCCTCCAAGTATTTTCCAGGTTTTCCTGATTATAAGAATCACCTGTGGTGCTCGTTAAGTAAATATTTCCCAGGCACATCTTCTGGAGAGTCTAATTCAGCAGCTTTTGGGTGGGACCCTGGAATCTGTGATATTAATGAGAGCTCCATGTGATCCTTTTGATCAAGGAAGTCAGGGAAACAGTTAATCTCCAATGTTATTTCAGATGCCTCAGGTTACACCTCAAAGGCAACACATGAATCAATACAGTTTAGGATGATGCAAAAATAATTGCAGTTTTTGCCATTAAAATTAGTGGCAAAGGGCCGGGCACAGTGGCTCACGCCTGTAATCCCAGCACTTTGGGAGGCTGACACGGTTGGATCACTTGAGGCCAGGAGTTCGAGACCAGCCTGGCCAACATGGTGAAACCCTGTCTCTACCAAAAATACAAAAATTAGCTGGGCTTGGTGGTGGGCGCCTGTAATCCCAGCTACCCGGGAGGCTGAGGCAGGAGAATCGCTTGAATCCAGGAGGCAGAGGTTGCAGTGAGCCAAGATTGCGCCACTGCACTCCCACCTGGGCAACAGAGCAAGACTCCATCTCAAATACATACATACATACATAAAAGTAGCGGCAAAAACTGCAATCACTTTTGCACCAGCCTAATAATTGCAAGTGTCACCCACCACTTGAATGGAGTCTAAGCCTTATATCCACCTATTTTGGAACATGGGCTGCAGACATCTAGTTATCTCAAAGAGTGTGAGAGATGTTGAAAAAACACAACCATCAGGCCTCAGGAAATCTGAGTTCTCCACCTGGTCCCTGACATTGTTGGGGCAAGTTGCCTTGCCTCAGTTTCCCCACTGGGAAACTTCCAAGTGCTTTACAACAATATAACATTCTTATTAGATCACTACTCCCTTTTACCCAGAAGTTTTACTTTGAGGAATTTATCTTGAGGGTTACCCAAGGATATGTATCAGAATGCTCATCATGTTACTGCTTATAATGATGAAAAATTACAAGCCACCTTATGCTCATAATTAAGGAAATTATATAAACACAGATTTATCTCAAATTGAATATTATGCCACCCTAAAATGGTAACAGAGAGCTTTATGTTTAATAGTTATAAAGTGACAGTAGCAGATTACAAAACAGTATTTAAACTTTCCTCCCAGTGTTTTAAAAAAATTGTGTGTGGTGTTTGTAGAAACATGTCTAAAGTTACTCACCTAAATATTAGCAGTGGCACTATTATGAGTGACTTTTGCCTTTTCTCTGTATCCTTCTGAAATTGTATCTTTGCGGTAAGCTTAAGCTTTTACACTTGGGGGTCAACAAGGCTTCATTCATTTTTTTAAAGACACTTCCTGTGCATTATCAGGGTAACTTCTGCAGTAGCCAGAAGACTAGATGTTACTTAAAAGGTTTTAGGGTAGGTGCAATGGCTCACGCCTGTAATCCCAGCACTTTGGGAGGCCGAGGCACGTGGATCACCTAGGTCAGGAGTTCGAGACCACCCTGACCAACACGGTGAAACCCAATCTTTACTCAAAATACAAAAATTAGCCAGGTGTGGTGGCGTGCACCTGTAATCCCAGCTACTCAGGAGGCTGAGGCAGGAGAATTGCTTGAACCCAGGAGGCAGAGGTTGCAGTGAGCCGAGATTGCACCAGTGCACTCCAGCCTGGGTGACAGAGTGAAACTGAATCTCAAAAAAAAAAAAAAAATGTAGTGGTGTGAACAAGACTTGTTTTTTTCTCAATAAAGCCCATGATTCTCTTTGGCTCTACATTGCAGTTGTAAATAATTTGCCCAAAAGATCCTAATTTCCCCCATAGTTATAGGGAAAACACCAATTCACTCACCTGGAGCTGATTTCAGCAAACTCTGATTTCATGCCTGGCCCACAGGGCAGCTGGCAGAATACCCGGCGCAAGCTGTCAGGAATCAGAGGCCACTTCCTTCCCCAATCCTTCCGTTTCAGCTGGGAGAATGGGACAAGATTCAGGTGCCCCCAATGGGGAGAGGGTGTGGATGCGGCTGGCTTCCTGCTATAAAAACACAGAGCAGCCTACCCTCTACCTGGTTGATCTGGTAGTGTCTTCTGCTATGGCGTGCAGGCAGAGAGGAGGCTCTTGGAGTCCCTCAGGCTGGTTCAATGCAGGCTGGAGGTGAGTAATTCTGGAAGTGGAGGGAGGGGGTATGGTAGCTTTGTTTGTTAAAGTCCATTCTTCCTTGACTATCTCCCTGTCTCTTTCCAGCACCTACAGGTCGATTTCTCTCTTCTTCGCCCTTGTGACTTCAGGGAACTCCATAGATGTTTCTCAGTTGGTAAATCCTGCCTTTCCAGGTATGTCTCTTGGGTGACAGAAGTCTTCTTAGCAGAGAAAACAGGTTGCAGCTGGAAGGCCTAGCTGGCCAAGAAACACAGGCCTGGCTCAGACAACCTCCATTCACCCCCTTTATTACCTTGGTCAGGTTACTGGATCTTTCTTCTGCTAACCTGTAGACTCACTATACCTGCTAAATGAAAACTCAAACACTTGCACTGCCTTCCAATCCCTCACTGCCTCAAGCTTTATGGTATCCACAGAACAGCAAACCACCACACTAAGCCCTCATCTTTAGGAGCAGCAATCTTCAAACACAAACTCATGCTTAAGGAAAACATCGACATAACAAGCAAAACTGGAGCTGCTCACTTGACGTTCACCTGAGCCAGAGGCTGCAGAGTAGCAGATGATGGGCAAAACTTGATCTTTAAAAAAAAAAAAAAAAATGCAGCCAGGCGCCGGGGCTCACGCCTGTAATCCCAGAACTTTGGGAAGCCAAGGCGGGCAGATCACCTGAGCTCAGGAGTTTGAGACCAGCCTGGCCAATGTGGTGAAACCCCATCTCTACCAAAAATACAAAAACTAGCTGGGTGTGGTGGTGGGCACATGTAATCCCAGCTACTTGGGAGGCTGAGGCAGGAGAATCGCTTGAACCTGGGAGGCGGAGGTTGAGGTGGGTTGAGATCGTGCCACTGCACTCCAGCCTGGGTGACAGAGAGACTCCGTCTCAAAATAAATAAATAAATAAATAAAAGTCCTGGGACTTACCCAGGACTTTGTTTAACATCAATTTGCAAAACCTGTTGACAAAGCTTTTGTCAGTTTTTCGGGCCTGCCTCCATCTGCTCCACTGTCAAGGTGTTGACCTGGCTCCTACAGACCTGCTTGTCAACCCTAACCTGGGCTTCTTACTGGAACACTTCAAAAGCCCTGGGTACCTGATATTTTCCTTACAGTTCTTGGCATATTGTATTGTTGTCTTGGTCACTTGTTTGTGAGCTCTCCCAGGGTAGGGGACGATTCTTGCCTCCCTCATCTGGAATCCCTCCCATCTGAGAGGAGTCTATACACTTTTGTAGGAGTTGCATCACTCATGACTCAAAGCCCCCAAATGCTTCCTTTGCTCCTTAGGCACTGTCACTTGCGATGAAAGGGAAATAACAGTGGAGTTCCCAAGCAGTCCTGGCACCAAGAAATGGCATGCATCTGTGGTGGGTAGGTAACGTGTGTTATCTCCTCATAGTCCTGATTAGCAGACAGCCTTTGGCTTAGGTCAATCCTGTTTGGGGAGCAGAGTACCCAAACTCCTGCAGCAACGGCATCCAACTCCCATGATGCCATGGGGATACCTGATTTGCATGAAGCCACCCAGCATGGAAGACCTGTCTGTCTTCGAAAGTGTGTCTTATGCCAGCATCTCTGGGAAGCCTCTGGCTGCAAGTCATACCATCTCAAAGCTCAAGTTCTATCACTGAGTTGGGGCGGAAGTGAAGGGACTGAAGTACCTTAGAAATGGACTGGTGGTCTTGACTCTATAGCTTTGGACTGTCACTGAAATGTACTCAGCCATCCTGTCTAACCTGCTCTGGCCTTGGCAGATCCTCTTGGTCTCGACATGCCGAACTGCACTTACATCCTGGACCCAGAAAAGCTCACCCTGAGGGCTACCTATGATAACTGTACCAGGAGAGTGGTAAGTCATTGCTTTGAGCAGTTCTTGGGGAAGTACGTAGTAACCTAAGAGTTACTGGCAGTAAACTTGGCTAAGAACTTTCTCTTTGGAGTAAAGCAGTGGCTCTCAACCAAGGGGGTGGTGTCTCGTGTGTGGCTCTTCTTTTCTATTATAATCTGTCTAGGCCAGGTGTGATGGCTCACGCCTATAATCTCTGCACTTTAGGAGGCTGAGACGGGTGGATCACCTGAGGTCAGAAGTTTGAGACCAGCCTGGCCAACATGGTGAAACCCCATCCCTACTAAAAATACAAAAAACTAGCTGGGTGTGGTAGCACACACCTGTAATCCCAGCTACTTGTGAGGCTGAGGCAGGAGAATCGCTTAAACCCAGGGGACAGAGGTTTGCAGTGAGCTGAGATTGCTCCATTGCCCTCCAGCCTGGGCAACAAGAGCAAAACTGTCTGGAGGAGGGTGGGGGGAATCTGTCCAGGGGACATTTGACAACATCTAGAAACATCTTTGGTTATCACAACTGAAGGTAGAAGAGCTACTACTGGCATCTAATGGATACAAGCCAAAGATGCTGGCAGACAACCAACATTACCCAAGTCTCCTCCCCATAACACAGAATTACCAGGACTGAGATGTCAGTGTTGAGGATGAGAAACCCTGGCATTCAAGTACTTGAGCCCTTGAGCCCTGGCTCTACCACTAATCAGGTGTAATTTCCACCAAGTGAGCCCTTTCAAGCCTGTTTGCCCATTAGAAGATGAGAGTAATGGTGCCTGCTCCATGGGGGTAATGAAGACTAATGATGTTCTACAGATTAAGACCTGGTGCAGAACCTGGATACAACAAGTGATGAAACACGAGCTATTTTGATCTGTGAACCCCAACATGAGATGGAAGGCTATTTTGGTGCTAGCAAATAGAAATCTGACCTATAGAAACAGGTGTTAAAAGGCAAACAGCAGCTAAGCAGTAAGGGTTTTTCTATTGCCAAGCAACAGTATTGCCCAATCAGGAATATTAGGAGCAATAAAAGCAACCTGTCTAAGCAGAAGCTAGCAAGTTGTAATTTGGAAAGTTTGGGTTTGACTAGTTGGACATAGGCCTGGGGTGAGTTCTGGGAATCTGCATATCTAACAGTCTATACCATCTGATTACGATGCAGGTGGTCAGCAGTCTAAGCTTTGTACAGATACAGTCTTAGACCCTACTCTGTAAACAGGCTTGAACTGTAAGTCATCTGGTCCCCTAAAGCCCTCTGTGATCAATCAATGAAGTAATCATAGGTCCTTCATGAAAAACCTGATAATTTCCTTCTAAAACAGACCTTCTCAACATTAGAGGTCTTGGAGTCGCATTCCCTTAGACTAAGGGTCTGCAAGCCATAACCTGTGGATGGCCAAACGCAGTCCATGGTCTCTTTCTGAGGCAGGCTTGCTCTGTAGCCCAGGCTGGAAAGTAGTGGCTGCAATCATGGCTCACTGCAGCCTAGAACTGCTGGGCTCAAGGGATTCTCCCGTCTCAGCCTCCCAACTAGTTGGGGCTACAGGCATGCAACACTATGCCTGTCTAATCTTTGTCTTGTCAAAATGGGGATTTCACCATGTTGTCCAGGCTGGCCTCAAACTTCTGGCCTCAAGGGATCCTCCCACCTCAGCCTTCCAAAGCACTGGGATTATAGGCATGAACCACTGTGCCTAGTTCATGGGTTTTTTTTGTGTTTTTGTTTGTTTTTGTTTTGGTTTGGTTTTCAAACTAAGAATGGGTTTTATCTTCTTAATCTTCTTGAGACAGGGTCTTGCTGTTGTCCAGGCTGGCATGCAGTGGCATAATCTCGGCTCACTGCAACCTCTACCTCCCGGACTCAAGCAATCCCCTACCCTATGTCTCAGTACCACCTCAGCCTGCCCAGTAGCTGAGACCACAGGCATATACCACCACACCCAGCTAACTTTTGTGGTGTGTGTGTGTGTGTGTGTGTGTGTGTGTGTGTGTGTGTGTGTGTTTAATATATATATAGAGATGGAGTCTCTCACCATGTTGCACAGGCTGGTCTTGAACTCCTGAGCTCAAGCAGTCAGTCTGCCTCAGCCTCCCAAAGTGCTGGAGTTACAGGCAATGAGCCACCATGCCCAGCTGGCTTTTATCTTTTTAAAGTTCTTTTAAGGAAATATGCTATGGATTTCATGTGGCTCACATGAGTCTAAAACAGTTGCTAATGCATAATGGAAAAAGGTTGGCTGACCCCTGCTTTTAGACTGAGTTTCCTAAGGTCAGGGGTAATAGCAAGGGTAGCTCTACCCAGCACAATGGCAGCTACTTAGGTGCTTAACAAGTATTCAGATAACCTGGGTAGAAGCCCCATACCAACCCCATTCAGCCAGGACCATGGTACTGAGACATAGGGTACACATAAGAGAAATAGAAACTGAACTCCATTTCCTGATGCTAAAACTGGCCTATCAGCATGAGTCTTCACTAACAGATTACAATGGGCTAGCTAGTCTCCTGGTACGGGAATGAGGTACCTTCCAGCACTTGTGGTATTAGTAACTTTAAGGGTTTTCCCACTCAGATGGGTCAGATGGTATTCTAGAATCCCATGGGGGTACAGTACTTACTCTGTTCCCACTGTGCTATCTGTACACAGCATGGTGGACACCAGATGACCATCAGAGTCATGAACAACAGTGCTGCCTTAAGACACGGAGCTGTCATGTATCAGTTCTTCTGTCCAGCTATGCAAGTAGAAGAGACCCAGGGGCTTTCAGCATCTACAATCTGCCAGAAGGATTTCATGTCTGTGAGTGAAACGGGCTGACTGCTCGGGGTATATGGCTACTGCAGGGGGAATATGATGATGATCTAACCAGGGCGGGGCTTAGAAATCAGACCATGATTTAATCCTGTACTTGCTAATTTTCTGTGTGATGAGGTTTAACTTTACCCTGAGGCTTTGTTTCCAAGTCCAAAGTGATGGGACAATAATGCTTACCTCAGGGTGGCTCTAAGAATTTACTGAGGGTATATACATGGTACTTGGCACATCATGCATGGCAATAGGGTTTTATTGGTAGTTGCACTCACACTAATCATCTGACAAATGGAATACATGCCATGTTCCAGGCCCTACCCTAGATGCTAAGATACAATAAGTGAACAAAACGACCCAGTCACATCTTCATGGGTTTAGAGTCTAACATGGCTAATGTCAACAATGGACAACTAAAAATAACACTGACATAAAAGCAACTCAATAACAATGATAGAACTGCATGGCTTTTACATAGTACCTGATTTCTATGGACATTGGTGAAAGGGCAAACGTTTAAGAACATTGTCCTGGTCAGGCATGGTGGCTCATGCCTGTAATCCCAGCAATTTGGGAGGCTGAGGTAGGTGGATCACCTGAGGTCAGGAGTTTGAGACCAGCCTGACCAACATGGTGAAAACCCATCTCTACTAAATACAAAAAACTAGCCGGGTATGGTAGTACATTCCTGTAATCCCAGCTACTTGGGAGGCTGGGGCAGGAGAATCGCTTGAACCCAGGAGACGGAGGTTGCAGGGAGCCGAGATTGCACCATTGCACTCCAGCCTGGGCGATGAGCGAAACTCTATCTTGGGGGGAGAAATGTGTCCCAACTTACAACTGGAAAGGAGCTTAGATCTTCCAGCTGCCTCTTGGGATCAGAAGTTCAAAGAAGTATAATGACATCTAAGGGCACAGTCAGGGTTCATGTGCTTCTTCCACTGCATCCCACAGCAGGCCTTTTGGTATGACAACCACACAGCAATTTCTGGCATGAATTCGGAAACATCTACCTCCAAATCAAAGTCTTACATCACAATTCTTTTCTTCCAGTTTTCCTTGCCACGGGTCTTCTCTGGCTTGGCTGACGACAGTAAGGTATGAAGCAAATTTTAAAAATCAGACCTTAATAACCTTTAATTCTATGTTAAAGGTGATATTACCTTTAACCTGATAAATTGTTAGACTACCAGAGACTTGGTTAAGGGAGCACCAGCCCTCTAAACAAAGCTTTTTGACTTCAGGGGACCAAAGTTCAGATGGGATGGAGCATTGAGGTTGGTGATGGTGCAAGAGCCAAAACTCTGACCCTGCCAGAGGCCATGAAGGAAGGCTTCAGCCTCTTGATTGACAACCACAGGATGACCTTCCATGTGCCATTCAATGCCACTGGAGTGACTCACTATGTGGTAGGTGTGGAAGTCTGGCTTTGTACCACCAAAGCACAGGCCAGTATTCCTAAATTGAAGCATGATCTCAACCATGTCTTCACATTAATTTATAATACAACCCATTTTAATGCCTATTAAGTGCCAAACACTTCGCTGGGTATTCACACCTGTAATCCCAGCACTTTGGAAGGCTGAAGCGGGCAGATCGCTTGAGGTCAGGAGTTCAAGACCAGCCCGGCCAACCCTGTCTGTTTAGTGAAACCCTGTCTCTACTAAAAACACAAAAACTTAACTGGGTGAGATGGTACATGCCTATAATCCCAACTACTCAGGAGGCTGAGGTGGGAGAATCGCTTGAACCCAGGAGGTAGAAGTTGCAGTGAGCCGAGATTGTACCACTGCACTCCAGCCTGGGCGACAGAGCGAGACCATTTCTCAAAAATACATAATCCTTACCTCAATCTAGTCTCTTTCCCATAGTCTTAAATCTATAGTACAACACAGAACAAGCATATTCCTGAAAGCTTTATGGGTTAAGGGGTTCTGTTTGGGTTGTCATTGTCCTATATTGTTTTATAGCAAGTATTGGTGCTTTCCAGGCCAATAGTCTGAACACTGCACTAAATGAATTAATCTCCTAAAGTACTTAGGACAGGTCCTGAGATGTAAGTGCTCAAATGCCAACCACTTCAAGAACAGTCCTATCTCCCAGTAAGAACACAAATGGATTGAGGCTTGAAAACATTGTCTGGCTGCTGATACTTTAAAATAGTCATATGGGGTAAGGACAGATCTTATCTGCCTAGAAGTCATTGGCTACAGGTGATCTAGACAACATTCTTCCAGATGTTAGAACAAGGTTAAAACTAATATACCTCCAGATTAGACAAATTAGTCATTAGACAAATGCTTAAATCCTACTTGTGTCAAAGTAGTGCCCATTACTTGGATATATACTTGCCAAGATGATTCTTACTGGTTAGAGATTCAAGTAACCAATGTTTTTGAAGATCACTGTTATTTCTCCCCCTAGCAAGGTAACAGTCATCTCTACATGGTGTCTCTGAAGCTTACATTTATATCTCCTGGACAGAAGGTGATCTTCTCTTCACAAGCTATTTGTGCACCAGGTAAGGTCCCAGATAGCTGCAACCTCAGTGTGGGAGACATTGTCCTAGAAGCTTAATCAAGGCTGGTAATGGGCATTCTGTTGTCATTCCTTCTAGATCCTGTGACCTGCAATGCCACACACATGACTCTCACCATACCAGAGTTTCCTGGGAAGCTTAAGTCTGTGAGCTTTGAAAACCAGAACATTGATGTGAGCCAGCTGCATGACAATGGAATTGATCTAGAAGCAACAAATGGCATGAAATTGCATTTCAGCAAAACTCTGCTCAAAACGAAAGTATGTTCAATTGTCAACCACTGAACTCCACCGGGTCCTGACTTGAAGTATACTCTTGTGGGTAGTCCTCATACGGCTGATAACTTGCCCGTGAGCTCTAATTGCCAACATAACAGATTCAAACTCCAAAAGGCCTCATTTGATCATCTTGTATAAGTGAAATATCAAGTAACTAAAGTTCATTCTCTAACACAAAACCTCTTTAACTTCTGTCATGAAAAATCGTCTAAGTCTTTCTAAGTCTTAAAACTGTCTAAGGCCCCAACTGAGTAGTAGCAACTACTTGTCAAATACCTAATGATGAATCTGTCCTGGTCAACGAACAGGACACCTTGATCTAAACAAAAGGGTCCCGTACTGTTGCTGTTGAGGTTAGTCTTCACTAGAACTGCCAGGGATACCAGAGAATAATCTTAGGTTGGGGGTACATATTATGCAATACCATTTTATAACATCTGTAGAGTCCTTTTGACTCAGACCTGGCTTGGCAGAGGATTCCACTATTCTTTGGAATTTGATCTGCTAATTCAAGCTTTAGTGCCTCGTACAAAGAGTACAGTGCTGGGTACTCCAGGGCATGAGTTTAAAGCAATAAATCTGCCTGGGGATACATCCAGATCTGAGGAAGTGATAGGGTCTCTCTTGTTTTGGTTTAAAGGGAGCCCAGATAAGTCTGGAGTGTGTCCTGCAAGTATTTAGTGGACTTGCTTCCTGCCTCCCTGTGACGGTTCCGGGCCCCAACGGACTGTGGCTGCTAATTGACATTTTCTCATTTCAGTTATCTGAAAAATGCCTACTCCATCAGTTCTACTTAGCTTCACTCAAGCTGACCTTTCTCCTTCGGCCAGAGACAGTATCCATGGTGATCTATCCTGAGTGTCTCTGTGAGTCACCCGTTTCTATAGGTAAAGACCTTTTATTAAAATCATGTTCTACCTTTTTTCTCCCTTGGCTCTTGTACATGTGGGCAAATGTATAGAAGGTCAGATTCTGATCTATTGCTTATAGACTGAAGAAACTAAAGACTAGTCAGATTAGAAACAGTGTAGCTGCTACGATGGGGTCCTAAGTATGATATTTTTAAGATCCCTACATAGGTAGGTTTTATGGCAACTGCTCCATGGTTAAACAATCTAGATATTTTGGCTTAGGAGCCTGAACCTGACATCTAGGTAAGAATATTCAAACTTCTAATTAGAATTAAGTTTAAGTACCCCCCCACCCCAAAATTCCTACAAATTCTTAAATAGAGTGAATATCTCTTGTTTAGCATTGCCTCCACCATGTGCTTCTGTTTAATGTGATCTGCACAGGTCAGATCAAATAGGAAAACCAGCTCCTGCCTCAGTTTCTCCCCAAACTACTCAGGATTTGTGAGTATACAAAGAAAGGATACAATAACATAGGCGCTGTACTTAAAGCCACATTAAGTTTAACCTTGAGTCAACTCCTGCCCTTCATCAGGATTCTCACTGGTCTTATACCATATAGCACTTCTTCCTACATCTACTGGTCCCTCCTTTGGATGAAAAGTCCTACTCTCACATAGAACAATCAACTAACTTCAGCTCCCTTTGTAATTCAAGCTGCTGATCAAGGTTCCCTCATAAAGACTTCAAGACAGATTCTGATGCCTCCTGCTAAATTAGAATTTCTCCCTCGTAGCATATCAGGTTGGGAGATGACAGTATCACAGGGCAGACAAACTTATTTTCTCTAAACTTTCACCGCTGTCTAGTTACAGGGGAGCTGTGCACCCAGGATGGGTTTATGGACGTCGAGGTCTACAGCTACCAAACACAACCAGCTCTTGACCTGGGTACTCTGAGGGTGGGAAACTCATCCTGCCAGCCTGTCTTTGAGGCTCAGTCTCAGGGGCTGGTACGGTTCCACATACCCCTGAATGGATGTGGAACGAGATATAAGGTTAGTACTGGCAGATGGCACGAGGTTAAGTCTCATCTTTGACATAACTGGCTGCTAACCCACTTTCTCTGACATTTAAGTTCGAAGATGATAAAGTCGTCTATGAAAACGAAATACATGCTCTCTGGACGGATTTTCCTCCAAGCAAAATATCTAGAGACAGTGAGTTCAGGTGAGATAAAATTGCTATTTGACTCTTAAGCTCTAGTTTAAACTCAAGCAATTTTTTAACCTGAAATTTTCTGTACCTACCTTCCCTCCAAACTCTTACAGAATGACAGTGAAGTGTTCTTATAGCAGGAATGACATGCTACTAAACATCAACGTTGAAAGCCTTACTCCTCCAGTGGCCTCAGTGAAGTTGGGTCCATTTACCTTGATCCTGCAAAGCTACCCAGGTAAGAGATTGCAGTCTGTGAAATTGCTTAAATGATCTCAAACTTCTCCCTAAAATGAACATCCTGATACTGCCAGACTAATGGAGCAGTGATGACCTATGAATCTGTGTTGCAGCCATTAACTACTTGAATACCATTCAATTTCAGATAATTCCTACCAACAACCTTATGGGGAAAACGAGTACCCTCTAGTGAGATTCCTCCGCCAACCAATTTACATGGAAGTGAGAGTCCTAAACAGGGATGACCCCAACATCAAGCTGGTCTTAGATGACTGCTGGGCGACGTCCACCATGGATCCAGACTCTTTCCCCCAGTGGAACGTTGTCGTGGATGGGTAGGTACTCCCTGTACTATCAGGTTACCCAGCTAATCCATCAAAACTTGCCAGTAATGGGAATAAACCCTCTTGGGCTTTAGAGCAGCATTCAGTCATGTGAGATCCAGATTTAGTCCTTGTTTTCTAATTGGGACTCTTCTGCCTTCTGTTTTTTTTTTTTTTGTTTTGAGATGGGGTCTCATTCTGTCACCCAGGTTGGGGTGCTGCGGCATGATCTTAGCTCACTGTAGCCCCTGCCTCCTGGGTTCAAGCAATTCTCCTACCTCAGCCTCCTGGGTAGCTGAGATTACAGGGGCACACCACCAAGCCCAGCTAATTTTTGCTATCTTAGTAGAGACAGGGTTTTGCCATGTTGGCCAGGCTGGTCTCGAACTCCTGACTTCAGGTGATCCACCTACCTTGGCCTCCCAAAGTACTGGGATTACAGGTGTGAACCACCACACTTGGCCACATGCTGCCTTCCAATCACCTCTTGAATCTTAAGGAATGAGTTCCAAAGCCCCAGAAAGTCTGACTCTACTATGGTGTTGATCATCTGGAAAGACTGGTCTCTAGCCTCTATCCATCTGAACACCTACCATATGCCAGGCACAGTGCTATGTATTCCACATCCACTAGTTGTACTAGTCTTCGTCTTTCATGAAGAAACCCCAGCTTGCTGCCTAAATAACCAGCCCAAAACAATACTTAAACAATGGAGCTTGTATTAGAATATCCATCTGACTCTAGAATCTGAGCACTGATGCTCTGAGGTTGCAGCCACACACTTGTACACATAGGTGTTCAACCTTACAGCTCTCCTGCCGTGTCCTGTCCTACAACTGGATCTCACCCATTCTTATGGAATAGTGTGTACTTGGCTAAAACTGCACCTTTGCTTTCTTGAAGCTGTGGTAGCTCAGTTACTAAGCCTTCTGTTTTGTTTTTGAGACGAGGTCTCACTCTTGTCCCCCAGGCTGGAGTGCAATGGCACAATCTCAGCTCACTGCAACCTCCGCCTCCCAGATTCAAGCGATTCACCTGCCTTAGCCTCCCAAGTAGCTGGGACTACAGGTGCCTGCCACCATGCCCAGCTAATTTTTATATCTTTAGTAGAAACGGGGTTTCACCATGTTGGCCAGGCTGGTCTTAGACTCCTGACCTCAGGTGATCTGCCCACCTCAGCCTCCCACAGTTCTGGGATTACAGGTGTGAGCTACTGCACCTGGCCAAGAAACCAGTGTCTTCTGAAATGATATAATTTGTACTTCTCATGTAGTTGGCAAACAGGTACTGCTAAAATAGTTAAAATATAACTAGTCTATACAACTTATGATTTCATAGGTATTATAGGTCAGGTAAGAAATGCTGAGTAAAACAAAGGTGCTGGTAGAAGGTAAATATGGCAATAGTTCTGAAGATATTACGTATGACTAAATCTGGGCAGACATTGAATTTGACTCCAAGATGCATATGACTGACATCCCTCCCTGGTGCATACCTCCTAGCTGTGCATATGACCTGGACAACTACCAGACCACCTTCCATCCAGTCGGCTCCTCTGTGACCCATCCTGATCACTATCAGAGGTTTGACATGAAGGCTTTTGCCTTTGTATCAGAAGCCCACGTGCTCTCTAGCCTGGTAAGTGATTCAGAAGTCACCAGGGACAGGTTAAATGTTAGTGCATCGATTCCATGTAACTCTCTTCTGTCTCCAGGTCTACTTCCACTGCAGTGCCTTAATCTGTAATCGACTCTCCCCTGACTCCCCACTGTGTTCTGTGACCTGCCCTGTGTCCTCTAGGCACAGGCGAGGTAAAAACTTCAAATTCCTGTTTCTGTGAGTCTAATTCAAAGCAAGTATCAACTTTTTAGAATAGAAGATCTTAAGGACTGGTATAACTCATACTTTATTTACTGCCCAGAGCTCTTGTTGGCCCAGTCAAAACTTGGTCCAGTCTACCTTACTCATGTGACAGGTCTAAGATGAACAGTTTCTTGTCTAGTTCTATAGACGATGAGTTCTTTAAGAATCTATCCTTTTTTTTTTTTTTTTTTTTTTTTTTGAGACAGTTTTGCTCTTGTTGCCCAGGCTGGAGTAAGATGGTGTGATCTTGGCTCATTCCACCTCCAGGGTTCAAGGGAAATGATTCTCCTGCCTGAGCCTCCCAAGTAGCTGGGATTATAGGAACCCCCCCAACATACCCAGCTAACTTTTATATCTTTAGTAGAGACAGGGTTTCACCATGTTGGCCAGGCCAGGCTGGTCTCAATCTCCTGACCTCAGGTGATCCACCTACCTCGGCCTCCCAAAAGTGCTGGGATTATAGGCATGAGCCACCACACCCAACCCCAAGAATCCATCCCACTTCTACAGTAAAGGGCATAACCTCGCCTGCAAAGGCAAGACAAACCACATGAACAAAATACTCCAGAGAGCTTCTACTTCTAAGCATTCCATTGACACACCTCTCGAACCACTATTCCAGAGGCCAAACACAAACTTGATCATCTGTCTCCAGCCACAGGGGCCACTGAAGCAGAGAAAATGACAGTCAGCCTCCCAGGACCCATTCTCCTGTTGTCAGATGACTCCTCATTCAGAGGTATGGACCTAAAGCCTGGAGTACTTCCTGGATTCAAGTTCTTAGCTTTTTATGCCAAGCGGTCAGTGCTTACATATACTATGTACCCGTGGTGAGTCTAAACAATAGAAGAATAAAAGACTAAGTCTCTTCCCAGAAGTAGGCTTCTATTAAGTCTCCTGTGTACCCTTCTAGAAATCACTTCAACACAAGTAGGATCATAGCTTCTACCTACTGATCTAGAACTTGGTCTCTAATCTGTCTTATCTACCTTATATCTGTACAAAGAACCCTTAGGATTCCACGTGGCTCTACCTTAGTCATGATCCTCATTCATGGATATCTATAGGTTTATTTCTAGTTTTGTCCTCAGTCCATACTAGAATCCTTCTTTTTTTCTTTTTGAGATAAAGTTTTGTTCTTGTCACCCAGGCTGGAGTACAATGGTGTGATCTTGGCTCACTGCAACCTCTGCCTCCCAGGTTCAAGTGATTCTCCTGCCTCAGCCTCCCGAGTATCAGGGATTACAGGCACCTGCCACTGTGCCCAGCTAATTTTATTATTTTTAGTAGAGAAAAGGTTTTACCATGTTGGCCAGGCTGGTCTCAAACTCCTGACCTCAAGTGATCCGCCTGCCTCAGCCTCCCAAAGTGCTGGGATTACAGGTGTGAGCCACCACACCCGGCCACAAAAAAAAAAAAAAAAAATCCTCTTGAATTTCTTGTATAGTAGTCAAAGATTTAAGATATGTTTCTAGCAAGATTAGGTCAGAGCATGTGCATCTTAACATGCTATGGCCAAACTTAAGTGTGTATTAGTTTGTGCCTGTTAACACATACCCTTACCTGAGATAGCCTTAATGAACAACCTGTGGGATCACACCCTCAGGGGACAGCTAACCACATCGACTAGCATGAAGATGTTGTACTAAACTCTCAGGTTCTTCCCAGGTGTCGGCTCATCTGATCTAAAAGCAAGTGGGAGCAGTGGGGAGAAGAGTAGGAGTGAAACAGGGGAGGAGGTTGGCTCACGAGGTAAGTTTATTCAATGTTGCAAACTTCTGAAATAAGCCTGTTGAAGGCTTAGTTTTACCCCCTTCTCTGGGGAGCCTTATGTAAGGCTTCCACTTACCCTTATTTAAAAATACTTAAGACTCAAATGTCTGCTTCCTTTGTAGGTGCTATGGACACCAAAGGGCACAAGACTGCTGGAGATGTTGGTTCCAAAGCTGTGGCTGCTGTGGCTGCCTTTGCAGGTGTGGTGGCAACTCTAGGCTTCATCTACTACCTGTACGAGAAAAGGACTGTGTCAAATCACTAAATGGGCTTCTAAATAAAGCAGTCAAAATAAGCCTCTTGCCTTCCACATTCTTATTAAGATTAGATGACAAGGGATCATTTCTTTTGTTCCTCAGTGTAGAGGCAGTACCTAGCCACAATCCTCTGGGCAGGATTTGTATATAGATACAAATAGGGAAGTTCATGGTATAATTGTTTCCTGTCATTTGGCCCCTTCTGATCCTCTAACCCCAATACATGAGTCCTCTGACACTCCCAGTCAACAGTAGGGCTTTAGCTATAGCCCAGCTCTGGGGGTACACTTGAGTCTACAAGCTCTTACACAGGATAAGAAGCCAGCAAGCTACCCATGATCACTGGCATAAATCCAACCCCCCTTCTTTTAAGGGAAGGGAAACCAGATGTTCCTAAGAAAGTAATATAAGAACTTACTTCAAGGTAATTCCTAACTCAAGTTACACTCAAGCTTACAACTTTCCTGAGCTTAAAAGGACTTAGTTACCTTCCCACTTATAACTAAAGACAAGCAATCTTTCTTTGGTAGGGAAAGGAATACTAAAGTGCCAGAGTCCTAAGGCTCAGTTATAACATTCCAAGAATCAGACTCCACCATTCAACTGAGCCTAGAGTGAGTTTTCCATTACCTGCATTCGATCTTGACCGTCTCCTGAGGCCTTCGTCCTGAGGGTAGCCAGTCTTATTCTAAGTAATTATGTCATCAACATGACTAGTGTCTGCTTTATACTGCAGCTCTTAGAGACCTTCAAGATATATGGAAATTCACTTGTATTCTAGAAAACTTGAGTCTAAAATTTTTGCAAGGAAATATTTCAAATCTACGTATGGCAGGAAGAATAAGTGATGAAAGCTTCTAGTGGCTGGATTTAAATGTCAGCTCAGTCATTATACTCTTGGGTTTTTCAAAAATCTAACCTTGAGGTTGAATATCGTGATGTCTATCTGGTCATCTTGTGGTTTTCTATAGGTGCAATCTCGGCTTATTGCAACCTTCGCCTCCTGGGTTCAAGTGACTCTCCTGCCTCAGCCTCCTCAGTAGCTGGGATTGCAGGCACCTGCCACCAAGCCCAGCTAATTTTTGTATTTTTAGTAGAGATGGTGTTTCACCATGTTGGCCAGGCTTGTCTCAAACTCCTGACCTCAGGTCATCTGCCTGCCTCGGCCTCCCAAAGTGTTGGGATTACAGGCATGAGACACCGTGCCCGGCACCTGTTCTAGAATTCTGCCACACAGACTTAAAAGGTAGCTTTCTAAATCCTTTGGTTAGGTCTTACAGATAAGACTCTGATGTAGGGAAAGAACCACACCTACCTTATGTAGAGGGTCTGGCATTTCTAGAGTAATAGGGTCAAAAGCTCAAATTGTCTCATCAAAAGCCTTCTTTGGACCTTCTTTTAAGGATCCAAGGCATTCTGCTAAATAGTTTTAGATTCAAAATTCTGTGTGACTTTATCAAGTTGCATTGTATATCATAACTAAATCTCACGTACCATGCTTTTTAATGGCATTTTTAAAAATGGCCACTTAAATGACTTCCTGACCCTGAATGACACCTACCCCCGACCCATGTCTAGGAATTACATCCTAATCCCTAGAGCCTGTGAATATTAGTTTTACATGGCAACATGGACTCTGCAGATGTGACTAAGGGTCTTGACATGGTAAGATCATCCCGGTGGGCCCAATCACAAGTGTCCCTATAAAACAAGAAGGTCAGCAGGGCACGGTGGCTCATGCCGGTGATCCCAGCACTTTGGGAGGCTGAGGCATGTGGATCACCTGAGGTCAGGAGTGCGAGACCAGCCTGGCCAACATGGTGAAACACCATCTCTACTAAAAATACAAAAAATTAGCCGGGCATGGTGGCGGGCGCCTGTAATCCCAGATACATGGGAGGCTGAGGCAGGAGAATTGCTTGAACTCGGGAGTTGGAGGTTGCAGTGAGCCGAGATTGCGACATTGCACTCCAGCCTGAGCAAGAAGAGTGAAACTCTGTCTCAAAATAAAAACAAGGTCAGAATAGGATGTATCAATGGAAGCAGAAATTGGAATGATAGAGAGTCACAGAAAACACAGGCCGCCTCTAGTAGGGGAACAAGAAAATATCTTCCCATAGAGCCTCTAGAAAGAGTACAGCTCTGCTGTACCACTTTAGACTTCTGACCTCCAGAATTGTGAGATAGCTTAACGGCATGAAACAAACTTGTTACAGCAACAATAGGAAATTAAAATACTGAGTCACTACCCACAACTTGAAAAACATGGCTTAAAAGTGCACATTTTACAGATGAGCAACTTGAGCCCTAAAGAAGCTTGTCCAGGATGTCACAGCCCCTTGATTTCAGAGCTAGAGCCTCTCAGCTGCAAGTTGGTCCACTTGTATAGAGTCATATTGGGAATCAAAGTCCCCTGGGTCTCAAGGCAGCCCACAGCGTGACTTGGTTCTGATGTGTTTGCCAAAAATGCTAAAGCAGAACTTTGAGAGTGGAAAGCCAAGCTGGTGTGGAGCAGCTGCCGGGATGAACACTTGTTGCCATGGTAGCCTGGGAGCAGTTGACTAAAGTCGTGTTCTTGCCTTCTGAAAGTAGGCATCCTACTATATATGGGGGAGGCAGCCTCCTCAGACAGGAACTGTGTGGGAAGAGAGTCGAGCTTAAATCCTGAGAGACTGCTGCTTCAACCACGTTAGTGTGCTTGCAATCTCCTTTATCACGTAGTGATGGGCTGTAATTGTCATACAGGTGTCAAGAGTAGAATGATGGAGCTTTGGGGTTCTAATAGTTTGAGCAGTTCTGATTGATGGTGGAGGTTGCAGGAGTTGAAAACAGACTTGTGTGCCCTGGGAAGGCACCTGTAATGTAATGTACTACTTTCCCCTGCCCTGTTCTGCATTAGGAAGTTCTGTGGGATGCGCAGGCTCTAGAGCAAGAGTTGGGTTTGGGTTCGGGATCTACGTCTCCCTGGCTGTGTGGCCTCGGGCAGATAGAACAATCTCTGAGCCTGCTTCCGCATCTGTAAAAAGGGAACACAACCTAATTTGGAAGCGTGTGAGGGTTCAACAAGATAACCGTTGTATTGATGTAGGCACTGCCCAGTCAGCATTGGAGTATCTCAACATCAAGAAAATAGCACTGTTCTAACTCTAAATAAAAACTCAGATAACATTATGGACAATAACTGTGACTTGAATAAGTCTGTGTGCTATATACCAAGGCATATGTAATCAAGTGCATATGTGGTAGAATGTACACCTGATTGTACAGACCTCTGGCCTAGACACCATCTACCAAACTAAAATCTTTAGGGAGACACCACCTACAAAACTAGACACTATCAGCTGGGCATGGTGGCTCACTCCTGTAATCCCAGCACTTTGGGAGGCTGAGGCAGGCGGATCACCTGAGGTCAGGAGTTTGAGACCAGCCTGGTCAACATGGTGAAACACCGTTTCTACTAAAAATACAAAAAATTAGGTGGGCATGGTGGCAGGTGCCTGTAATCCCAGCTATTTGGGAGGTTGAGGCAGGAGAATCACGAACCCAGGAGGTGGAAGTTGTAGTTAGCCAAGATTATGCCACTGCACTCCAGCCTGGACGACAGAGGTAGACTCCATTTCAAAACAAAACAAAAAACAAAAACTTAGACACCATCTACTAAACTAGAATCTTTAGGGAGTGGAGTCTAAGCATGTTTAGGCTCTATAGGAGGCTAAATCATGGCCCCAAAGATATTCACGTGCTAACCTCTGGGACTTGTGAATTTTCCCTAATATGGCAAAAGGGACTTTGCAGTCATAATTAAGGTAAAACGGTGAGATGGGGAAATTATCTAAATTATCCAGGTAGGCCATACATATAACTGCATGTGTGCTTGTAAGAGGGAGTTTTGACTATGGGGAGAAAGCAGTACAATGATGGAAGCAGAGGTTGGAGTGATGCACTTTGAGATGGAGAAAGGGCTATAAGCCATGGGATACAGGGGAACACTAGAGGCTGGAAAATGCAAGGAAATGGATCCTCCCCTAGATCCTCCAGAAGGAACCAGCTCCACCGACACCTTGGCTTTAGTCCAGTGAAAGTGATTTCAAACTTCTGACCTTCAGAATTGTAGCAGAATAAATCTATGTTGTTTTAACCCACTAAACTTGTAATAATTTGTCTAAGCAGTGAAAGAAAACTAATCCATGCTCCTCAGATGACTCTGACACATATCCCTGGATAGAAATCACTGTGCTAGTGAAGGCAGAGCCTACCACACTTCATCACAGACAACACATTACAAACACACACTGTTGCTTGCACATAGGATCTAAAAGCATGGGGAGCAGTTTATAGCTTCAGGAACTTGGCACTTAAGTTGCAACTAGTTCCATTTCCAAACAGTGATGTATCGTAGTTGAAAGAAGAGGCATTGCTGAGAATACAGGTCCTGAGACAGGGGTGAGAAAAGAAAAGAACTTTGATCTGAGAAATATAAGTCCTTCTAAACTATCAGGGCCAGAGACAGTAAGATGAGATAGTCAGCTGGGTGCCGTGGGTCACACCTGTAATCCCAACACTTCGGGAGGCCAAGGTGGGCAGATCACGAGGTCAAGAGATCGAGACCATCCTGACAACATGGTGAAACCCTGTCTCTACTAAAAATACAAAAATTAGCTGGGCATGGTGGCGCACACCTGTAGTCCCAGCTACTCAGGAGGCTGAGACAGGAGAATTGCTTGAACCTGGGAGGCAGAGGTTGCAGTGAGCCAAGATCATGTCACTGCACTCCAGCCTGGCAACAGAGTGAGACTCCATCTCAAAAGAAAAAAAAAAAGGAAAAAAGATGAGACAGTCATCACATCCTACTCCTCCCTTGAGCTAAGTATCCATCTCTTGAAACTGCTTACTATTGCCACAAGTAGCTTTAAGTTAACCTAATAATGCTGCACCAGACATATAACCACACCCTATAGCTTAACAATGTATAGCCAATCACACATCAATGTTATTTCTGAAAAACAATGAGAATTCCTGACAAAGAACTGTGCATCAGCTCACTCCCTGTCCCCCCTTTTTTGCCTTTAGAAATCCACTTGTAAATGCTGCTAATAGGAGTCTATAACTCATGTCAACTTGAATCCATGCTCCGGGGTTGCAATCCTCAAACTTGGCCCCAAAAAACTCTCTACTTTTAATTCTGCCTCAGTTTCTCCCTTTTAAGTCAACAGGGAATTTAGTTTCTCTCCCATTGGATGCAAAGATGTGAATTACCTCTGATAGTGCCCACCACTGTGTCAATAACCAGAAAATCCACAGCACAACATTGCTTCTGGTTTGAAAGTGATGATGTGTTGAGTGGGAAGCTGTCTCATCGTGGGCAGCACAGGGGTTGCGGAAAGGTAGAACATGCAGCCTGTGGCACAAGGTGTGTGCTCAGGCTTATTCTCGGTGTTGTGGGCTCAATTGTGTCCCCCCACAACAAGTTCACATGAAGTTCTTACCCCCAGTGTATATGTTTTTGAAGTCCTTACCCCCAGTGTGATATATTTGGAGGTGGGGCTTTGGGAATTAATTAAGTCATGAGGATGGTGCCCTCATAAAGGGGATAAGTGCCCTTAAAGGAAGAGAAAGGAGAGTGAGCTTCCTCTCTCTGCTCTCGGCCATGTGAGGATACCGCAAGATGACCATCTGCACAGCAGGAAGCAGTCCCTTCCTCTGAATTGTCTGTTTATAGCCTTTGTTTAATTTATACTAGATTTTAAAAGTCCTTTTCCTATTGATTTTTAGGGTTTCTTTATATATTCTGAATGCTGATCCATGACTGTTCGATTACAGGAACTCTATGAATACGTCACAGAAACAGGTCAAAAAATACCCTCATATGATGACATCCACAGACACGAAGAAGGCATTCACTGGAACCTGAGATTCACACATGATAGAAAGCCCTTTGAAAATTAGGATGAGAAGCATGATAATCGTATCTCTTTTAAAGCAAGGTGCACATCAGACTTGCAGAGGAAATAGAAGTATGCTCGCTGAATTGGAGGACTGAATTGTGTGACCCGCAAATCGATATGTTGAAGTCCCAACATCAGAATCTCAAAATATGGCTGGAGGAAGGGTCTTTAAAGAGATAATTGTGGCTAAGTGCAGCAGCTCACGCCTGTAATCCCAGCACTTTGGGAGGCTGAGGTGAGTGGATCACCTGAGGTCAGGAGTTCGAGACCAGCCTGGCCAACGTGGTGAAACCCTGTCTCTACTAAAAAAAAAAAAAAAAAAAAAAACTAGCCGGGCATGGTGGTGCAGGCCTGTAGTCCCAGCTACTCAGGAGGCTGAGGCAGGAGAATCACTTGAACCTGGGAGATGGAGGTTGCAGTGAGCCAAGATCACGCCACTGCACCCCAGTCTGGGCAACAGAGTGAGACTCTGCCTAAAAAAAAAAAAAAAAAAAAAAAGAGGTAATTGCATTAACATGAGTTAATAGGATGAGCCCTAGTCCAATAGGATTGCTATCCTTATAAGAAGAGGAAATTCAGACACAGGCAGAAGACACAGGGAGAAGACAGCTCTCTACAGGCCAAGGAGAAACCAAGCCTGCTTGGCATCTTGATCTTAGACTCCCAGCTTCCAGGATTGTGAGAAAATAAATGTCTGTTGTGTAAGCCACCCAGTTTGTGGTACTTTCTATGGCAGCCTTAGCAAATGAATACATATGGTCCTCATTATAGCAAGTTCCATCTGCTAAGTCTAGGGACTGCAGTGTGGGTGCTGGGCTGTTAGGCAGCATTGGTTACTTTTCCTTATCTCAAGAGTATGAACCCCTGACTGAGATTCCAGATTTAACTAAATCCTCCTTGGTCCTGACCTTTGCTCACACAGCACATGAAGACCCTTACTTTGTGAATAAATACAGCGAAAACACAAGTGTACTGGGGCAGATAGTGTAGGGCTTAATTAAAAGGGATTTTCTTGCCCTTTCTTTTTCCTTCCCACCTCATCCCCTTCTTCCTTGCTAAGAGAACCTGGACTTTGTTTGCACAGCACACCCTGGGGGACAATCCTGCTTGGCATGAGATAGCCAAGATAACGTCCCATTTCCCTTCTGTTTAGAGGTGAGCATGTAATACAGTTCTGTTCAATGAGATTTAAGGGGAAGTTGAGAGGGGGCTTCTTTTTCCTTATTTAAAAAAAGGTATGTGCAGCTAACCCCTTTTCTACCTGCTTTTGGATATGATTATGTGATGTGATTCCCGGAGCTATGGCAGCCATGTTGTAACTATGAGGAAATAACCCTAAAGACACCCTGAGAACGATGGAGCGAAAAAATGGAAAGCCTAAATCCTTGATAACTTCATTGTGTTCCCCAAATCAACCCTAGAACCACTTGCCTCTGCATTTCATGTTTAGTGAGAGTTTAGGAGCTCTTATTTTTTAAGGGAGGCATTTTTCATCTAAACTGATTCAAGCTAAGAAACTTCATTCTTAGGAGAAAGTCTATGGCTATAATTTGCATTCATAAAAACATACCAAGTTATATGTAAGCTTTTCTTTGGATGACTTGCCAAATTTGTACTAACCAAAAATAAGAGGGACTTCACTAACAAATCTATTTTACTTTGGCTCCCTCAGGCCCAAAAGAATTGGAGTCTGCTTGTGTTCATCTTTGAATTTCTATTGGTACTTCTGCAAGGGAAGTAACTTGACCAAAAATAGAGTATAAAGAAGCTTGATTCAAAGCAGATAGTATAGTCTCTTACTCCTCACCCACACTTAGGGATCCTCTTCCCTGAATCCTGTTTCAGGGTCAGAGGGGCAGGGAAGATGCTATGAAGTGAGCACCAGCTGTAGGAGTCATGGGTTCTAGCCCCAGCACTGCAGTCTTTCTGTTTGGCCTCTAGTAAGCAGTCTAAACTCCCTGGGCCTCAGGTCCACCATCTATGGGAGAGGGTGGGAGAAGTTATCTATTACCTTGCTACTCAAGGTGTGGCCGGTGGAAGGCTTCATCTGGTGGCTGATAAGCAATGCAGGAACTCAGGTCCTGATGCAGACCTACAGACTCAGAATCTGCCTTATTTATTTATTTATTGACAGAGTCTCACTCTCGTCACCCAGGCTGGAGTGCAATGGCGCAATCTTGGCTCACTGCAACCTCCGCCTCCCCGGTTCAAGCAAGTCTCCTGCCTCAGCCTCCTGAGTAGCTGGGATTACAAGTGTGAGCCACCGCACCCGGCCAGAATCTGGCCTTTTTTTTTTTTTTTTTTTTCTTTTGAGACGGAGTCTTGCTCTGTCACCTGTCGCCCAGGCTGGAGTGCAGTGGCGCGATCTCAGCTCACTACAAGCTCCGCCTCCCGGGTTCACGCCATTCTCCTGCCTCAGCCTCCCGTGTAGCTGGTACTACAGGCGCCCGCCACCACACCCGGCTAATTTTTTTTTTTTGTATTGTTAGTAGAGACGGGGTTTCACTGTGTTAGCCAGGATGGTCTGGATCTCCTGACCTCGTGATCCGCCCGCGAATTTGGCTTTTAACAGGCTCCTATGCATAGGCTCATTCAAGTTCAAGGATCGCGCGTTGAATGCTTCTTCCAGCCCTCGGTGCTATTGAAGTCTCGGCTGAGCCAGCTTCGGATGGCCTGGATGTGCGCTCCCTCTACTGGCTCAGAGATGAAACGCTTTCATTAGGAAACAGTTGCGTTTCCTTCTGATGGTTTTTCTAAGGTTTCCAGCTGGGGATTGAAACTCCAGCACGGGAGCTCCTAACAGGGGCATAGAGACTCCTAGAGCATGTGGCTGGGGCTTGAGTCTCCTCCTGAGTTTTGGAAACATGAACAAACAATGTGTGCTGCTGGAGGCCCATACACGGAGCATGTCCTCTCCAGCCTGGAGGTCCATACACGGAGCATGCCCTCTGCAGTGTATGGACCCCCTGGATGGCTGACTCCCAACTGCCATGGGACACTGTAGTCCATCTTCCGAACGTTTCGTCGTTGTCACTTCTGCTTTAACAAAAAAGGCAGCAGAAGGGGGAGGAAAGGATCTGCACGTGGGCTAGGAGGCCGATAACCGGGTTCTGTGGCTTAGTCATTTGCTGACTCTGAGAACTTCCACAGGTGACTCATCCATTAACCCTGCTTTCCTCTTCCATCAGCTGAAGAGTAGGGGATGGGAATGAGAGCAGAATAACGTCTCTGGACTGTTATGAAAGGTAAGGATGGTAACTGATACGAAAACTCTTTGACAACCTGAACCATTTCACAACTGTGAACTTGTGTGTTTCCATGATGCCACGATTGCCACTGGTCACTCTGGGGCAGACCTGGTCAATTTTGACCCCCTCTCCACCAGCTGTGCTCTTGCTTGGCCTAATTCTCTTAATTCTTATTATTTGTTGAGGTTAGGGTTTGTCAAGACTGGCACTGTTGACATTTGGGCCCAGATAATTCTTGGTTGTGGAGGCCTGTCCTGGGCTTGGTAAAATGTTGAGCAGCATCCTTGGCCCCTACTCATTACATGCCAGCAGCACCCAACACAGGCACGCATATCGTGATAACAAAAAATGCCTCTAGCACTTTGGGACGCCAAGGCAGGAGAATCACTTGAGCCCAGGAGTTTGATACCAGCCCTGGCAACACAGTGAGACCCCATCTCTACTGAAAAAAAAAAAAAAAAAAAAAAAAAGCTAGGCATGGCGCCACACATCTGTAGTTCCTGCTATGCAGGAGGCTGAGACAGGAGCATCATTTGAGCTTGGGAGGTCAAGAGAGCTGTGGTTGACACTGCACTCCAGTTTGGGCGACCAAGCAAGACCCTGTCTCAAACAAAAAAAATGCCTCCAGGCATTGCCAAATGTCCCCTGGGGGTGCTGGTTGAGGGTTGGGGCGGGGGGCGGGGGCGGGGAACAATCACTCCCAACTGAGAACTGCTGATCTAGATTTATTTATTTAGTTAGTTAGTTTTATTTTTGAGACGGGGTCTCACTTTGTCATCCAGGCCGGAGTGCAATGGCATGATCTTGACTCACTGCAACCTTTGCCTCCTGGGTTCAAGCGAACCCTCTTGCCTCAACCTCCCGAGTAGCTGGGATTACGGGTGCCCGCCAGCATGTCCAGCTAACAATATTTGTATTTTTAGTGGAGACAGGGTTTCACTATGTTGGCCAGGCTGGTCTTGAACTCCTGACCTCAGGTGATCCACCCGCCTCAGTCTCCCAAAGTGCTGGGATTACAGGCATGAGCCACTGCACCCAGCCTAGGATGTCTTTTGCAGTTAGACAAACTGCAGTTAGAATCCCACTTCTAATTCTATGGGCCCTTAGGCAATTTAACTTGTCAATCTTTCGGTTTCCTTATCTCTAAAATGGGAGGTAGTGAGGACGCACTGGAAACATGTATTGCTGTGTATTGGGCTTAAAATAGCCCCCCGCAGCCAGGCGCAGTGGCTCACGCCTGTAATCCTAGCACTTTAGGAGGCTGAGGCGGGAGGATCACTTGAGCTCAGGAGCTCAAAACCAACCTGGGCAACATGGTGAAACCCTGTCTCTACAAAAAATACAAAAATTAGCTGAGTATGATGGTGGGCACCAGTGGTCCCAGCTACTCGGGAGGCTAAGGTGGGAGGATTATCTGAGCCTGGGAGGTCGAGGCTGCAGTGAGCTATGATCATGTCACTGCACTCCAGCTTGGGTGACAGAATGAGACCCTGTCTCAAAAAAAAAAAAAATAGCATCCAGCACATGGCGAATGCTCAAAAATAAACAAACAAGAAACCTGGACATACTGATAAATTAACATTATAACTGTAAAAAAGTCATCGTTTTTATGCTCTGGGGATTAATTACCTTTCCAATCGGCCACACATTGAGCTGTGTGTCTAAAAGGCTAAGGATATCTTTGTAAGGACCTTAGCCCGAAGTCCTTAACGGTCCTCCACAGCTTGGTTAACAACAGGTCTTTTACATCTTCCTGTTTCACTCAGTTTTAAATGACTCATGTAGCCATGCATTTTGACAACTTTTCTTTGTTTTTTTTTTTGGAGACAAGGTCTCATTGTTCCCCAGTGTGGAGTGCAGTGGTGCCATCGTAGCTCACTGCAGCCTTGACCTCTTGGGCTCAAGTGATCCTCCTGCCTAAGTCCCTCAGTAGCTGGGACCACAGGCATGTAACACTATCCCCAGCTAATTTTTTCATTTTTGTAGAGGCGAGGTTTCATTATGTTGCCCAGGCTGCTCTTGAACTCCTGGGCTGAAGTGATTCTCTCGCCTTGGCCTCCCAAAGTGCTGAGATGACAGGCACGAGCCACTGAGCCTCGTCCTTGACAATTATTCTTGATGGGCTTGTTTGGTGTCAGCCACTGTGCTAGGGTTCTGCACCTTATTTCACTTCATTTGATCGGTGAAGGTTAGGCCCAGACCATGTAAAGAACAGAACCTGAATGAATAACCTCACTGCACAGCCTTGATTTAGATGTCACATTTCTTAGCTGAATTGGGTGAGTCCTTTGAACTTTAGTTTTCTCTCTCATATCCAGAGGCCGATGGCATATAAAGAAGTAGCAGGAAGCAGAAGCTTGGATTGATCTTTTTTTTTTTTTTTGAGAGGGAGTCTCCCTCTGTCACCCAGGCTGGAGTGCAGTGGCGTGATCTTGGCTCAGTGTAGCCTTCGCCTCCCAGGTTCCAGCGATTCTCCTGCCTCAGCCTTCCGGGTAGCTGGGATTATAGGCATGTGCCACCATGCCCAGCTAATTTTTGTATTTTTAGCAGAGACGGGGATTCACTGTGTTGGCCAGGTCTCAAACTCCTGACCTCAGGTGATCCACCTGCCTCGGCCTCCCAAAGTGCTATGATTACAGGTGTAAATCATTGTGCCCAGCTGGGATTGGTCTTTGATCATGGATTGATCCATGAGGGGAAAGAGTTAGCACTTCTAAGTGCTGTGGGAAAGCACTTTGCCCTTGGCAGAGGTTGGAGTAAGGTGTTTATGTGATCAGAACTATGCTATGAAATGATCTCCTGGCTACTCTCTGGGAGAGCATCCCAAATGAAGGCTGTGTAAAGCTCTCAGCACCAAAAATACTCCCCAGCCCAAACGTACCCTCTAAGCCAGCTGTCTACTTGACACATCCTCTTAGTATCCAAGAGGCATATCTGACTTAATATGAGCAAAGCAGGGGTTGAATTTTCACACAGCCCCCATTGAGACACAGACAAGGATACCCCAAAGTCTGTTACTTTGGCATGCAGAGCACTTCTGAGTTAAAGGAAAATGAAAGGCCTTAGAAACTGCTTCAGAACCAAGGATTTTCTAACCTTCTCTTGTTTCTGCCATCTTGAGTGCAGGGAGGGGCTCTGTATTAGTCTGTTCTCAGGCTGCTGTGAAGAAATATCTGGCACTGGGTAGTTTATAAAGGAAGAGGTTTAACTGACTCACAGTTCCACATGGCTGGGGAGGCCTCAGGAAACTTACAATCAAGGCGGAAGGCACCTCTTCATAGGGCGGCAGGAGAGAATGAGTGCCCAGTGAAGGGGGAAGTCCCTTGTAAAACCATCAAATCTCATGAGAACTGACTCACTATCAGGAGAACAGGATGCGAGAAACCACCCCCCATGATTCAATTATATCCACCTGGTCCCACCCACAACACATGGTGATTATGGGAACTATAATTCAAGATGAGATTTGGGTGGGGACGCAGCCTAACCATATCAGGCTTTCTCTGGAAGTTCCCTTATCTGACCGAGGAAAATTTCTTCCAAAAGAAATGCAATTGTCTTAATTTCTGTGAATATGCAAAGTGATTCCCAAATGCTGAGGGAGCCGAGGAACCAAAGAAGGAGGCAGACAGATCCATTGTGTTGACTTTGGGTGATTCATTGAAGGAACTTACAGACACAAGTGTGGTCTTAGGTGGTGGCAGGACAGGTAGCTCTCTGCACTGTTACTCCCCACACCAGGGCTACGCATATACCATAGGGAAAGGGTATGCTTGCTCCAGCAAGCCAATTAAAGGCAACCCTTCAGGACAGGCAAGAATGCTGAATGTATCATAGCCTATAATTTGTGTGATGACATCAAGGTCAACATGTTCTTACACTAGGAACAGTGAAGTAGGAATCAGGAGGCATTCATGGGACTGGGGTTAATCAGAAGTCAACGTGGTGGATTAGCATCCAAAATAACCAGAAAAAATTAACCACTGCAGAAGAGACTAAAAGTTGTCACCATGCTCGGGCTTTTCATCTATTTTGCCGAGAGTAATTCTGAGAGATTACCTAAAAGACTTAATCTGCATAATAAGACTACCTTTGTTTGCAGTGCAGTTCTGCCCCTCACCTTCCCATAACTTGTCCCATTCAGTTTCTAAAGAAAATAATTTACAAACTATTGTCTGCTTTTTTTTTTTAACTTTCATTTTAGTTCCAGGAGTACATGTGGAGGTTTGTTACATGGGTAAATTGCATGTCACAGGGGTTTGGTGTACAGATTATCATTCAGGTAATAAGCATAGTACCCAATAGTTTTTTTTATCTTCACTCTCCTCCCACCCTCCACCTCCATGTAGGCCCCAATGTCTGTTGGTCCCATCTTTATTTCCATATGTACCCAATGTTTAGCTCCCACTTATATGTGAGAACATATGGTGTTTGGTTTTCTGTTCCTGCATTAGTTCACTTAGGATAATGGCTTCTAGCTGTATCCATGTTGCTGCAAAGGACACAATCTCATTCGTTTTTATAACTGTGTAGTATTCTGTGATGTATATGGCACCACATTTTCTTTATCCACCATTGACGGACATTTTTTGATTCCATTTTTGCTATTGTGATAGTGCTTTCCACAGTGACTGAACTAATTTACTTTCCCACCAGCAATGTGTAAGCATTCCCTTTTCTCCACAAACTCGCCAGCATCTGTTATTTTTTGACTTTTTAGTAATAGCCATTCTGACTGGTTTCAGATGGTATCTCATTGTGGTTTGCTCTTTGGGTCCATTCAATTCCCCTAAAAATCATTTACAATCCTTCAAGTTGCCTACATTTCCCCCATCTCCCTCTATGTAAGTTTCAATCATTTGGCCTTTCTTTGAGTCTCATATTTTTGGAACTCCTGTGTTCATGTGCATGTTAATAAATTTGAATATGCCTTTTCTCCTGTTCATCTGTCTATTGCCAGTTCATTTCAGGGATCCTTCAGAGGGTAGAGAGGAAGCTTGTCCTTCACTCCTACAATAGTGTCACTATCCACTACTGGCTCAAGCTAAAAACCTAGGTGCCACCTTGTGTCCCCCTTTCCTTCTCCATCATCACCAAGTGCTGCTGGCCCTCAAAATGAGGAAGGTCTCCATTACATTTGCCCTAATTTTTTTTTTTTTTTTTTTTTTTTGAGAGAGAGTCTCGCTCTGTCGCCTAGGCTGGAGTACAGTGGTGCGATCTCAGATCACTGCAATCTCCACCTCCCAGGTTCAAGTGATTTGCCTGCTTCAGCCTCCTGAGTAGCTGGAATTACAGGTGCCCGCCATCACACCCAGCTAATTTTTGTATTTTTAGTAGAGACGGGGTTTCACCATGTTGGCCAGGCTGGTCTTGAACTCCTGACCCCAAGTGATCCTTGGCCGCCCAAAGTGCTGGGATTACAGGCATGAGCCACTGTGCTCAGCCTAGTGTAAGTTTTAAGTCACAATTATCCTCTCTGCTCTTGGGCCTCCATAGACCTCCCAACTAGCCTTCCTGCTTTAAATCCATTGGCCATGGAGTGATCTTTAAAAACCCAAGTCTGATCACGTCACTCTCCCATGTAAGATTCTTCATTGTCTTTCCTTTGCTCTTTGGCATAAACCAGTGGTCCTCAACCTTTTTGGCACCAGGGACAAGTTTTGTGGAAGACAATTTTTCCATGGATGAGGCGTGGGTAGGGGGGTGGTTTCAGGATGATTCAAGTGCATTCCATTTATCGTGCAGCTTATTTCTATTATGATTACATTGTAATACATAATGAAATAATTACACAACTTACCATAATGTAGAATCAGTGGGAGCCCTGAGCTTGTTTTCCTACAACTAGACAATCCCAACTGGGGGTGACGGGAGACAGTGACAGATCATCAGGCATTAGATTCTCATAAGGATCATGCAACCTAGATCCCTTGCATGTGCAGTTCACATGAGGGTTCATGTTCCTATGAGAATCTAATGCCACTGCTGATCTGACAGGAGGTGAAGCTCAGGCAGCAATGCTTGCTCACCTGCTGCTCACCTCCTGCTGTATGGCCTGGTTCCTAACAGGCCAAGGACCGGTACTGGTTGGGGACCCCTGGTGTAAACTCACTCCATGAGGTCCTGCATGATGAGGCCCAGCCATGCTGACATCATTTTTTTCCCTTAAACACATTAAGCTTCTTCCCATCTCTGGGCCTTTGGGATACTGTGCCCTCTGCTAGGAACACCCTCCCTGTGTGCTTGGCATGGTGACAACTCATGTTTTGGTTCAAATAGAAGAAATCTCTGATTGCTGTGGCTAAAGCATGCTCTCCCAATTACTTACCACCCTTTTACTTATCTTCAGCGGAGTTGGTCTAATATTTTGTTTACTTGTTGTAGCAAGGTGGACTACTAAGGACCCTAGTAAGGACTCTTAAGGCAGAGCCCATGGTCCCCTCTGTGGTTTACCTGCCCTTGGGTGATCCCCTCCTCATGAGAGTGGGTGGTGGTTTCTGGGACTCGTTTCTAACCAGCAGAACACAGATAAAGTGATCCAGTGTTCATGATTGTGCATGCATGATTACGTTCCCTAAGAATGTAACGTCTATCTTGCTGAGAGGCTCTCCCTTGATGGCTTTGAAGAAGCCATTGACCACACTGAACTGTCATGGGGAGGGGAATATGCAGCAAGGAATGGAGGGCTTAAGTCGTGTTGCCAGCTGGATGCTGCCAACAACCATGTGAGCTTGGAATGTGGTCCTTCCCCAGTCAGACCCCAAATGAGAACACAGCCCTGATGACACTGTGATCACAGGCTTACAAAAGATCTAGCCAAGCCATGCCTGGACCCCTAACACATGAAGAATGTGAGATAAGAAATGCCTGTTCTTTTAAGCCAATAGTTGCTGGTAAACTGTTACATAGCAACAGATATGCTTGCTCACTCACTCTTGCATTAGAAAGAAAACTTCAGAAGGGAGACCATTGCATTCTTCATTATTAAAGCTGCAGAACCCAGCTGGGTAGATAGCATAGAGAGATAATATCAGACAGTTGTATGAATGAAGGAAACATCCAATAAACAGTAACTGTTAATATTAATAGTTATATTAATAGTGGGCTGATCTATCGCCTCCCCTGTTTCTTGAATGGCCACCATCCCAGCCCTGTCCCATCTGCATATCCCATCCTCCTAGCCACCATGATTGGTCTGGGGTCGCTCACATGACCCAAGTCTATCCAATCAGAGCCAAACCCAGAATATTTGTATATACTGTTGGAAAAAAGCAGTTTTCTTGCCCAGGATGGAGCTCCTGGGACCTCCGAAAGGGGTGGCGGGCCTGCCTGCAAAAGCAGCTCACACTGAGGAAAGCTATACTGAGAGATGAGGGGTGAGAGATGCTTAATGACACCACCTGAGCCCCTGGAATCAGCAGCACCTCAAGATCTACCCCTTGGCTTTTTGGTTGAGTGAAACTAATCCTTCTCCCTACCACCCCTCTTTTTAAAGTAATGTGGAATTGGGTGTCTATTGCGAGCAACTAAAAAAATCCCTATTACCCAGCACCAGTCATGAAATCGACAGAGGAATAGGCAGGTCTGATGTATGGAGCAGAAGGGAAAAAGAGTAAAGAAAAAAAGCCCACCCAAATAAATATTTAATGAAATGCCACGCAAATAAACCACTCAGTAATTCCACTGGGAAATCCCATAGGAAGTTTTATTTTTACTTACTAGTCCTTTAGCATTTTTATTTTAAGAAATGGCTTAGGCTGGGCACAGTGGCTCACGCCTGTAATCCCAGCACTTTGGGAGGCCAAGGCAGGTGGAGCACCTGAGGTCAGGAGTTTGAGACTAGCCTGACCAACATGGTGAAACCCCATCTGTACTAAAAAAAATACAAAAAAAAACTAGCCGGGCACGGTGGCGGGTGCCTGTAATCCCAGCTACTTGGGAGGCTGAGGCACGAGACTCACTTGAACCTGGGAGTTGGAGGTTGCAGTGAGCCGAGACTGCACCATTGCACTCCAGCCTGGGCAACAAGAGGGAAACTCCGTCACAAAAAAAAAAAAAAAAAAAAAAGAAAGAAATTACTTAAAGGACAAGCTCTTTAGAACAATACAACAGTACCAAGTGCAAATATGTAAAAGATTAACAGTACTTAACAGTACTCAACAGTTACAGTGGAAACTACACCTTTAGACTTTTTTGAAAATACTCTTGGCCACAAAGTTACATTTGGACTCTATTTTCCAACTTGGAGAGGCCAAATGTTGCTGTTCTTTCTGATAAAAAGCAAATACCACAGAAGGGCTTGTTCTGTTTTGGATTTTTTTTTTCATTTTGTTTCACATGAGTGAAAAAATTAACAGCTGCCCTCATTTCTGAAAACAAAAAACTATAAACAATCACTGTTGCTCCCAATGGGACCGTTGGACATAAGCCCTGAGGCTTTGGGGTCAACGGGCTAGACTCTAGAAGCCCAGGACCCCGCCAAGGTCAAGTCTGCATACTTGGGGCAGGGCGAGCTGTTGAACCATCGCATTTCTCTGCTGCTTCTTTACATGGGAACCAACACAAGAACAACACAATCCCTAAATTGGCTGCTGCGGGATCCTACAAGTAAGTGAAAAAGCGAGAGGACACAGCCAAGGAGTGCTTGCCTACCCAGCCCCCTTCTTCTAAGCCATAATCCCAAGGGGTGAGTATGATCCAGCAGTACTTGAAAAGAAGCCCGGCCTCTGAGCAGTCACTCATTCCTGGTAAAGCCCCTCGAATTCTGCAGACTTCATGGCTGGCAGAAAGTCACAACTGGTGTTTTGCTGTGTCAGTGGCCTGTCGGATAACAAGAAGAGATCGTTAGCTCTAGGGCCTCAGTAAAGAGCAACGTTGGAAGTGTGCATAGCTGAATACATGATGTTCTTTTTCCTGATTTTTAGCTGCTTCTTGCAACCACACCAGGCCTATGTCCATTATACAGATGAAGAAACTGAGGGCACAGGAGGTTAAAATGACCAGGTTAGGAGTAGGGTTACGGCCCCTTTTCCATTTTCTAATTTGGATATTTATTATGTTTTTCTTAATTATCTGTGTCCTCACAACAACCCAGTGAGAATGGTAGATTAAGAGTAGCCATTTTGTCTATTTTACCAATGGACAAAAACTGAAATCAGAGAAGTCAAGCAGCCCGTTCAAGACCACACAGCTGAAAACATGGCAGGGCGGGGATTCAGACCATATCTTCTGATTTCAATTAGTTTCTTGACACCTTCCATGGAAAGGAGTTCGGGGGAGGATTGTATTAGTCCGTTCTTATGTTGCTAATAAAGACCTGAGACTGGGTAATTTATAAAGAAAAAGAGGTTTCATGGACTCACAATTCCACATGGCTGGGGAGGCCTCACAATCATGGTGGAAGGCAAAGGAAGATCAGAGGCACTTCTTACATGGCGGCAGGCAAGAGAGCATGTGCAGGGGAAATGCCCTTTATAAAACCATCAGATCTCGTGAGACCTACAATCAGGAGAACAGCAACCAGCGGCCATCTGACAAAGTTCTAGTCAATGAAGTCTTTTGAAGTATAGTGGTGAGAGGTCCTGGGAAATATTTTATTCACATTTTTAAAAGGGTCAGACTCCATTTTTTTCTCCTTTTCTGCTGCCTTGAAGGTAGCTGGTAGATCTGGAGCTGCAGCAGCTATCTTGTGGCCATAAGGTAGGAAACCAATGGGCTAAGGATAGCAACACAGGAAGGCAAAAGGTGCCTGGTATGTTGATACCACACTGGCTGCACCAGCCCTGGGCTGTCTCCAGTTTTTCATTAAGCAATAAAAAAAAGTTCCCTGTGTGTTTAAACTAGTATCTACTTTGGTTTTTTTCATTATTTGCCACCTAAACCATTCCTCCCTGATAACAAAAAACTAAGAAAGAAGCCTTTCCTTTTCTTAGTAAAGATGTAAGGAAGCTAGTTATGCTCAGGCTGGTTTGGAAGATTATGATATGGGGTAGTGAGTTTGGTGGCTCTGCAAATAAACACAGCTGCCCAGGGCCCCTACTTCTCCTGAGCTGCAGGCCCTGGAAGGTCTTGCAGTCTCCATAACCAAGCAGTGTGGTTTTGCCCCTCAGAGGCTAGCTGATCTACATAGGAGGCAGGTCAGTGTATTTGATCTAAATATTGTTTAGTTGGGTTTCATATGTAAGGGAAACTTACAGTTTTGTTTCCTTTTTCTTTTCTTTTTTAAAAATTTAAGCTGTATTATCTTTTATGTTTTAGGGCCAAAATTCCATTAAATCATGAAATAAATTATATAGCTCCTCTTCCCCCCATTCCATGCTTTCGATCATTTAATGAGGGAGTTATCTTTTTTTGAGTTATAAAGAATTCACTAATGCAGGCTGGGTACAGTGGCTTACACCTATAATCCCAGCATCTTGGGAGGCTGAGGTGGGTGGATCACTTGAGCTCAGGAGTTCAAGACCAGCCTGGCCAACATGGTGAAACCCCACCTCTACTAAAAACACAAAAATTAGCCATGCATGGTGGTGCACACCTATAATCCCAGCTACTCGGGAGGCTGAGACAGAAGAACTGCTTGAACCCAGAAGGGAGAGGTTGTGTGAACCAAGATCAAGCCACTGCACTCCAGCCTGGGTGAGAGTGAGACTCGTCTCAAAAAAAAAAAAAAAAAAAAGAATTCGCTAATGCAAGGGTTCTCAGATGAAAACCATGTTCACAATAACATGACCTATTATATGCCTTTTTCACTCACATTCTCTCACAAGGGAACAGTGCAATTTTTCAAAATATATTTGGAAGATCTGCATGACTCAATGAATTGATATTCTCCCATTGACCAATGGGTAAAGTTAGAAAATCATGCATGATAAAGATCAATTTAAAGTGTGACACAGACCTGAAGATTTCAATAAAATAGAGTAGAAAAATTTCACATTTCAGCTAACCTTTAAGAAACTATCACTTACGGAGTTTTGGTGGACTATCATAGAATATCCACAATCGTTTAAAAAAGCTTTGCCTCCCTCTCCCAACCGCATGTTAGTGATGCTAGGTCTTCTTCAAATACTCCAAACAGGACAACATAGCACAACAGAATGAATGCAGCCACACAAACGAGAAGCCGGCTGACAACTGTTAAGGCAGATATGAAAGAGATCTGTAAAATGTAAAATAATACCACTCACAAATTTCATTTTGTTTTGGAAAATATAGTTACTTTTCATTAAAATTTGTTATTTATATCAACAGGTAATATTGTTCCTTTTAAATGAATAGATATTTTTAAAATTTATGCTATGATTTCTCATAGAATAATTATTTCAGAACAAGAAACAATGAGGAAGAAAATTTTTTAAAAAGAAATAATTATTAATATTCTTTTTTTTTTTTTTTCCAGACAGAGTCTAGCTCTGTCACCCAGGCTGGAGTGCAGTGGTACAATCATAGCTCACTGCACCCCCAACCTCCCAGGCTCAGGCCATCCTCCCTCCTCAGCCTCTTGAGTAGCTGGGACCACAAGCATGCACCAGCTAATATTTAATTTGATTTAATGTAATTTATGTTATGTTTATTTTAATTTATTTTATTGTATATAGTTTTATGTCATGTTAGTTATTTATTTTATATTTCAGCTCATTTCATTTGTTTTTTGAGACAGGGTCTTGCTCTGTTGCCCAGGCTGGAGTGCAATGGTGTGATCACAGCTCACTGCAGCCTTGAACTCCTGGGCCCAAATGATCCTCCCATCTCAGCCTCCTGAGTAGCTGGGACTACAGGCACGCACCACCACAGTTGGCTAATTTTTGTATTTTTTGTAGAGATGTGGTCTTGCCATGTTGCCTAGGTTGGTCTTAAACCCCTGGCCTCAAGTGATCTTCCCTCCTTGGCCTCCCAAAGTGCTATTAATACAATTAACCACATAAATAACATCTCTTCAGATGCCTCAATAATTTTTAAGAAGGTAAAATGGGACTTGAGAACAAAAAGCTTAAGAACCTCTGCCCACGTGGAAACAATTGGTTGGCAGCAATAGGGGAAGATAAGGAGATCAAGTACAAATCCTGGATTTGTTTTTCAATTTCTTCATTGATAAGTAGGGAGTCAGATTCTGCTACTTCCTGTGGTATAATCTTTAAGAACTCACCCTGTTACAGCAGCGTTCAGAGGCAGGGAGGAATTTTATTTCAGAAGCATCACCCTCAATATGCAAAATAGGCCAATATTTCTCCTTTTACATCTTTTAAGACTGGGAGTGAGTTAGTGCCTTACGCCTATAATTCCAGTTCATTGAGAGGCCAACGGGGGAGGATTGCTTGAAGCCAGGAGTTTGAGAATGGCCTGGGCAACACAGCAAGACCCCATTTTATAAGTAAAATACAAATGAACAAACAAAAGACTAAGAGTGATCAAAGCGATTTTTGAAAAGGTGATTATGACTCCAGGGTTGATTCAATTAAGCAATCCTATAAGAGCCATCCTTGAGCAATTTTATATTATACCCACTTCACCCTTTATTTTTCAACATAGGAATAATAACAGGATAAACTTTTGGTAAGGAGTTCAAGGGCTGTTTTGTAGAAAAACAAAACTCAGGATATCAGTTCTTATAGAGCAATGGTTGGCCAAATCCAGCAAGCTGCCTGTCTTTGTAAATAAAGTTTTACTGGAACACAGCCATGCCCATGCATTTACTTCCTGGTCTGTGCTGCCTTCATGCTACGGCAACAGAGTTGACTAACTGCAGTAGAGACTATATTATTTACTAAATACTTACTATCTGGCCCTTTCCAGAAATTCCAGTAGAGACTATATTACTTACTAAATACTTCCTGTCTGGCCCTTTCCAGAAATTGCCAACTCCTGTTTTAGAGAGTCACTTTGTATCTTGATTAAGAGGGCTTTGGAATTAACTCACCTGGAATTAAGTCCCTTCTGTGCTACTCTCAGCTTAAGGGACTTGGCTTAATTTTCCTTATAATAGAAAGGGGCTAAATTGTTAAGGATTACATGACATAAGGCCTGGAAAGTGTTTAAGAGAGTCCCTGGCACAGAGCAAGTGCTCAGTAGCACTATCATCAATTTAGCAGGAGCTTAAATGAAGTATGATGAACTTGGGACTTAGATTCTAAAATCAACACAAAGGACAAAAATAAAGCATTAAAATAAATCTCCTTTGAAAATCCCTTAGGTGGGTGGCACATTGTAGACAAACACAGAGTCTCTCAGTAATGCCAACATAGCTGGCTTTTCCCTCCAGCATTTAAGTAGATCGCTGTTCTTTCACTCAAGGCCCCAGATGAAGTAGCTGGCATTGAAGAGCCATATTGTAGGAACAAAAATCTATATATTCAAACATGAGGCTCACACTCAGTTGGTGAGAAACTCACATTCTCAAGAGCAGAGGGGATTGACAGACTTTGGGGACAGAAGATTCACGGCTCCCATACTGTACCGCTTTGGGTGACAGACATGTCTCGTGGGTCATTTTTCTCCTGTGCCTCTCTGCCCCACCCCGCCAAAGAAAACCACCTAATTTGACATTTGTAAATTAAATGGACATCTTTTAAAAGGAATCAATAATACTGATAGAGTTGCTATGACAATGAAATGTGTATACGTGATGGAAAATGACAGCAATTGCTTTGTTTAAAATTCCATGGTAAATTCCCACCTGATGCCTGGCATACATGGGGAACTATGAGAAACACCTGGGTCTTACAAGTTTCCTTCTGGACATCAACTAGGATTATGGTTTTATTTGTGAAAATCCCCTCAAGTGGCAAAGATTAAATTACTCAGCAAGGTGTGGTGGCTCATGCCTGTAGTCCCTGCACTTTGGGAGGTGGAGGCAGGAGGATTGCTTGAGCCCAGGAATTAGAGAACAGCCTGGGCAACATAGCAAGACCCTGTCTCTACAAAAAATAAAAAATATTAAAATTAGCCGGGCATGATGGCATGCACCTGTAGCCCCAGCTACTTGGGAGGCTGAAGCAGGAGAACTGCTTGAGCCTTGGAGGTTGAGGCTGTAGCGAGCTATGTTCATGCCACTGCACTCCAGCCTGAGTGACAGAGTGAGGCCTTGTCTCAAAAAAACAAAAAAGTAGAAAGATTAAAAAAATAAATTATTTCATGGACATGTATTTACCTGGGAGAAAACCAGCAGCTGATGAGGCTGGAGACCACTACATAAGATGCTATCATCATCCCCGACATGGCGAGTGATACGAAGCCCAAACCACAGAGGATGCAGAGCAGTGAGAAGCCACCCACAGAGATGACCAATCCTAGGAGGAGAACGTGGTTAGGAGAAGGGTTCATCTCAAACAGGTTGAAAACTGGCAGACCCTGGGTCAGTCTGTTTAAAATAACAACCGCTAACTCAGATTATTAAAGTAAGAAGATTTCCCACAAAAACCCAGATTTCTAGCATCACTTAAAAAAAGGAGGCGATATGGGTACCTGAGTGGGCATCAAACCATGGCAACAACTGGCTGGCCCTCCCGTTGCCTCCAGTCCCCCCAATTCCCAAACTGCATCACACATGGGCTGCTTTGCTCATTTTGTCTTTTTTTTTTTCTTTTTTGAGACAGTCTTGCTCTGCCTCCCAGGCTGGAGTGCAGTGGCGCAATCTCAGCTCACTGCAACCTCCGCCTCCCAGGTTCAAGTGATTCCCGGCTTCAGCCTCCTGACGAGCTGAGATTACAGGTGCCTGCCACTACGCCCAGCTAATTTTTATATTTTTAGAGGAGATGGGGTTTCACTATGTTGGCCAGGCTGGTCTTGAACTCCTGACCTCAAGTGATCCACCTGCCTTGGCCTCCCAAGGTGCTGCGATTACAGGCGTGAGCCACCACAACCAGCCTGCTCATTTTGTCTTGCCCATAAGTGCTGGAGTTTGAGATTCCCTTACCCTCAAGGTCAGAGATGGACTTCCAAAGGGATCCCCTCGAGGAGTCAGCCAAGGCAGTACTGGGGGAGGTAAATTATCTCTAATGTCTCAAAGTGCATAATAAATGCCATTATTTACTCTTACCTACAAGCTATAGGTATAAAGGTCATGCAGGCTAAAGCAAAATCTAAATGCAGCTTTTGATGGCATCCTTGAAAATCCAGCCTGTAAACCATCACATTTTAATCTTAAGGTCTGATTGGTCATTTTTATGGAGCATTTTATATGCCATTTTAATATACCATTCCCACTCTGAATAGGAATATTAATGAATTACCATCTAATACGTGCAAGGAAAATACATTTTTTCATAATGTGGGGCCTGTGGGGGGGAAAAGAATAAAAGGTAGAAGGAAAAGATCATGAAGAACAAGTAACATGGCAAGTATTGTATGGCTGACATCCTTCCCTTTGCTTTGTGAGTGGCCAGTTAGCCCAGTGCTCCTCCCACAGCCACAGTGATGGTTTCAGGGAGGGACCCTGAAAAGGCTGGAAGGAAGAGAACATCAACAGGTGTGCTGCCTGTTCATAAAGATTCGCAAAATTTTAGATCAGCGTTTTTCAAAGTGTGGTGCCAACCACCTGCATCAGAATCAGGTGCATCAAGGAAGCTCGTGAAAAATTCAGATTTCTAAACCCCACTCCAGACCTACTAAAACAACACTCTCTGGATGAGGCCTGGAAGTCTGCATTTTCTTTCTCTTTTTTCTTTTTTTAAGAGACAGAGTCTTGCTCTGTTGCCCAGGCTGGAGTGCAGTGGCATGATCATAGCTCACTACAGCCTCAACTGCCTGGGCTCAAGCGATCCCGTCACCTCAGCCTTCTGAGTAGCTGGGACTACAGACACACACCACTTTTTTCTTTCTTTCTTTCTTTTTTCTTTTCTTTTCTTTTTTTTGAGACAGAGTCTCACTCTTATCACCCAGGGTGGAATGCAATGGTGCAATCTTGGCTCACTGCAACCTCCACCTCCCAGGCTCAAGTGATTCTACTGTCTCAGCCTCCCAAGTAGCTGGGATACAGGTGCCCACCACCATGCCCGGCTAATTTTTTGTATTTTTAGTAGAGATGGGGTTTCACCATGTTGGCCAGGCTGGTCGCGAACTCCTGACCTCCAGTGATCTGCCCTCCTCAGCCTCCCAGTGTTGGGATTACAGGCATGAGCCACTGTGTCCGGCCTCTTTTTTTTTTTTTTTAAAGAGATGGAGGGAATCTCGCTATGTTGCCCAGAGTGGTCTTGAACTCCTGGTCTCAAAAGATCCAAAGTCTGTATTTTGATAAAGAAAGTAAGATTTATACACACTTGGAGCTGGGTGCAGTGGCTCACACCTGTAATCCCAGCACTTTGGGAGGCCGAGGTGGGCAGATCACTTGAGGTCGGGAGCTCAAGACCATCCTGGCCAACATGGCGAAACCCTATCTCTACCAAAAATACAAAAATTAGTCGGGCATGGTGGGGCATGCCTGTAATCCCAACTACTTGGGAGGCTGAGGCAGGAGAATTTCTTGAACCTGGGTGGCAGAGGTTGCAGTGAGTTGAGATCATGCCACTGTATTCCAGGCTGGGCGACAGAGTAAGATTCCATCTAGAAAAAAAAAAAAGATTTAAATACACTCAGGTTCAAGAACCACTATTCTAGAGGCTTTGCACATGCTGTTCCCCTGTCCAAAAGGCCCTTCCTTGCCCACCCTGAGGCAAAGTTGTTATGCATCCTTAAAGTCTTGTCTGCTGTAAAGCTTTGCATGGTACCACCAAAATGTAATGGCTCTCTCCTTTCTCTATAAATTTCCTTTCTTATGGTACTCATTCATTCCTCCATCCATTCATTCATGCATTCACCCATCTATCTATCAACATTTACTCAAAAACCACTCTGCCAGGCTGTATTTGGCTCATCCACTGACCATGCCTACTTTCTCCTTCAAGTGTAAACTGCCTTGTCCCTGGGGCAAATAAACAGCCCTGGGTGCTCTTAGCTCTGGGAAGCCACGGAATGGACCAGAAGTGATCACCTGACCCACTGGCCACCATCTCTTTGGCCACTTGCCTGGGGTGTGTGATCTGATTTGAAAAGTCAAAGTGAGCAAATCAGATTTGCTTTCCCAGTAATTTTAACTTAGGAATACAGGGAGAAGTTGACTGTTGGTAGTGGAACTTCAGGAGGAAGGATGAAGGTGGTCTCCAGTACCTAGCGAGGCATCTGGCATGCAGTAGGTGCCCAATAACTCACTGTGGAATGAATGGCCTCTCTGCTTAATAATAATAGCTAGCATTCATTGAGAAGCTACTCTGTGACATGTATTGTGTATTGTGCTAAGGACTTTATGGAGCCATAAGTTTCAATCTTCACAACAACCTTTTGAGATTGTATTATTATATCTGCATTTTACATATTAAGAATTTAAGGCTCAGAGAGGTAAACCACTTGCCCCAAATCACAGTGGTGGAGGTGGGATTTGAATGCAGGCTCCAGAGTCTATGTTTTACCTACTCTGATAAGTTGCCTTGCTTGATGTGATTTTGACAAGAATGGCAGACAACCAGGCATGGTAGCCCATGGCCATAATCCCAGCACTTTGGCAGGCCGACGTGGGAGGATCACTTGAGCCCAGGAGTTTGAGACCAGCCTGGGCAACATAACAAGACCCCGCCCCTTAAAAAAATTTTTAAATGGCCCCAAAAGTATTTTTCTCCCAATTGAATTATTTTCTAAAGGGGTGAATGACGGAACAGGCTACCTTCCAATATTATGACCCCCAGCAGAGCAGCCAGGGTGGTAAGCACCACGATGAGCAGGAAGAATCCAACAGGAACGGCCGACATGACAATGAACACCAGCAAGGTGAAGGCCAGAAACGGATGGCTGTCCAAGTACTGACCCACTGGAGACTTCATAAAGGCCACCACCTGTAGGCAAAGGACAAAGAGCCAGGGATAAGTAACACATCGGAACCCCAGGTTGAATGAATCTGCCCAAGCTGTGGGAATTACAAGGCAGAAGTCGTAAAGCCAGAAGGCTTATGCATTAACAAGTCACTACAGGCCGGGTGCAGTGGCTCATGTCTGTAATCCCAACACTTTGGGAGGCCAAGGCGAGCGGATCACCTGAGGTTGGGAGCTTGAGACCAGCCTGACCAACATGATGAAACCCCCGTCTCTACTAAAAATACAAAATTAGCCAGGCACGGTGGTGTGTGCCTGTAATCCTAGCTACTGGGGAGGCTGAGGCAGGAGAATTGCTTGAACCTGGGAGACAGAGGTTGCAGTGAGCCAAGGTTGCACCATTGCACTCCAGCCTGGGAGGCAGAGGTTGCAGTGAGCCAAGGTCACACCATTGCACGCCAGCCTGGGAGACAGAGCAAGACTCCATCTCAAAAATGATAATAAGAATAACAAGAGCGAAACTCCGTCTCAAAAAAAAAAAAAAAGTCACTACAACAAGACTTCTCCCAAGACATGAGTCACCCAGGCAGCTATCTTAGGCAGCTGTGGAGAGGTGGCAAGTCTGAGGTCCCCACCCAAGGTCAAGCCTTGTGAAAGGAGGAAAGACCCAGTCATGGCTCTCCTGCCAAACACACTCTTGAGAAGACCTCTTCGGCATAAAGGTGCATTGATGTAAGGTACATACCATCTGCCTCCTACTTTACAGCTGAGGTTCTCATAGTTGAAGCCACTCAGACACAAATAGGCTTAGCTACTTGGATCATCTAGGAGTTTGTTAGAAATACAGAATCTGGCTGGGCGTGGTGGCTCACATCTGTAATCCCAGCATTATGGGAAGTCGAGGCAGGAAGATTGCTTGAGGCCAGGAGTTTGAGACCAGCCTGGACAACACAGCAAGATTCCATCTCTACAAAAAATTTAAAAACTAGCTTGGCATAGCAGCACATACCCACAGTCCTAGCTACTTGGGAGGCTGAGGTGGGAGGATCACTGGAGCCCAGGAGTTTGAGGTTGCAGTGAACTATGGATTGCACCACTGCATTCCAGCCTGGGCAACAGAGGGAGATCTTGTCTCCAGAAAAAGGGGAAAAAAAAAGGAAATGCAGAATCTCAGGCCCTGATGAATCAGACTGCCTTTTAAACAAGATTCCCCAGGTGTCGTGCATACACATTAAAGTTTGAGAAGCAATGAACTAAGTCACTTGTCTAGAGTCGCACAGCCTCCAAGTTGCAAAATCTCAGCATTAAAAGCTAATCACTTGTCTATTATTAAGCATTAAAAGCATTATTATTATTAAAAGCATTATTAAAGTGATTAGCATTAAAAGCTAATCACTTGTCTATTATTATTAAAAGTATTATTACTATTAAAAGCATTATAATTATAATTATAATATAATAATTATATATGTTTATAATTATATATAATATAATATATTATATTATATATACTATAAATATAAATATTTAAATATATAAATATAAATAAATATAAATATATAAATATAAATATATAATATAAATTATAATTATAAATATAAAATATAAAAATATTTATAATTATATAAAATTAAATTATATTTAATTTTATATAAAAATATAATTATATTTATAAAAATATAAATATAAAAATATTTATAATTATAATATATAAAATAAAAATATAATATAATATTAAAAATATATATATAATTATATATAAAAATATAATTGTAATGTAATATAAAAATCATAATTATAATATTGTATAATTATATTAGATATATTATACTAATATTAGTTATCAATATTCATATAGCATTATTATATATTATATAAATATATTATATTTATATATGTATATAATTATAATATGTATTATATTATTTATATATTATTTATTATAATTATAATTATTAAAAGCATTATTATTAAAAGCATTATTAAGCATTAAAAGCTAATCACTTGTCTATTAGTAAGCATTAAAAGCTAATCACTTGTCTATTCACTTGTCTATTAAAAGCTAAGCTCAGCATTAAAAGCTAATCACTTGTCTAGAGTCGCACAGCCTCCAAGTGGCAAAATCTCAGCATTAAAAGCTAAGGCCTGGCCAGCATGGTGGCTCATACCTGTAATCCCAGCACTTTGGGAGGTGGAGGCAGGCGGGTCACCTGAGGTCAGGAGTTCAAGAACAGCCTGGCTAACATGGTGAAACCCTGTCTCTTTTAAACATACAAAAATCAGCCAGGCATGGTGGCGCGTGCTGGTAGTCCCAGCTACTAGGGAGGCTGAGGCACGAGAATCGTTTGAGCCTGGAAGGCGGAGGTTGCAGTGAGCCAAGATGGCGCCATTGCACTCCAGCCTGGATGACAGAGCAAGTCTCCTTTTCTTTTCTTTCTTTCTTTTTTTTTTTTTGAGATGGAGTTTTGCTCTTGTCGCCCAGGCTGGAGTGCAATGGCAAGATCTCGGCTCACTGCAACCTCCGCCTCCCGGGTTCAAGCCATTCTCCCGCCTCAGCCTCCCGAGTAGCTGGGATTACGGGCGCCCCCACCACGCCCAGCTAAGTTTTGTATTTTTAGTAGAGACAGGGTTTCACTATATTGTCCAGGCTGGTCTCGAATTCCTGACCTCAGGCGATCCACCCGCCTTGGCCTCCCAAAGTGCTGAGATTACAGGCGTGGGATACCGCGCCCCACCGCAAGTCTCCTTTTCAAAAAAAAAAAAACAAACCTAAGGTCTTGGACTCAGAATGTCCAATGCTTGCAACAGCTGCCACCACATCAAGTAAAAATGCTTTTATGTCATCAACCTGGTTACCATAGTTGGCCACAGCCTGTGACTAATGCAAGTTTATGTTGTGTTAATAGTTTATTTTCCTTCACCGGGCAAAAAGGAATTTTCGATCTGACTCAATGGAGGGAGACTGCTTTAACGCAGAGCTGGCCATAGGCAAATCCGCAAAGATGGGTTTCCCCCTCTCCTCCTTAGGCTCCACGCCTTCTCTCTCCTCAGTACTGGTATTCTAGATCCTGTTCACTTGAAAGGAACCATTATTCCAGAACCTCCTTCCATCATAACTGGTCCTTCCTGAGCCTCATCCCTACGGCCTTGCAGGCCAACAGATGAAAAGAAGACATAATTCAGGTCCCCAAAACACATGTGCCTCCTAGGAAGAAGAGTTTACCCAAGTGGTTTAAACAGTGGGATTTTCAGGGCGAGTTGGAAGGCAGGAGGGGTTTGTGGTTCATGCTGAAGGAACTAAAGTGCAAGCTGCACCCTGCTTAAATAAAAGAGGCCATGCCAAGAAGCCACAGCCATTGGTCTTGGGCTTCAGCGTGGTCTCCTAAGGATTACTCTCGAGGCATGGCCAATTTCACTCCCTGCCAGGCCACAGGACGGCATAATGCCCGCTGACCTCACTGCCTCCTGCTACCCCACCATTCTGACAAAAGCCACCAAAGAGCTTGCTATTCCGCTTCTCTAGCCAGAGATGACTGTAGCAGGAATCACCTTGGAGCCAGCACTGCCCAGCCTGGACACTCCATCATCAGAGTCCAGTGAGATCCTGCTGTGTTGGGGCAGCTGAAAGAGAAAGAGAGGCGGAGGAGCCGTGGGAGTCACCACACAGAATGTGGGCTGGTCCCTTGCGCTGTCTCAGGTCCTGACTTCTTTCCAGTTCGAATCCACATGCATCCTTATTTGATGCTCCCTGTGTCACCTGATCTTTACAATCCAAAGAACCACAGTGGGGAGAGCAGATGGGCTCTCCAGGAAAGGGAGGCAGCAGTACACCCGTGAGTATGCTGCGCCAGCGAGGGAAGGGCTGTGCAGCGGAAGGAACTTGTGAGGCTGGGACACCAGGACACTGGGCTTGCTAGCTTATCCCCGGGCTGTCCATCACAGGCCACCTGCGCCATTCAGCACTTGAAATGCTCCTCCTGTGACTGATGGCCTGGATTTCCAATTTAATTTAATTTAAATTTTAAAGCTGAGACTTGATTCAGTTGTTGGAAAAATTTTAAGTATGTTTCCAATAGGTTGGGTATGTGAATCTATTTCGCTGAATTGTAAGTTTTATAAAATCTGAATAGAGATTAAATATTTCCAATGAAAATTTGGCATCAGAATTGAGATGTGCTTTAAGTGTAAGAAAAAAAAATGCAAAATATCTCATTAATACTTTTTTATATTACCTGTTGAAATTATAGTGTTTTGGATATATTGTGTTAAATTGAGAATATATTATTAAAATTAATCTCTGGCTGGGCACGGTGGCTCACACCTGTAATCCCAGCACTTTGGGAGGCTGAGGTGGGCAGATTACTTAAGATCTGGAGCTTAAGACCAGCCTGGTCAACATGGTGAAACCCCGTCTCTAGTAAAAATACAAAAAAATTAGTCAGGCAGAGTGGTGCGTGCCTGTAATCCTAGCTACTTGGGAGGCTGAGGCGGGAGAATCACTTGAACCCGGGAGTCAGAGGTTGCAGTGAGCCGAGATCACGCCACTGTACTCCAGCCTGGGCGACAGAGCGAGACTCCATCTCAAGATAAATAAATAAATAAAATTAATCTCATTTGTTTCTTTTTGTTTTTAATGTAATTATTAAAAAACTTAAAATTATATATGTGGCTCACATAATATTTCTGCTAGACAGCACTCATTTAAATTTCATCTGGGAAAAAAAAAACAGGGAACAAACTGCTGTCATTTGAGCAGAACTATGACATGATTAAAGGAATGATTTAAGAAATATGAACCTAGCAATCATGTGCAAGAGGCAGGTAGAAAGATTTGCAGGAAATCAGGCAAGATATACTGTGGTCAAGTCCAGGCTGATGGCAGAGAGGGAAGAGAAGGGGGAGGGGTAGATGGGTATGAAAGTGGAATGACAAAAGAAGGAATACACAGGACTTAGGGACTGTATGGCACAGGGATATAAAAGGAAACAGGCAAGACTGTTCCACTTCAGTCCTTAAGGAATCCACCTTTTTCTTAGCCTTTTGTTTTTTTGAGATGGAATCTCACTCTATTGCCCAGGCTAGAGTGCAATGGCATGATCTCGGCTCACTGCAACTTCCGCTTCCCAGGTTCAGGCGATTTCCAGCTAATATTTATATTTTTTAGTAGAGATGGGGTTTCACCATGTTGGCCAGGCTAGTCTCGAACTCCTGACCTCAAGTGATCTGCCCGCCTCGGCCTCCCGAAGTGCTAGGATTATAAGCATCAGCCACCATGCCCCGCCATTCTTAGTCTTTTCCGAGTCTGGGCTCTATAATCAAAGAGAAAGTCATTTAGATATGCAAAGAGACCAAGATTCAGATGATTAAACCCAGAAATTGTCTTCTCCCAGGAAGTACAGCTGAGCTCCAGCCAGTCTGTCCCAGGAGGGGAGGACACGATTCAACCACACCTAATAATAACAGAGAACATTCATTAAACACTCAGGTGCTGGGCACTGCTTTAAGCACCTCTCGTATTATTTCCTCATTTATTTCTTCCTACAATGCTACGAGGTAGGTAAAAAAGAACGACCTAACACTATTTAAACTCAGGGGGGTAGAACGTAGCAATTAACATTTCATTCTCATGGCAACAGAGGGGGATGCAATGGAAAGATGGAAAGTGGGAGAGGTTATTATTCAGTAACATGCACTGTGATTTTCCATCACCAGCCTGGAGGTAGACACAGGTTACCCAATCTAGGCTCTGTAAGCACAGTGCAGCACTGCAGAGCCCAGGAAGGCCAGGCTGAGACAGACTGACAACATTATGCGCCACCCTCTGTGCTAAAGCTTCAAACAGCATCTCAGATAATCTTCATAACAAACCTCTGAGCCTGACATTGCTCATTTTAGAAAAGAGGAGATGGCAGCTGGGCATGGTGGCTCACTTCTGTAATCCCAGCACTTCAGGAGGCCAAGGCAGGAGGACTGCTTGAGGCCAAGAGTTTGAGACCAGCCTGGGCAACACAGTGAAAGATGCTGTCTCTCCAAAAAATAAAATAAAACATTAGCTGAGTATGCTGGTGTGCACCTGTAGTCCCAGCTACTCAGGAGGCTGAGGCTGGAGGTGTTGCTTGAGACCAGAAGTTCGAGGCTACAGTAAGCCATGATCACACCACTATACTCCAGCCTGGAAGACAGAGTGAGACTCTGTCTCAATAAAAAATAAATAAAAAATTTTAAAAAAGGAGATGGAAATTCAGTGAGCCTAAGTGACTTGCCCAAGGTCAGACAAAGGCGGTTGGCTTCTAAACTAGGGACAAAGTGGCCAGTATTTGAGAACATGAAGACTGAAACTTGGATGATTCAGGAGCCAGGCAAATTCCCTGGTATCAGAATGCAAAAAACAATCAATGATTCATTATCTCTTCCTAACAGGAGAAAGACGAAGGGTCAGGACCATTTACAACCACTGGTGGCCAGGTGCGGTGGCTCACGCCTATAATCCCAGCACTTTGGGAGGCCGAAGTGGGTGGATTGCCTGAGGTCAGGAGTTGGAGATCAGCGTGGCCAAAATGGTGAGAAACCCCGTCTCTACTAAAAATACAAAAACAAACAAACAAAAAAGGCAGGTGAACGTGACTATTAACTAAGTTCAGACAGGGCCAGGGTGAATGCCTAGTGCAGTGCTTGGCATACAGTCAGTGCCAAGAAATATGCAGTCAATCCTTATTACTCATGATTCCATATTTGTAAATTTGCCTCCTCACTGAAATTTATTTGTAACCTCAAAATGAATACTGGCAGTGCTTTTTGTTTTGTTTTGTTTTGTCTGAGATAGAGTCTTGCTCTGTCACCCAGGCTGGAGTACAGTGGTGTGATCTTGGCTCCCTTCAACCTTCACCTCCTGGGTTCAAGCGATTCTCGTGCCTCAGCCTCCCAAGAGGCTAGGATTACAGGCGCACACCACCACACCCAGCTAATTTTTGTATTTTTCGTAGAGAAGGGGTTTCATCATGTTGGCCAGGCTGGTCTTGAACTTCTGGCTCAAGGGATCCACCCGCCTCGGCCTCCCAAAGTACTAGGATTACAGGTGTGAGCTACCACGCCTGGCCTGCAGTGCTTTTGAGGTCATTAGTGGACACGTCCACAACAGCAAAAAGTGGAGTCACCTGCCACGTACATTCCCAGCTGAGGTCAAGCAAGGTGACACCGAGCCTTCCTGTTTCATCCTTTAAACAAGTGTCACTGTGGTCTATTTAGTGCCACGTTTATGCTTTAGTTTGGTGATTTTACTGTTGAAAATGGTCCCCAAGTGTAGTGCTGAAGTGTTCTCTAGCGTTCCTAACCATGAGAAGGCTGTGATGTGCCTTATGCAGAAAATACATGTGTGTGATTAGCTTTGTTTAAGACATGAGTCATAGTACTGTTGTTGGCCCTGAGTTCAACGTTAATGATCAACAATATATATTAACATGTCTTTAAACAGAAATACACATAAAACGAGGTTATGTACTGATCAGCTGACAAAAATGTTGTGAACAGGAGGCTCACAGCAACTGAATCCTGTATTTCCCCTAGGAGCGATGGTTTGGTATGTGCTAATTCAGTGTCTGCAGTAACTTTATAGAACGTAACTACCATGGTTAATGAGAATCAGCTGTAAATGTGGAACAGGCAGGAGGACCCTTCTTACTGAGCTAACTTTTAATAACAAGAGTCCCCGCCAGCTGGCGAGAAAGCTGCTTGTCCAATTTAAAAATAGCTTGGTAAATCCACAAAGAGTGCCAAATAAATTCTGGAGCAAGTCCAGAATTTATTGTTGTAGATTGCAAACAAGCATCTCTTCGAGTAGACCCGCTGTGCTATCCAATACAAAAAAAAATACACCACAAAATAGTTCATTTTGTTACATATACATATGTATTTTTATAGGTATATTGCATAGAAAAAAGGTCTAGAATGACATACAAAATGTTAACAGTATTATCTCTGAAAGCTGTTTTCTTTTCCCTGACAAAATGCTGAAAGACATATAGAAGAAAGCAATAAGGATAAATATGCAAGAAAACATAACGCTATCTGAAGTCTCATTGCCACTGAGTGGCCACTGAATACCTAAAAAGTGGCTAACTCGAATTGAAATGTGCTAGAAGTGTAAAATATGCGCACGGGGGGTTTTGAAGAGGGAGTTCAAAAAAGAAGGTACAATGTTTCAAGAATCTTTTTTCATTAATAATTTTGTATAAATGATTACATGTTGAAATATTTTTGATATCTTAGGTTGAATAAAAACATTATTAAAAATAATTTTTTTTTTTTGGAGACGGAATCTCGCTCTGTCGCCCAGGCTGGAGTGCGGTGGCACAATCTCAGCTCACTGCAACCTCCGCCTCCTGGGTTCAAGTGATTCTCCTGCCTCAGCCTCCCGAGTAGCTGGGACTACAGGCCTTACCACCACACCTGCTCATTTTGGTAATTTTAGTAGAGATGGGGTTTTACCATGTTCGCCAGGCTGATCTCGAACTTCTGATCTCAAGTGATCCACCCACCTCAGCCTCCCAAAGTGCTAGGATCACAGGCGGGAGCCACTATGCCCAGCCAAAATTAATTTTACCTATTTCTTTTTACTTCTTACATGTGGCTACTAGAAAAATTCTAAATTACATACGTGACTCACATCATATTTCTATCGGACCTGGATTCCTAGTGGAACAATGAACTCAAATCTTGAAGTAGGCTTTTGTCTCTCATTTTCAGGGTAACAGATAGGGCAAAATTCACAACAAAACCAAACAAAACCAAAAAAAGGATGATATCTGTTGCACAGACTTCTTTATCCAGCTAAAGAATTGCATTTGCCATTAGTGGCAAATGACTCAATGTTGGCTTAAGGGATGTAATTGGAAGTATTGTGTGCGACTCCCAGAAGTCTCCTTAAATTGTAGGTGGCTTGCACTTCTCTCTTCCCCCCTCCTCAAATCCTGTTGCCTGAAAGATGGATACAATGGCTGATGCTCTTGCAGTCATCTCAGACAAGGAGTTTGAAGGTCACAGCATAGACATGGCAGGGCGGTAAGCCAGAAAGATTCTTGACTTACCTCCAAATTCCTTCTACTGGAGAAAGAAATAACTTTCTATCTTGTTTATGCTAGTGTTATATTGGGATTTTCCATTATACATAGTGATTGGAAACTGACCTTTGAGTTATTCTGGAAGGAGTCTATCAGCAGAGACAGCTTCTTCTGCAGTTCCTGCAAGTCCCTTGAGATACTCTGGGGCTCCTCTTTTGCCATTCTGAAGCTCACTTCAATCTCTTTAGGGATGAATTATCCTACCAGTAAATTCTCCAGTGCAGCCCGCGGTCCAATCTCTCATGTCGCTCTGTCTCTTGCTGTTACCAGAGGAAACAAAAGCCGTTAGTGGTCTTCATCCATCTGGTTCGACGAGAGCTTCTACCATCCTCATACCTTGATGGTGGGCATGCAGACGGAGGGTAACCTGGCAATATTCACAACAATTTCAGATTGCACACACTTCAATCCAGGAATTTATATTCCAGGAACATGATGGAAATAATCCAACAGGTATCTCAAAATGTACTAAAAGGCTGTGCATTGCATCCCTGTTTATAACATATAATGACTAGCAAAACATTGGAAAGTAGCTAACTGTATTTCCATTAGGAGAAAATTGGTTAAATAATGATAAATTCAGTCATTAAAATGATAGTGTGACTGTTTAGTGATGTGAAAAGATGTGTATGATACTTTTAAAAAAAGATGATAAAATGTTAATAGTATTATCTCTGACAGCTTATGTTTATTTTTTAGCTTGACAAAATGCTGAAAATATACAGAAAGCAAGAAAGCTGAACACACTATTTCAAATCTCATTGCCTTTTATTCTCCCTAGAAAGCTTTCCTTGTACAACAGTAGCCTTGACCTGTTTCTCTTCTTTATTACTGTACAGGTTGGCTCCCAATTCCATCATTCCATACATCATCATCTACTTACTTGTGGGTAAGTCTATCCCTGCTAAGGAGAACTGCACCTCGGGGGCAGACCTCACCACAGTAATTATACTCTAACTAAACTGCCTGGAATTTTGAGGGGTGTCCCAATCTCATACAATTTTTACTTATTTTTAATAAAGGCAATTGGTTAAATTAGATATATTTTTTAACCCTTGTTGAGTTTTCAAATATAAAAAAAAAATCATTCTTATTTTATATTTCCCAGAACTGGCTGGACACAGAGATATCTTTTCCATTTCTCCCTTTAAACTGACCTGACCTACAGTACAAATGCTTAAAAGATTGTGTCCACGTGGCCAAAATTAATTGAGAGATCCTCACATTTATTTATCATATAGGGGGTAATTTTATCTACTACTAAGCTGTACAGGGTCTAGTATGCAAATTAAAGCACATTTTAATCATCCCAGCTAGACATCCTCTGCTACTTCCCTTTTGTAAAACAAGAAACCCTTTGGAGGGGAAAGTTGAGGAGGGGACTAATCCCACCACCCCACATTCTCTCTTTGAAGCTGCCTCTGGCGTAGGTCTTGAACTTGGGATGTTCCCAGCACTCAGTTCCCATAATCTCATCTCTGCAGCAAGCAGAAACAAGCGGAGTTCCCCTTACAGGTCTCCTTTGGCCTGGGAGCCTCAAGTGCCACCCAGACCGGTTTGGGGAGTCCGATGAGAGAGTGCGTGGGGCGAATGCCATCGGCCACAGCCTTCAAATGCGTCTACCTGGCCACCAATTCCCAGACCCCCTGGTCACTCACTCCTCGGAGGGGCCTCCCCAGGCACGGAGCTGTCTCCCGAGAAGGGAAAGCGAGAACCCGGCGCGGCCAAGGAGTGCCCCGCCTTCTTCACGCCTGGGGGACTGGGCCAGGCCAACACCAGCTAACCCTTTCCCCTTCCAAGGCTCCAAATAAATCTCCTGGCCCTCCCACCCCCGAACCTCCAGGGGAAAACGGCTACCTCGAAAGTTCAAGCTGGGAGGAGGGGTCACATCTCTGGTTGGGGGATGGGAGCTACAGGGCGCCTCGAGCTCACACTGGCCGCCCCTCCCCATCCGGGCCCAGCCTTTCAGCGTTCAAAAGCCAGGGAGACCCAAGGAGAGGAGGAAGGGAGTGAAATGCAGGTGGAGAGGGGGTCCGCGTCCCAGAAGGCACAGAGACTGAATAATGGGAACTCAGAGGGGAGTCGAGTACTTAGTTATTAATTTGGGGGTAAAGAAGCCCCCTTTGATACTTGCAGATCTCTCTGCAGCGATGGGGAAGGGGACCTCGGTGGAGAAGAGGGGCTGGGTGGTGAGGAAGGCGCCCGTTTTCAATAATCCTAGGGAGGTTTGCCTCGACGTCTTCCCCAGGTTCCCCAGAAAGGGGCACAGTCTCGGGGTGTGGTGGTGCTAGCTACCATTTTACCTAATCTAGTGGTAGTGTGTGTGTGTATGTGTGTGTGTGTTGGGGGGTGGCGGGGTGAGTGTGCATTTAGGGGTGGGGAGGAATCGTGTCTCCTCGTGCGCTCCCAGCCCCGTCCCGGCGACTCATAAGCAGGAGACGCCCCTTACACTAACCCCGGGGCAGAAAGCTACGGGCGTGGGACCCCGATAGCGCGCTCACGCCGTCGCCCCCGCGCTCCTCCTCTGTCCCCGCCCGGCGAGAGGGGTCTAGCCACCCGGGGCACCCGGACCCCCACCCCCAAGCTCCGAGCTCTCACCTGCTCCTGACCGCCGAGCAGCCCCCACCGCGTTTGCAGGCGAAGCGAAGAGAGGCAGGAGGAGGAACAAGAGGAAGAAGGAAAGAGCGTCCCGAGAGGGAGCCAGAGCCGCCTGCCTCCGCCCCCTGGCCCGGGCACCGCCCCTCGGCTCTTCTCCTCTGGGCTCGCCCCGCCCGTGGCCGGAAGGATCCGGCAAAGGCGCGCCAAGGCCCGGCGCCCAAGGCTTTGCAAAGCGCGCTCGCTCCCACTGGCTTTCGGAGCCACTAGAACAAGCCCTGAGAGGTTGACAGCTGAGGAAACTGAGGCTCAGAGAGTGTCCCTTCCCACACGACTGGCTTGGAGTGAGAAAGCTCAGACCACCTTCAAGACAGGCAGACTGGCAGCCGAGAATGAGTTTTCCAAGGGTGTCAGGGTTTCCCCTCCTGTATGCCTAAAACCAGCTGCTCTGGAACGTCTCTGGCGCTCAAGACACACACGTGATGAAGTATCACCCTGGCTGGAAGTTTTTAACCATGACTGCTCAAATGCGAATGTCATAAGCCAGTGAGATCCTTTCAGATGGATTGGATGTCCATTTTACACATGAAAAAGTCCAGGCTGAGAGAGACAAGATAAATCAATCCAAATTCCTCGGTTTGCATGGATCCAAGTCGGAGCAGGAGCCCCTGTTTCCCCTGGCCCCAAATCTGCCCTATAGAGTAAGGTTTCTGAATAGTATGCTATTGACATTTGGGGCGGAATAATTCTGTTTCTGAGCTGTGGATTGTAGAATGTTTAGCAATATCCTAGCCTCTACCCATTAGATGCCAGTTACAAGAACCGCCCCCCCCCACCTCCAGTTGTGTCTCAAAATATTGCCAAATGTCCCCTGGAAGGCCCCATCGTCCCGAGGTGAGAACCACTGCTATAGAGCATGATGGCAACTTACTGTGTGACTAAGTAACCTCTCTGAACCATGGCTTCAACCATAAATTAGAGAGAGGGATAAGCCCAACCATTGGTCTGCTGTTGCACAGTTCTCAGCCACTTTCCAGACAGGGACCTGTGTTGACCGACCTCTCCTCTTTGCCTGTGGCCATAGCAACCTGGAAAATAAGTCTTTAGATAACAAAAAGCTGGCAGGGTGCGGTGGCTCACACCTATAATCCCAGCACTTTGGGAGGCTGAGGTGGGCAGATCACTTGAGGCCAGGAGTTCCAGACCAGCCTGGCCAACATGGTGAAACCCCATCTCTACTAAAAATATAAAAACTAGCCAGGCATGGTGGTGCGCACCTGTAATCCCAGCTACTCGGGAGGCTGAGGCAGAAGTATCGCTTGAACCTGGGAAGTAGAAGTTGCAGTGAAGACACTGCACTCCAGCCTGGGCAACAGAGTGAGACCCTGTCTCAAAAAAAAAAAAAAAAAAAAAGAAGCAATCACAGGGTTGTAGTGAGGACTGGTGCAATAGTGTGGCTGTGGCTGTCGAGAACTTAGCACCTATTGAGGCACAGAGTAGGGGCTCAAAAATATTTGCTTGGGATGATGATTTATGATGATGATCACGACAATGATATGATAAACCACAGAATCCTGCTGTAATTCCACAATAGCAGAAAGAAGAGCTAATGGTGGGGATAGGACAGACAAGAATCCCTAAATTCTTAAGTTTTAGCCAATCTTGTCTGGCGTCATGCACTTTGTTCAGCTGCAAAATGCTGGGTTCCCCACCCAGGAAAAGATTGTGTGTGTGTGTGTGTGTGTGTGTGTGTTTCCTTAGATTACAGCCTTCCAATCATCATTCCCTAAATGGAAGTTGCTTTGGAAAGCTGAGTTAGGGTTTCCACTGGGATTTTTGTTTAAGAGTGCCATCTAGGGGCGTCTCTGTGAATCTTCAAATTCCTTCCACCTCTGGCATTTTTGGCTGGGCCAGCAGAGTTTTGCTTGTCTTTGTGTGATAGATGCTTCCTCCATCACATCATGTGTTCCTCCAGGGCTGGGATCCTAGCATCTCTCCATAGCATCAGGACTTGGCCCTCAAGGAACATGCAGTGGTTGGGTTAAAAAAATCCACGCGCAGCCTCTCCTATGCTTTCCCAATTACTTGCTGCAATGGACTGAATGTCTGTTCCTCTAAAATCCTAACCCCCAATGTGATGGGATTAGGCATGGGGTTTTTGGGAGGTGATTAGGTCATGAAGGTGAAGCCCTCCTAAATGGGATTAGTGCCCTTATAAAAGAGATCCCAGTGGCTCACACCTATAATCCCACCACTTTGGGAGGCCAAGGTGGGTGGATTGCTTGAGTCTAGGAGTTCGAGACCAGCCTGGGCAACATGGCGAAACCTCTTCTCTACTAAAAATACAAAAGTTAGCCGGGCATAGTGGCACATGCCTGTAGTCCCAGCTACATGGGAGGCTGAGGCAGGAGGATCTCTTGAGCCCAGGCAGTGGAGGCTGCAGTGAGCTGAGATTGCACCACTGCACTCTAGCCTGGGCAACAAAGTGAGACCCTGGCTCATTAAAATAAAATAAAATAAAATAATAAAATAAAATAAAATAAAATAAATAAAATAAAATAAAATAAAATAAAATAAAATAAAATAAGAATAACTCCCAGAGAGCTCTCTTACCCTCTTTCCACCATGTGAGGATACAATGAGAAGTTGGCAGCCTGCAACATGGAAGGGGGCCTTCACTGGAACCAGACCACCCTGGCACCCTGATTGTGAACTTCCAGCCTTCAGAGCAGTGAGAAATAAATGTCTCTTGTTTATAAGCCACCCAGACTTTGGTACTTTGCTATAGTAGCCTCCAAGGATTGAAACTGTTGCTCTGCTTAAACAACTATTTTAGGCCTCAGGAATGAGCTGCCAGGAATACCAGCCTCTGAATAAGAAATGTGTGAAATTTTTTTAGCAACAGATTAAGACCCTAAACTCTTGATAACAAGAGGCAGGGGCAACTTGGAACCTTGCTGACCTCTGCTCCCCATGTTGGCAGATTTGGCAAATAAAAACACACGACACTCAATTAAATCTGAATTTCAGGTAAATAATGGGTAACTTTTTAGTACAAGTACAAGTACAGCCCATGTATTGAATGGGACATGCTTATACTAAAACTTTTTTTTTTTTTTTTTTTTTTTGAGACGGAGTCTTGCTCTGTCTCCCAGGCTGGAGTGCAGTGGCGCTATCTCGGCTTACTGCAACCTCCACCTCCTGGGTTCAAATGATTCTCCTGCCAAAGCCTCCGGAGTAGCTGGGATTACAGGCATGTGCCGCCACGCCCAGCTAATTTTTGTATTTTTAGTAGAGACAGGGTTTCACCATGTTGGTCAGGCTGGTCTCAAACTCCTGACTTTGTGATCCGCCTGCCTCGGCCTTCCAAAGTGTTGGGATTACAGGCATGAGCCACTGCTCCCGGCCCTAAAACATTCTTTTACCTGAAAAATTGTTTGACTGAAACTCTAATTTAACTGGGCACCTTCTGTTTTGTCTGGCAGCCCAATTGAGAAACAAGGCCGGGCATGGTGGCTCATGCCTGAATCCCAGCACTTTGGGAGGCGGAGGTGGGCAGATCACTTGAGGTCAGGGGTTCGAGACCAGGCTGGCCAACATGGCAAAACCCCATCTCTACTAAAAATACAAAAATAAGCCAGGTGTGTTAGCACACGCCTGTAATCCCAGTTACTGGGGAGGCTGAGGCAAGAGAATCACTTGAACCCAGGAGGTGGAGGTTACAGTGAGCCGAGATCATACCACTGCACTCCAGCCTGGGCAACAGAGCAAGATTCCATCTCAAAAAAAAAAAAAAAAGAAAGAAAGAAAAAGAAGATTGAGAAACTTGAAGCCTATATCCTTTCTTAAGAATTATCCAACACAAAGTTGTCAGACAACAAACAATTCTGGTACAGGTGAGGTGGCCTGGGGGAAGTCACTTTCACTCTCTTTGGCAGATACTTTATTTTCCACCTTTCCTCAGATTACATGTAGGTTTTCGGTTGAAGCCATGGAACAGATTTCATAACCAAGTTCAAGCTTTCCTGATGACCTAGCTGTGTGACTATGGGCAGGTTAGTTTAATGTATCAGTTTCCTCAATCATAAAACTTGTGAAAATACTGATATTTATATTCTAGGTTGTTGAGAAGATTCAAAGACATGATGTCTACTAAGTGCCTAGCAGCAGTCCCAGGGCATAGTATATGCTCAATAAGCGAAAGCCATTAGTATTGTTTTGATAGTTTTAAACACTAGTAGACTTAAAACACACTAAATTTCAGATGGTAGCATACCTCCTACTCACACACAGGCCATAGGGTCCATTAGCTCCACATCAGGACCATTCTAATTTTTTTTTTTTTGAGACAGAGTCTCGCTGTGTCACACAGGCTGGAGTGCAATGGTGTGATCTCAGCTTACTGCAACCTCCACCTCCTGTGTTCATGCAATTCTCCTGCCTCAGCAACCCAAGAAGCTGGGATTACTGGTGCCTGCCACCACGCCCGGCTAATTTTTTGTATTTTTAGTAGAGACGGGGTTTCACCATGTTGGCCAGGTTGGTCTTGAACCCCTGACCTCAGGCGATCCACTCGCCTTGGCCTCCCCAGCTGCTGGGATTATAGGCATGGGCCACCGCGCCTGGCCCCATTCTAATTTTTCACTTCATTGGATTACAGTTGCTGTTTTTGGTGGGACATGAGGTTTCACACCCAGTATAGGAGACCTGATAATCTTCCCATTTCCGTCTAAACCAGAGTCTCCAGCTCTCCCACTGTCTCAATTATTCCAAATGCTATTTGAAACCGTATGTATACTTTGTGATAAAGAGCATAATATAAGAGATGGAAAAGCTCAGGGTTATTTTGAAAGGATGGAAAGCCCAACTTTGAGGAAAAGGAGTAGAAAAAGGGGGAAAATGGAAGTACTTGGTTCTATTGTGTCTGGAATTCGTAGGTTCTTGGTCTCACTGACTTCAAGAATGAAGCCGTGGGCCCTCGCGGTGAGTGTTACAGCTCTTAAGGTAGCGCGTCTGGAGTTTGTTCCTTCTGATGCTCGGATGTGTTCGGAGTTTCTTCCTTCTGGTGGGTTTCTGGTCTCGCTGGCGCAGGAGTGAAGCTGCAGACCTTCACCGTGAGTGTTACAGCTATTAAGGCGGCATGAACCCAAACAGTGAAAGAACAAACCTTCCACGTTGTAGAAGGGGATCAAGCGGCTTGCCACTGCTGGCCCGGGCAGCCTGCTTTTATGCTCTTATCTGGCCCCACCCACATCCTGCTGATTGGTAGAGCCTAGTGGTCTGTTTTGACAGGGTGCTGATTGGTGCGTTTACAATCCCTGAGCTAGACACAAAGGTTCTCCAAGTCCCCACCAGATTAGCTAGACACAGAGTGTCCACACAAAGGTTCTCCAAGGCCCCACCAGAATAGCTAGATACAGAGTGTGGATTGGTGCATTCACAGACCCTGAGCTAGACACAGGGTGCTGATTGGTGTGTTTACAAACCTTGAGCTAGATACAGAGTGCTGATTGGTGTATTTACAATCCCCAAGCTAGACATAAAGGTTCTCCAAGGTCCCACCAGAGCAGCTAGATACAGAGTGTCGATTGGTGCATTCACAAACCCTGAGTTAGACTCAGGGTGCTGATTGGTGTATTTACAATCCCTGAGCTAGCCATAAAGGTTCTCCACGTCCCCATCAGACTCAGGAGCCCAGCTGGCTTCACCCAGTGGCTCCTGCACCGGGGCTGCAGGTGGAGCTGCCTGCCAGTCCCGCGCCGTGGGCCCGCACTCCTCAGCCCTTGGGTGGTCGGTGGGACTGGGCGCCGTGGAGCAGGGGGTGGCGCTCGTCGGGGAGGCTCGGGCAGCACAGGAGCCCACGGAGGGGGTGGGAGGCTCAGGCATGGCGGGCTGCAAGTCCCGAGCCCTGCCCCGCGGGAAGGCAGCTAAGGCCCGGTGAGAAATGGAGCGCAGCGCCGGTGGGCTAGCACTGCTGGGGGACCCAGTACACCCTCCGCAGCCGCTGGCCGGGGTGCTAAGCCCCTCATTGCCCGGGGCCGGCAGGGCCAGCTGGCTGCTCCCAGTGCGGGGCCCGCCAAGCCCACGCCCACCCGGAACTCCAGCTGGCCCGCAAGCGCCGTGCGCAGCCCGGGTTCCCGCTCGCGCCTCTCCCTCCACACCTGCCTGCAAGCTGAGGGAGCCGGCTTCGGCCTTGCCCAGCCCAGAAAGGAGCTCTCACAGTGCAGCGGTGGGCTGAAGGGCTCCTCAAGTGCCGCCAAAGTGGGAGCCCAGGCAGAGGAGGCGCCGAGAGCGAGCGAGGGCTGTGAGGACTGCCAGCACGCTGTCACCTCTCACTATGCAATGCTTTTCATAGGAACTCGGGAATGTTTGTGTTCTGGACAGGTAGGTTATGGAAAGAGCAGTGGACTCGGGGTCATCAGGACAGGTTCCAATTGTATCAGTGCTACTTATGAGTCAAGTCGACTTAGGAAAGTTATGTATCTCTCAGTTTTTTTGTTTGTTTTTCTTTTTTTTTGAGATGGAGTTTCGCTCTTGTTGCCCAGGCTGGGGTGCAGTGGCATGATCTGTGCTCACTGCAACCTCCCTCCCAGGTTCAAGCGATTCTCCTGCCTCAGCCCCCCAAGTAGCTGGGATTACAGGCGACTACCACCATGCCCGGCTAATTTTGTATTTTTAGTAGAGATGGGGTTTCACTATGTTGGCCAAGCTGGTCTCAAACTCCTGACCTCAAGTGATCCATCCACCTCAGCCTTTCAGAGTGCTGGGATTACAGGCATGAACCACCATACCTGGCCCATATCTCTCAGTTTTGATTCCTTATCCTTAAAATGGGAATATCGTGGTGTTTGGGGGGAAATTGAATGAAAAAAAAAGATATGCAAGCATGGCACCCCCAAAAAACTCATTAAGTCTAACTTGGTTTTGAGAGAACTTCACAGTGACCATGGAACATGTGCTTTTAATATTCGGGCGGCAGCTAATATTGTTACTTTTGAGTATGTGCACATGTATTTCTGTGTTTATCGTAATATTGATGTTAGCCACAACATTTATAGAGCATTGACTGTGTTGGGTGATCAAACTATCCCAGTTTGCCCAGGACTGAGATTGCTCCCAGGATGCAGGACTTAGTGTTAAAATGGGGAAAAACTGGGCTGGGCGCAGTGGCTCACACCTGTAATCCCACACTTTGGGAGGCCGAGGTGGGCGGATCACGAGGTCAGGAGATTGAGACCATCCTGGCTAACACGGTGAAACCCCGTCTCTACTAAAAATACAAAAAATTAGCTGGGCGCACTGGTGGGAGGCTGAGGCAGGAGAATGGTGTGAACCCGGGAGGCAGAGCTTGCAGTGAGCTGAGATCACGCCACTGCACTGCAGCCTGGGCAACAGAGCAAGACTCTGTCTCAAAAAAAAAAAAAAAAACGGGGAAAAACTGGGAAAATATCAGTTATCCTTCTACTATATGCAAATCGCTCTGTACACGTTATCCCGTTAACCCTTCAAAGCAACCCTATGAAGTAGGGACTCACATTATTGCCATTTTACAGACGGAAAGGACACTTGGAGAGATTAAACAACTTGCCAAGCCACACAGCTAATTAATGAGAAGAGTAGGATCTGAAGTATGACCTGTCCAATTGTAGATCCCAAGAACTTAACCACCATACTCTGTGCTTTTCGACGTCTCCAAAGGTCTTTTATTGCTGTTGCCTCTGTTATTCCTGGAACATTGCTAAACACCTTCCCATGTTCCCTTCTGTCACCAACACTTCCTGCTGCCCACCTGGGCCTCCAGCAAAGGGAGACACCAGCTCACAGAGCTAGGTCATGCCCAGTCTTGTATGTAGGCACCGCAGAGGCCCCTCCTTCCCTTAGCAACAGACGCTGAGACATGGTTACTGTGCCCAGCGCCTGCATACAAGCACTGCCAGTGTTAAGAGTCCAGGGAGGAGGAGGGAGAACAGTTCGGGCTGCCAGGATGTTGTTTGGAGGGGTGAGTCTCCCTCTTCTCTGTATTAATGTGTAACTCTGCTTCAGTCTTTCCTCTGCAGTGAACTCAGTGTGTTTCTGGAAAATTTCCAAGAGAGAAGCACTCAAGGGAAAGGAAGCGTGGCCACCGCTGGGGGACTAGGAACCAGAGCCAAAAGCGCAGCAGAAACCCAGTGCTGTCCCCTTATCTCTAGCTTCCCTTTCTCTCCTTTTTTACCAGGGAACTCCTCAGCGGGCCAAAGTCTATGACCTCAGAGAGGCAACCTCATGAACAGAGCTTTCAGAACATCTGGAAAGTTCCATTGTTGGTGTCATCCCCATTATGCTATAAGGAAGTGTGAATTTCAGACCAACTGGATAGGAGAGGCACATCCCTGGAGAAGCTGAAAGCTCTTTATTCATTTTAAAAAAATAGCTACAATTAGAGTGGACACCATGGGTGACATGGATTGCTCATCTCAGAAGGTAGGTGTGAATTTTAAGACGTTTCTTGTTTTACCTGTATTTTTTTTTTTTATTTTTTATTTTGAGACAGAGTTTTGCTCTTTGTTGCCCAGGCTGGAGTGCAATGGTGTGATCTCGGCTCACTGCAACCTCCGCCTCCTGGGTTCAAGTGATTCTCCTGCCTCAGCCTCCTGAGTAGCTGGGATTACAGGCATGTGCCACCACACCTGGCTAATTTTGTATTTTTAGTGGAGACAGGGTTTATCCATGTTGGTCAGGCTGGTCTTGAACTCCCGATCTCAGGAGATCCGCCTGCCTCAGCCTCCCAAAGTGCTGGGATTACAGGTGTGAGCCACCGTGTCTGGCCGATTTACCTGTATTTTTAATGTGTTGGGAATATGTGGGAAGAGGGCCAATTGGCATGTTAGATGCCCTTGACTGAACAAGTGTATTCATCACATTTTTTTGTTGTCTGCTTTGAAATATCATTTTTGCTGAATTAGACTTTTGGAAATCTTCAAGTTTTGCTGTGAAAAATCCGGGAATAGACACCCGTTCTTCCCTTTCCTTCCCTTCCAAGCCCATTAGACCATATATTCCAACCATCAGTTTTTGACTGTGGCTGAACATTAGAATATTCTGGGGAGCATCTTAAAAACATAGAGTCTTGGTCCCCCACTCCTAGATTCCGATCCAGAAGATTTGGAGTGGGGCCCTGGAATCTATATTTTTATCTAAGACCAGAGTGATTCTGGTGTAGCACGTCCTCAGACGAGCATTTGGGAATGGCCTCCATGAAGAACATACATACAACATGTGTAATCAGCAATAAGCTGCCCAAAGTGACAGTTCTACCCAATCTAAGTTCCAGAATTTCTGTTGTATCTGTGTTGAATCACCAGGTTGCCATACAGCGAAGTGCCCAGAGGAGCATTTTAAATAGAAACTTTGTAAAACTAAAGTGGATTTGTAGATAATAACTAAGCCAATATGCTCTGAAGTGAAAGCTCCTTGAAATTTACCAAAGAGAAGATTTAAGCATTAATTTCTTTCTTTCTTTTTCTTTCTTTCTTTTTTTTTTTTTGAGACAGTTTGTCTCTGTTATCCAGGCTGGAGTGCAGTGGCGTGATCTTCACTCACTGAAGCGTCTGCTTTCTGGGTTCAAGCGATTCTCCTGCCTCAGTCTCCTGAGTAGCTGGAACTACAGGTGTGCGCCACCGCCTGGCTAATTTTTGTATTTTTAGTAGAGACGGGATTTCTCCATGTTGGCCAGGCTGGTCTCGAACTCCTGGCCTCAAGTGATCCACCCGCCTCGGCCTCCCAAAGTGCTGGGATTATAGACATTAGCTACCACGGCTGGCCAAGCATTCATATTTTTAACAAACAATTTTGCACAACCAGCTAGTTCTTATGAGAATCTCGATCTCTTGAAGGTGCCACAGAGGATTCTTAGCCATTTATTGCCAGGAAAACTCTTTTAGCCCCATTCTGCAATTGATGCCTAGATCTGCTCATGTTGTGTGTGCCCCATGTGTTCCTGATCGACAGACTGGGATGCTTTCTGCTATCAGCGTACTTATGACTGTTTGTGTATTTGTTTTAGTCCAAGCCTATGACATAGCCTAGTTTAATTTGTTTCTACAGAGGTTCTCCCTCTTTCCATTGTGTTCTGCAAAATGCTCACGGTTTGCTTTCTTCATTATCCCGAGAACAGCGTCCCTGTCAGTTTGCATGATGCAGTAAGGAAGCTGAGGCAGGAGAATCGCTCGAACCTAGGGGGTGGAGGTTGCAGTTGTAGTGAGCCAAGATTGTGTCACTGCACTCCAGCCTGGGCGACAGAGCGAAAACTTGGACTCAAAAAAAAAAAATAAATAATAATAATAATAATAAATAAGTCACTGACTTAGAAGTCAAGCCGGCCAATTACATGGCTAGGATGTGTTACCTATCTTCTCACCCTCATTTTCTTCAGCTAGAATGCGGGTATGAAAAAAATCTCATGAGGTTGTACAGTACCTGGCACATAATCGTTTGGAATAATGGTAGATAGTATTGCTGCGGTTGTTGTTTTTCTGTTGTTATTTAATGAGGTAGGTGCTCCGGGAGAGATAATGATGGTTAATTTGAGTCATCTTTAAGGGGTTGGGGGCAGAGGGACAGCTAATAGTCATATGCCCCCTGCCCCATCCCACCCTCATCAGTGATCTTGCATGTCATAATTTGCACACCCAAATAAATCACACTGATACGATGTTGGCTCATCTTATATAGGAGTTAAGTCCAAAGTCAATGCCTAAGGTGAAAATCACAGAGAGTCAAAATTGCCCTTGAAAATCCCTCAAACCACCTTTAAAGTGCTGAACGGCAGCACCTCTCAATAAGTCCAGGCCAACAGCTTTTCTTCTAGTGTTGGAACAAGTTGCAGTTTCTCCATCACTAGTCCCAGGTGAAGTGGTTGTTTTGCATATAGGGGCTAAGTCTTAAGACAAAAACACATGTGATTTCATTCAATAATGTAGTCACTTTCTTCTCTGCTCAGGAGAGGTGGAGGGTCACTTGGAATCTGAGAGTGATTGTGGGAGCCACAAGTTGACCCTTACCTGAGGCTCACTCCACAGTATGCACTCACTGGTTGGAATGGAGTACTCAACACCCACATTGTTGAAATAACACTTTTTCTTTTCGCAGGAATCATAAAGAGTTGCTTATGTGTGTGTTAAATACACAGAAAATTCAGTGCCACTGCCTGAGTGAATTTCTCTTTGGAATTTTGCACATGTGAAAATGCAAGAGTCCACCTGGTGGAGTGGCTTATGCCTGTAATCCGAGCACTTTGGAAGGTCGAAGCAGGTGGATCACCTGAGGTCAGGAGTTCAAGACCAGCCTGACCAATGTGGTGAAACCCCGTCTCTACTAAAAATATGAAAATTAGCCAGGCATGGTGGTGGGCACCCATCCAGCTTCTTGGGAGGCTGAGGCAGGAGGATTGCTTGAACCTGGGAAGCAGCAGTTGCAGTGAGCTAAGATCGTACCATTGCACTCTAGCCTGGGTGACAGAGTGAGAGACTATCTCAAAAAAAAAAAAATGCAAGAGTCAATGTTTTTAAAGTCACCTCCTTTAATCATACCTGAGGGTAGGGTACTGGGGATGTCCTCAGAATTTGGGCTCTTCCACGGGGGAAAAATATTCAAATTTGCTCATAGAAGGGAATCCGAGGAGGAGACACTGAATGATTAAAAAATGAAGCAGGGGCCGGGCGTGGTGGCTCATGCCTGTAATCCCAGAACTTTGGGAGGCCGAGGAGGGCAGATCACTTGAGGCCAGGAGTTCAAGACCAGCCTGGCCAACATGATGAAACCCCGTCTCTACTAAAAATATAAAATTAGCTGGGCATGGTGGCAGTCACCTGTAATCCCAGCTACTTGGGAGGCTGAGGGAGGAGAATCACTTGACCCCCGGAGGCAGAGGTTGCATTGAGCTGAGATAGAGCCACTGCACTCCAGCCTGGGTGACAGAGCAAGACTCCATCTCAAAAAAAAAAAGAAAGAAAGAAAAAAGAAACAGGAGTGGAAGGGTTGGGGAGATGGTCATAGGATATAAAATTTCAGTTAGATGGAATAAGTTCAAGAGATCTGTTGTACAGCATGATGACTAATTAACAATATATTGTATTCTTGAACAACGCTATGAGAGTAGATGTGTTCTCACTGCAAAGATAATAACCATGCAAGGTAACGCATATGATAATTAGATTTAGTCACTCTATAATGTATATACACTTCAATACATCTCAGAGTGCAATCTCAGCTCACCGCAACCTCCGCGTCCCAGGTTCAAGCAACTCTCCTGTCTCAGCCTCCCAAGTAGCTGAGACTACAGGCACACGCCACCATGCCTGGCTAATTTTTGTATTTTTAGTAGAGACAGGGTTTCACCATATTGGTCAGGCTGGTCTCGAACTCCTGACCTCAGGTGATCCACCCTCCCTGGCCTCTCAAACTGGTGGGATTACCGGGGTGAGCTACCGCACCCAGCCCTTATCTGTTAATTTTTAAATAAATGAAACATACATAATGGATGGGAATGAGAGGAGTGTTTTGTTTTAGGTCCAGAACTCTGGACCTAAAACTTTTCCTGGGGACCTCTTTAGTCCTAACCAACTCAGAGGCTTGCAAATCTTCCCTAATTTTTGAAGGGTGACTTTGTTCCCATGTCCCACAGATCGCCAAAAGTGACTCCATACATCACATGAGCCACTCCCAGGGGCAGCCAGAGCTGCCTCCTCTGCCTGCTTCTGCTAATGAGGAACCGTCTGGACTCTATCAGGTATGCACACCTGGCTGCCAGCTCTTCTGTTGAGGGTGAGGAGGTGAAGTGCATCCCCCACTTCTCTCCGTATTTGGCAGGTACTCAATGAGGGTGGAGAGTCAAACAGACCTGACAAGTAGGATTAGTAGCTTTGGTCGCTTTTGCCCCCAGAAGAGGCTGCAGAAGTGTGGGAGAGAGAGCTATGCCATTGTCCAAAGGTGAATTAGAATCTGGCCGTCCACTGATCTGCTGTGTTATTTAAACTCTCTGAACTTCTGCGTGTTTCATTGTAAAATGAGGGTAATTGCTTGTACCTTGTAGTCATGTCCATAAGGAATAAAGACCAGAGATGTCAATTACCTGCCTCAAAATTACTGGTGAATGCAAGCTATTATCCCTGACATCAGAATTCATGCTTACAATGGTCAGAGAAGTACAGTTGGTGTCTGTTCAGACAATCTTTCCACTGAATGTGCAGAAGGCAGAAACATAGCATAAGGCACTTGGAACTCTTGTGAGCCTCAGTGTGAGCAGAGCTCAGGCTCATCGAGAGATGTTCCTCATTGTGTCTCACTCTGCACTTCTTACCTCGTAGACTGTCATGTCACACAGCTTTTACCCGCCCTTGATGCAACGCACGTCATGGACCTTGGCTGCACCCTTCAAAGAACAGCATCACCACCGTGGACCCAGTGATTCCATCGCCAACAACTACTCCTTGATGGCCCAGGACCTGAAGCTGAAAGATCTGCTGAAGGTCTACCAACCGGCCACCATCAGTGTCCCTAGGGACAGGACCGGTCAGGGGCTGCCATCATCAGGTACTTGTGGCAGTGTCACACCCTTGCAGAATGGGGCTTTGGAGGAAATTTTTATTTATTTATTTATTTTAGATGGAGTCTCACTCTGTCGCCCAGGCTGGAGTGCCATGGCACGATCGTGGCTCATTGCAACCTCCGCCTCCCGGATTCAAGTGATTCTCCTGCCTCAGCCTCCTGAGTAGCTGGGACTACAGGCCACACCTGGCTATTTTTTTTTGTATTTTTAGTAGAGATGGGGTTTCACTATGTTGGCCAGGCTGGTCTCAAACTCCTGACCTCAGGTGATCCACCTGCCTCAACCTCCGAAAGTGCTGGGATTACAGGCATGAGCCACTGTGCCTGGCCTGGAGTGAAATTTTTACTCCTGGATTCTGATCCTGGCTCCCCTTTTGCTGAAGCTAACTTTGGAGACTTTGCAAAGCCTCACTCTCCTCCTTATCTATGGAGGAAATGATTGCAAACGGCTAACATTTATAGACCATTTACATATACCAGGCACTGTTCTATGTACTTGTGTTATTGTTTGCATGATAAGTTATTCCAAAATTCTGTGGCTTAAAAGAACCAGTATTTGTTATCTTACAATTTCAGTGGGGCAGGAACGTGGGCATGGCTGAATTTGTAGTGCTGGCTCAGGGCCCCTCACTAGCGTACAATCAAGGCATACACCAAGGCCACCATCATCTAAAGGCAACTAGGGAAGGATCCTCTTCCAGGCTCACTCATGTCATCAGGTCCTTGCTGGCTGTTGGCCATAGACACCAGTTTCTTGCCACACGGGTCTCTCCCTTAGAACAACTCACAACATGGCTTCTGGCTTCCCTTAGAGCGAGGGAGGGGGAGAGAAAGAGAGAGAGCCAGCAAGAGAGAACCCATAGGCTTTTTTGGAACTTAATCTTGGAAGTGACATCTTGTCACTTTTGCCACATTCTATTTGTTAGGAGTCACTAGTTCTAGCCCATACTCAAGGGGAGAGGATTACACCACAAAGGGGTGTTACCAGGAGATGGGGATCATTGGGGGCTGTCTTGGAAGCTGCTTACCACAGCACCTTGTATGTATTAATTTAATTCCCACCAAGCATAGGTATATTGGCATAAGGATATCCTTTAGTAATTTTTGTTGGATGTATGTTGGCACTCTTGATCTGCTCTCTGTCTCAAACTCATTTTTATATTTTTCATTGTTTTCTCTGTGCTACGTCTGGGTGAGTTTCTTAATTACATCTTCCAATTTACTAATTTTCTCTTCAACTCTGTTCAGTCTTGAGTTTTTCATGTCTAATGAGTGTTTTTTGTTTAAATGACTATCTTTCCATTTCAAATTTTCTGATTACTTATGGTTTTCTACCTCCCTTTTCCAACTCCTGATTCCATTCTTATTGTCATAGCCCTTTCAATATCACTTGGAGGATTTCTTTTTCCCAAGTGGTTCTTACCAGTGTTATTTGTGTATTACATACACACCCACAGTCTCTAGGATGCTGCTTTTGCATGTTCCTGCTTTAAGGACATGTAGCAAATAATTAATGCCCAAATGTTCAAGATCATGATACACAGAACCTTAAGTTTGCTGCTCTAATTGGTAATTTCATGGTCATCATCTTAGTTCCTTTTGGGCTGCTATAACAAAGAATCATAAACTGAGTGGCTTATAAACTACAGAAATTCATATCTTGTGGTTCTGGAGTCTGTAAAGTCCGAGATCAAGGTACCAACAGATTCAGTCTATGATGAAGGTCCTCTTCCTGATTCATAGACATCTGTCTTCTCTATCTTCTTGCTGCATGCTCACATGGGAGAAGGGGTGAGAAATCTTTTTGCTGTTTTTTTTATAAAGGCACAATCTCATTCATAAGATGGAGCCCTCATGACCTAGTCACCTCCCAAGAGTCCCACCTCCAAATACCATCATGCTGGGGATTAAGGTTCAACATACTAATTTTGACAAGACATTAGCTTTCAGTCTGTAGCAGTCTTTAATAATTTTCTTAGTCCAAAATTATTAATATCTGTGAAGAACTAGTGCTATTGCTTCCCAGGTTTCATTGTCCCCAAAATTCTCAGGCAAGCCAGAGTCTTTGAATATAAAGTACTAAGATGCTTTCTTCAGAGCGGCACTGGTGTCTGTTATTCATGTCCTTGCTTGAGATGATTTCTGCTTATTATTCATTAAAATACATTTGTACTTGGAGGATCTTAAAAATTTATTTTGGAGCAATATTGTTATTGCTGTATTATTTCCATTTTGTGAATCTGTACCTTGATTGTTGTGTTTATTGAGAGGGTTGCTTGCCCCCAGGAGTTGGAGACCAGCCTGGGTAACATGACAAAACCCCGTCTCTACAAAAGATAGGAAAATTAGCCAGGTGTGGTGGCATGCGCCTGTACTCCTAGCTACTCAGGAGACTGAGGTGGGAGGATCACCTGAGCCTGGGTGGTTGAGGTTGCAGTGAGCTGAAATCATGCCACTGCACTCCAGCACAGGCAGCAGAGTGAGACCCTGTCTCAAAAAAAAAAAAAAAAAGGATTTTTGTATTGTTGTTATATGTGGACTATTTTGAGAAGTTCAAAGATAGACACTTTAGGAAGTAATATCTAATTAAAGTTGAATAATATAGTTTTTATATCACTTATTGAATTAATTGTAGCTACCTTCTATTTATTGCAAATGATATTGGTTTTTCTACTTGCAATAAATATGTACTTATTTTTTATTTGTGATAATCATAAAATTTCTTTTAAAAATAAATGTACTAAGTTTATTTTATTTATGTATGTATGTATGCATGTATGTATGTATGTATATTTTTTGAGACGGAGTTTCGCTCTCATTGCCCAGGCTGGAGTGCAATGGTGCTATCTTGGCTCACTGCAACCTCCGTCCCCAGGGTTCAAGCGATTCTTCTGCCTCAGCCTCCTGAGTAGCTGGGATTACAGGCGTGTGCCACCATGCCTGGCTAATTTTTGTATTTTTAGTAGAGATGGGGGATTTCACCATGTTGGTCAGGCTGGTCTCCAACTCCTGACCTCGTGATCTGCCTGTCTCGGCCTCCCAAAGTGCTGGGATTACAGGCATGAGCCACCGTGTCCGGCCTATTTTATTTTTTATTTTATTTATTTATTTTTGAGACGGAGTCTCACTCTGTCGCCCAGTATGGAGTGCAGTGGCACGATCTCGGCTCACTGCAACCTCCACCTCCTGGGTTCAAGCAATTCTCCCTGCCTCAGCCTCCCAAGTAGCTGGGTCTACAGGCGCTCGCCGCAATGCCCGGCTAATTTTTGTATTTTTCAGTAGAGATGGGGTTTCGCCATGTTGGCCAGGCTGGTCGTGAACTCCTGACCTCAGGTGATCTGCCTGCCTTAGCCTCCCAAAGTACTGGGATTACAGGCATGAGCCACCGTGCCTGGCCAAATGTACTAAGTTTAAATGCCCAGGTCTACTTAAAGAGAAATATTAAACAGTAATATAACAGGTGTTTAGAAAATAGAGCATACAATATTGGAGAGTACATGAAACAAGCAGTTATTAATTCTTGCCAAATGTATGAACGAATGGAAGATACGCACATCCCCACTTTACAGTTGAGGAAGCTGAGGTCCGGAGTGATGAAGCCAGTTCTTCAGGGTCACACAGGTAATCAGTGATGCACATGAGACCTGAGCCCACATCTCCTGCCACGTCACACCGTACCATGTCCGCTCCCCTTAGTGTGCTCCTGGACTGTTCCGAGAGTCATGCCCCTGTGGACGGAGAATGGCCCAAGGCCATTGCCCATCACTGATGTCTTTCTTCTCCATTCTTCCAGGAAATAGAAGCTCATCAGAGCCCATGAGGAAAAAAACGAAGTTTTCCTCCAGAAACAAAGAGGATTCCACTAGGTAAGATATCACTGTGGGCACCAGAGAAGGCAGGACGGTGGGCTGAACAGAAGGATGTGGTCTCACTAAAGCCACACTCTGCTTCTTGGCTTCAAAGCATTCCCAGATAATCATATTCTTATCCACGAATCACTTTAATCAAAAAAAAAATTTTTTTTTTTGAGATGGAGTCTTGCTCTGTTGCCCGGGCTGGAGTGCAGTGGCATGATCTCAGCTTGCTGCAACATCTGCCTCCCGGGTTCAAGCGACTCTCCTTCCTTAGCCTCCTGAGTAGCTGGGATTTCAGGTGCATGCCACCAGGCCTGGCTGATTTTTGTATTTTTAGTAGAGACGTGGTTTCACCATGTTGGCCAGGCTTTTTGAGATTGTAGACAAAAATAAACCAACTGAACAAAACCATGCTAAAATACCTATGAGGTGTTCAGTCATTAGGGTCATCTTGGAAGTATACACACATGCCATTAGATGACACAGAGGAGAGAGGCTTCTATTTGCAGAACCACACTCATCAGGCTAGGGAAAGTAGGCAACACCACAGCACCTCTCTGGAGAACCAAACACCAAGGGCTGAGCTGTGTCTACTTTTCAGGATCAAGTTGGCCTTCAAGACGTCAATCTTCTCACCCATGAAGAAGGAGGTAAAGACATCTTTGACGTTCCCAGGAAGCAGACCAATGAGTCCAGAACAGCAGCTCGATGTCATGTTACAGCAGGAGATGGAAATGGAAAGTAAAGAAAAGAAGCCATCTGAATCGGACCTGGAGGTACGTTCCTGTTGCCCCCTTTCCCTCGGTTTGCTGAGGGTTACTCTCGGCATCTCAGTGATTCTAAATTCAGGGAGAACAGCAGAATCACCTGGGAAATGTTTGAAAAACACCAAAGTCTAGACCCAAGACAGGCTACTGAAGAGGGCGCATGTTTGTGTGCTTGTGCGAGTGAGAGAGAAGGAGAGAGAGTGTGTGTACATGTTCTCTGCCCTAGTAAGTGATGGAAATTGATACCTTGAGTCCTTTTAGAATATAAGTTGCAAAAATAGTGGCCCATAGGCTGGGGGTGCCAGATTTTGCAAGACAAAAAATGGGACACATAGTTAAATTCAAATTTTAGGTAATGAATAACTTTTTAGTATAAGTATATCCCAAAGCATCCCATATTTTATATGGGATCTCTATCATAGGCTGAATTTGGCCTGTAGATGTGTTTTAAGAATGAGGTGGCTGGGCATGGTGGCTCACACCTGTAATCCCAGCACTTTGGGAGGCCGAGGCAGGTGGATCACTTGAGGTCAGGAGTTCAAAACCAGCCTGGTCAACATGCTGAAACCCCGTCTCTACTAAAAATACAAAAACAAAATTAGCCAGGCATGGTGGCAGGCGCCTGTAATTTCAGCTACTCGGGAGGCTGAGGCAGGAGAATCACTTGAACCTGGGAGGTGGAGGTTGCAGTGAGCCAAGATTGAGCCACTGCACTTCGGCATGGGCAACAGAGCGAGGCTCTATCTCAAAAAAAAAAAAAAAAAAAAAGAATGAGGTGGCTGGGCATGGTGACTCATGCCTGTAATCCCAGCACTTTAGGAGGAGGAATGGGGAGGATCACTTGAGCCCAGGATCTCAAGACCAGCCTGGGTAACATGGAGAAACCCAATCTCTACAAAAATTAGCTGGGTATGGTACCATGCATCTGTGGTCCCAGCTACTTGGGAGGCTGAGGTGGGAGGATCACTTGTCCCTGGGAAGCTGAGGCTGCAGTGAGCTATGATTGTGCCACTACATTCCAGTCTGGGCAGCAGAGTGAGACCTTGTCTCAAAAAAAGGGTAGGGGGAGGGATTCACAACCCTTTCTAGGACAAGACAACCTATCCCTTGGTCCCCTTCTCTGACACCTCAGGCATCCCAGCTATGATCATGCCACTGCACTCCAGCCTGGGCAACAGAGCAAGACCATATCTCAAAAAAAAAAAAAAAAAAAAAAAAAAAAAAGCATGAGGAAAGTCTCAAGCTACATTTTCCAACTTCTCTTGAGAAAACTAAAATATTTGGTGCTAAGCAGTAGCTACCTCCTTTAGATGAGAAATACACTCTTCAGTTTGTCATAGTTCCCACCATTCCTTATTATTTTCTTAGGTCTAGACAACTTTCACTTATTAACATTACCTGCCTGGCTCTAGATAGATGTTGGAGTTTCCAACCCGTCTTAAAAGAACAATAAAACTTTAGAGCAAATGTCTTGTGGGTTTAGGGTGTATAATAAAATGATTAATAAAAACTCACAGTGACTATGTGCTGTTGGCAAAATTCCCTGCTAAACCCTCTATAGCTACTTGACCCCACTTGAGACCCAGGTTCTATGATTATCTCTATTGTCCAGTTGCGGAAAGTGGAGTATAGACTGTTTAAGCAATGTGCTTAGGGCTACAGGGTAGGAGACAAAACTAAGACTGAAAGCCGGTCTGGCTGATACCAAAGTCTCTGTGTTGTTTTTTTTTTTTATTAGAGGGAGTCTTGCTCTGTTACCCAGGCTAGAGTGCAGTGGCACGATCTCGGCTCACTGCAACCTCTGCCTCCTGGGTTCAAGTGATTCTCCTGCCTCAGCCTCCCAAGTAGCTGGGATTACAGGCAACTGCCACCATGCCCAGCTAATTTTTGTATTTTAGTAGAGATGGGGTTTCACTATGTAGGTCAAGCTGGTCTCGAACTCCTGACCTTGAATGATCCACCCACCTCAGCCTCCTAAAGTGCTGGGATTATGGCGTGAGCCACCGCACCCAGCCAGTCTCTGTGTTCTTAAGAGCTGTGCAGCATTTCTGAAACTTGCCTGAAGATAAGGGTCACCTGGGGTCCTTGGTAAACACCCTAACTGCCTGAGGAGGGGCCTGGGAATCTGCATTTTAACAAGCACTTTTTACCCCCACCCTGCACCCAGGCAGTTCTTAAAATCAGAAAAGCTTTGCAATACTCCCCTGTTAGCAGCTGCTTTTACTAACGTTGGAGAGAGGCGAGAGTAACAAAGAGGCTGGCAGCAGCAACCTCTTTTTCTTTTCTTTTTTTTTTTTGAGACAGAATCTCGCTCTGTCACCCAGGTTTGAATGCTGTGGCGTGATCTTGCCCCACTGCAATCTCCACCTCCTGGGTTCAAGCAATTCTGCTGTCTCAGCCTCCTGAGTAGCTGGGATTACAGGTATGCACCACCCCACCTGGCTGATTTTTGTATTTTTAGTAGAGATAGGGTTTCACCATGTTGGTCAGGCTGGTCTCAAACTCCTGACTTCAGGTGATCCACCCGCCTTGGCCTCCCAAAGTGCTGGGATTACAGGCATGAGCCACCGTGCCTGGCCAGCAACCTCTTCTGATCTGAAACTTAAAAACAGACTTCAAGCCCTTTCCTCACACTCTGTGCTTCTCCTCTATCTGACATTAGTCATTCCCAGAGCCACTCAGCCATCCAGCAGCTCAGAGGCAAACCCTAAATATACAAAATTTCCTGAAGTCACTAGGTTCCACTGGCCATTTTTGTTTCATTTGTGTGTTTATGTTGCTTTTGAAACTCAAAAGCCCTTGCTTGGGTAAGAAGAACTATCAGCTGGGTGTGGTGGCTCATGCCTATAATTCCAGCACTTTGGGAGGCCAAGGTGGGTGGATCACCTGAGGTCAGGAGTTTGAGACCAGCCTGGCCAACATGGTGAAACCCCGTCTCCACTAAAAATACAAAAATTAGCTGGCTGTGGTGGTGCACACCTGTAATCCCAGCTACTTGGGAGGCTGAGGCAGGAGAATTGCTTGAACCCGGGAGGCAGAGGTTGCAGTGAGCTGAGATTGTGCCACTGCACTCCAGCCTGAGCGACAAAAGTGAAATTCTGTGTCAAAAAAAAAAAAAAAAGAACAACAATAGATCTTGGACTTTGGGGTTATTTTTCCCCACTGACAGCTAGAAGCCATGGGATCAAAGTGTTTTGTAGGAGATCATTGCTGTTCAGGAGGGTATGTGATTCGAGGCCATTTTAGGAGCTTGTCATTCCTTTACTTTTTTTTTTTTTTTTTTAGACAGAAATCCAACCCTGTTTGTCTGAGCTACCTTAGAAGGCAGAATCAGGACCAGTGAGTGAAAGCTTCCGGGGGGTAAATTCTAGCTCTGGATCAGGAAAATCTAATGTTTTTTTGTTTGTTTTTGAGACAGAGTCTCGATTGGTCACCCAGGCTGGAGTGCAGTGGCATGACCTTGGCTCACTGCAACCTCCACCTCCTGGGTTCCAGCAATTTTCCTGCCTCAGCCTCCTGAGCAGATGGGACTACAGGTGTGCGCCACCACGCCCGGCTAATTTTTGTATTTTGTAGTAGAGATGGGGTTTCACCATATTGGCCAGGCTGGTCTCGAACCCCTGACCTTGCAATTCTCCCACCTTTGCCTCCCAAAATGCTGAGATTACAGGTGTAAGCCACCACACCTGGCCTGTTATTCCTCTTCTTAAAGGTCACCAGATATGCCACCTCCATCCCTGGACTCTGTACTCACTCCACTGTTCCTATCTGGGTGGTATTTGACAAATCCTTCCTTATACCCCACTGACATCTCTCTGGCTTTGGTTGAATCCTCTGAAGTCCTGGGGAAAATTTGCCAGTGATCTTCTTGCCATGAGTGTGAAGCGACAGGCCCAGAATGCATGGTTATGGCAAGTGAAGGGTGCAGACGAATGCTGTATGAATGGGGTCCCTTGGCAGCTGATGGGCAGGACAGTTGAACCCATGATCCAATCATGACCATTTTCTCGCTGGTGGTTTGTTTATGGAAGAGATACTATTACTATCTGACCAATGGAATTCGCAAAGACATGATTGCCCCTGAGGAGGGTGAAGTGATGGTTCGGATTTCAAAGCTGATTTCTAACACGCTGCTGACGAGTCCCTTCCTGGAGCCCCTGATGGTGGTCCTCGTGCAGGAGAAGGAGAATGACTATTACTGTAGCCTCATGAAAAGCATCGGTAAGGCTGGTGGGCATAAAGGGGGCTGGGGAGCTTCTATGTAGAGGGCACCTTCTTTTTTATTTTTATTTTTGTAGAGACAAGGTCTTGCTTTGTTGCTCAGGCTGGTCTGGAACTCCTGGGCTCAAGCAATCCTCCCTCCTTAGCCTCCCAAAGTGCTAGGATTACAGGCATGAGGCACCATGCCTGGCCTGGAAGGCATCTTCTTTCTTCTCACTTTGTCATTTGCCACCCTGATTCCACTGGAAATACCCAAAACATCATTTAACCGCTAATTCAAAGTCCTGCATCCCCCTACCATCACTGATGTCTACACCAGCACTTCACATATTCACGTGCATCCCTGTAACCTGCAGATCTTAAAATGCAGATTGCGATTCAGTAGATCTGAACCTGGGGCCTGAGATTCTACATTTGTAAGTTTAAAACAATTTTTTTTTTTTTTTTTTAGCGACAAGGTCTCCCTATGTTGCCTAGGCTTGTCTTGAACATCCTGGACTCAAGAGATCCTCCTGCCTCGGCCTCCCAAAGTGCTGGGATTATAGACATGAGCCATCACACCTGGCTGAGATTCTACACTTCTTTTTTTTTTCTTTTTTGAGACAGTCTTGCTCTGTCGCCCAGGCTGAAGTGCAGTGGTGTGATCTCTGCTCACTGCAACTGCAGAGGTTGGTCAGGATTTCAAGACCTACCTGGGCGGACCCCTGGGTTCACGCAATTCTCCTGCCTCAGCCTCCTGAGTAGCTGGGACTACAGGCACGCACCACCACTCCCAGCTAATTTTTGTATTTTTAGTAGAGACAAGGTTTCGCCATGTTGGCCAGTCTGGTCTCGAATTCATGACCTCAAGTGATCTACCCACCTCAGCCTCTCAAAGTGCTGGGATTACAGGTGTGAGCCACCGCACCCAGCCTGCTACTTGTTCTTTATGACCCAGCACAAATGTTACATCCTCTATGAAGCTTTTCTACCAACCTTTCTTAGTATGGAAAACATTTGGTCTTTAAACTTCTATTTGTAAATATAATGGATGGTATCATCCATGGTGGGTTTTTTTGTGTGCATCTATTTTGGTGTGAGAAATCAATCAGTGACTAATGAGTTATCAGCAAATCCTATTTCATTGTCCTGCCTGATACTAGACATCCTACCAGGGCTCAACCCCAGATTCTAAGTGCTCCACACCGTGAAGTCACACTCCTCCTTTCTGTAAAATACCCTCAGAAAGAAAACAAACACCAAGAGTGAAGCTTCACCAGTTGAATTATACCCAGGGGATTACCCATGACCTTGCAAATGGACAGAGGCTCATTTATATTCTAAGAGTTGAAGCTAAGGCCAGGTGTGCTAGCTCACACCTATAATCGCAGCACTTTGGGAGGCCGAGGCGGGTGGATCACCTGAGGTCAGGATTTCAAGACCAACCTGGCCAACATGGCAAAACCCTGTATCTACTGAAAATACAAAAAATTAGGCAGGTGTGGTGGCAGCCACCTGTAATCCCAGCTACTCAGGAGGCTGAGGCAGGAGAATGGCTTGAACCTAGGAGGCGGAGGTGGAGGTTGCAGTGAGCTGAGATTGAACCATTGCAATCGAGCCTGGGCGACAGAGCGAGACTCCATCTCAAAAAATAAATAAATAAATAAATAAAAAGAGTTGACTCTAAGGCCAGGCATAGCAACTCATGCCTGTAATCCCAGCACTTTGGCAGGCTGAGGTGGGAGGATCACTTGAGCCCAGGAGTTTGAGACCAGCCTGGCCAACTTAGTGAGACCCCGTCTCTATATTAAAAACAAAACTAAATGAGTTGAAGCTAAGAGCACAACCCTTAGAGCTTAATAATGAGGTGTTCGCCCTTTCCGGTTGTAGTTGATTACATCCTCATGGACCCAATGGAGAGAAAACGGCTCTTTATTGAGAGCATCCCCCGCTTGTTTCCTCAAAGAGTGATCCGGGCCCCTGTGCCCTGGCACAGTGTCTACAGGAGCGCCAAGAAGTGGAACGAGGAGCATCTGCACACGGTGAACCCCATGATGCTCAGGCTGAAAGAACTGTGGTTTGCAGAGTAAGAAGTCCCTCCCTTTTTTTTTCATTCCCTTTCTTGACCACATCCACGTGTAAGCAAGCCTATTCTGCTGTGCACAGTGGGGGTAGCCCTGACAGCATAGAGAAATGAAAGAAAAAAAAATCTAGGCCAAATATGCATGTGAATTATAAGTGACACCTTTCCTTGCAGGCTTACGTGGCCCTCCTTTGTGTCCCCAGGGCACCCTGTGCCTGTCTCTAAGCACTGGAATATCCTGCTTAATTGCACAGACTTGGAGCCAGCCTGCTCAGGTCTAACTCCTAGCTCTGCTGCTTTACAGGCATATATGTGGTCGCATCACTTTTCTGTGCCTTGCTTCCTTTACCTCTAAATTTGCGATAATGTTAATAAGAGTTTCCACTTCATAGGATTGATAAGAGGAATAAATAACTTACTACATCCAAAGCACTTAGAACAGTATCTAATATAACTTAAGCACCAGTAATTGTTAATTTGGCATTACCTCCATTACAACATCACCCTCAGTTTTTGTTTTTGAGACAGAGTTTGGCTCTTGTTACCCAGGCTGGAGTGCAATGGCGCGATCTTGGCTCACTGCAGCCTCCGCCTCCCGGGTTCAAGCGATTCTCCTGTCTCAACCTCCCGAGTAGCTGGGATTACAGGCATGCGCCACCATGCCTGGCTAATTTTGCATCTTTAGTCAAGATGGGGTTTCTCCATGTTGGTCAGGCTGGTCTCGAACTCTCGATCTCAGGTGATCTGCCAGCCTCAGCCTCCCAAAGTGCTGGGATTAGAGACATGGGCCATCGCACCCAGCTCACCCTTGGTTATAATAGAACATTTACTTATTTGTCTCCCTTTAGCCTATGAAGTGTGTGCGGGCTTGGGTTTTATTCCTTTTTTTTTTTTTTTTTTGAGACGAATCTCACCCTGTCACCCAGGCTGGAGTGCAGTGGCATAATCTCGATTCACTGCAACCTCCTCCTCCCAAGCTGAAGCAATCCTCCCACCTCAGTCTCCCAAGTTAGCTGAGTAGTTGGGACCACAGACCCACACCACCACACCCAGCTAATTTTTTGTATTTTTTGATAGAGACGGAGTTTCACCATGTTGTCCAGACTGGTCTCAAACTCCTAAGCTCAAGCAATCCACCCACATCGGCACCCCAAAGTTCTGGGATTACAGGTGTAAGCCACCACGCCCGGACGGTCTTATTCCTTTATGTAACTCAGTGCCAGTACAGGGCTGGCAAGCAGTGATCTCTCAGGTATATTTATCAATAATTAAATTTGCGAAACTCCGTCTCAAAAAAAAAAAAATTGTAGGAGTCCAGATGAGACAGAAGCCACCTTTTTTCATTCTTTCATTTTAAAAAAAAGTGAGATATCCACATTCCATAAAATTCACCCTTTGAAAGTACACAATGCAAGTTTTTAATATATTCACAAGTTTGTTTAATCCTTACCACTGTCTAATTCAAGAGTATTATCATTACCCCAAAAAGAAACCCATTAGCAGTCACTCCGCATTCTCACCTTCCCCCATTTCCTCCCAACCACTAAGTGATTTTCTGTCTCTATGGATTTGCATATTCTGGACATTTTATAGAAATGGAATCATGCAATATATGATCTTTTGTGTCTGGTGTCTTTCAATGAACAATATTGTCAGTCTTCATCCACACTGAAGCTTGTATCAGTAGTGAGTGCTTCCTTTTTATGGCGGCATACTAATCCATTGGATGGCTATCCGACATTTGTTTTATCTATGCATCAATTGCAGTGAGCCTGGAGGTGGAAGACTCTGGTTTTTTTAGTGAGCCCTTCAAGAAGGTACACATCCTGGTGAGAGGATGAAGACACCGGAGTTCACTGAAAGGCCAGGCTAATGAAATGATGAGCTGCCCCCATCTGAGTTTTGTATTAGAAAAATTAGAGGCAGATATGCTTACTTAACTTTGATTGGCCGAACTTATTAGTAGCTCATGTATTTTGCTTTGGGAGGATCTCTAGCTTTGAACGTGTTCAGTCTTAAGGGAGCCCTGTGGCTTGGAGAACCTACTTGTTTTTCAAATCCTTAGTTTTGCTTGTATTTTAAAAAGGAATTGAGGGGGTGAAGTCAACGTAGGACAGAGCCCATCAGTGAAAAGAAATAGCTGTATTCTTTTCTTTGAACTGAATTCAATTTTCTAAAGCATTGGAAGTACCAGTCAGCAGTCAGGACATTGAGAAAAAAGAAGTAATTTTCTAACTAAGTGGAACCATATAAAGTAATAACTTATAGAATGGGATCTGAATTCTGGTTCTTGTTCTGTTACTAATTAATAGTATAATTTGAGAGAAATTAATCCCTCTGTGACTGTTTTCTTTTCTTTCTTTCTCTCTTCCTTTCTTTCTCTCCCCCTTTTTTTTTTTTTTTTTTTGAGATGGAGTTTCACTCTTGTTGCCCAGGCTGGAGTGCAATGGCGCGATCTTGGCTCACCGCAACCTCTGCCTCCCAGGTTCAAACATTTCTCCTGCCTCAGCCTCCCTAGTAGCTGGGATTACAGGCATGTGCCACCATGCCTGGCTAATTTTTTTTTGTATTTTTAGTAGAGACAGGGTTTCTCCATGTTGGTCAGGCTGGTCTCGAACTCCCGACCTCAGGTGATCCACCTGCCTCAGCCTCCCAAAGTGCTGGGATTACAGGCAAGAGCCACCACGTCCGGCCTTTCTTTCTTTCCTTCCTTCCTTTCTTTTTCTTTCTTTCCTTCCTTCCTTCCTTCCTTCCTTCTCTCTCATCTCTCTTTCTTTTCTTTCTTCCTTCCTTCCTTCCTTCCTTTCTTTCCTTCTTTCTTTCTTCCTTTCTTTTCTTCTTTCTTTCTCTTTGACCCTGTTTGTCCTTCCTTCCTTCCTTCCTTCCTTCCTCTGTGACCCTGTTTCTTTCTTGCTTTCTTGCTTGCTTTCTTGTTTTAGACAAGCTTTTGCTCTGTCACCCAGGGTGTGGTGCAGTGGCATGATTAGAGTTCACTGCAGCCTCAAACTCCTGGGCTCTCTCCTCAGCCTCCCAAGTAGCTGGGACTATAGGTGCATGCCACCATGTCTGACTAATTTTTACATTTTTTGTAGAAACAGGGTCTCTCTAGGTTGCTTAGGCTGGGCTTGAACTCCTGGCTTTAAGAATTCCTCCTTCCTCAGCCTCCCAAAGTGTTGCGATTACAGGCATGAGCCACCGCCTAGTCTGACCCTGTGTTCTACATGCAAATGGGAATCATCATAACAATACCTACCTCCTGGAGTTGTTAGCTAAAGAAAGTGCTTAGACTGCTGCTTGGCACACAGTAATTGCTCAACAAATTAAGGTATTGCTTTAAGTACAAGCGTGTTTATGAGCTAAAAAAATAAATTAACATAGAAACTAGTGAGGAAGTCAGTCTTAGAGCTGGATGAATAGCCAGAAACTTCATAAAGAAGTTCAGAAGATAATAGATAATCACATGTACCTGAGTTTAAATTGATCTCGTAGCAAAGACGGCAAATTGTTGAGCCTATAGCTTCACTGAGAAGAAAGGCTTTTTACCACTTGCTTTTCATGGTTCCCTGAGGAAGATTATGCCAGCAACAGCAGCACCAAAGTGAACTGAAATCATTTAGAAGAATTTTATCAACTGAACCAAAAAAATCAGCAATGAGAGCCTGGGCGTGGTGGCTCATGCCTGTAATCCCAGCACCTTGGGAGGCTGAGGTGGGTGGATCACCTGAGGTCAGGAGTTGGACACCAGCCTGACCAACATGGTGAAACCCTGTCTCTACTAAAAATACAAAAATTAGCCAGGCGTGATGGTGTGTGCCTGTAGTCCCAGCTACTTGGGAGGCTGAGGCAGGAGAATTGCTTGAACCTCAGAAGCTGAGGCTGCAGTGAGCCAAGATCGCCACTGCACTCCAGCCTGGGTGACAGAGTGAGACCCTGTCTCAAGAAAAAAAAAAAAAAAAAAGTGGAGGGCTTGATGAGAGCTTTTTATTAGTTTCCGCTCTTCCTTATCCAGCCGCTCTATCCTACCGATATACTCTGGACAACTCTAGCATCAATAGTTCTAGGAGGTGTCACTCAAGCATAAGATAGAAAATAAATATATATTAGGTCCAAAGGCTCTTCTGTCTCTTGGCTTCCAAACTGTGAGTTCATTTGTTTTTTTTTTTTTTTTTTCATTTATTTAGTCATTCATTCATTCATTCATTTAACAAATAGGTGCCAGGTCCTGGTTATGTGCTAAGCATTGTTTTAGTGTAGTAGAGAACAGAAGTGAGTTCATTTTTCTAGGGGGAAAACAGACAATAAATATATTAGGTAAATAAATTATATAATATGTTAGAAGGTGATGGGTACTATGAAAAGAAAAATTAGCCAGAGTAATGGGGATAGGGAGTGTGGTTTGTGTGGGGCTGGGGTGGGGCTGCTTGCCCATAAAACACTTGTTTGAATCTAACAAACCTCCCCGCTACCCCTGTCCACTAATGGGATGGATGCAGCCTAACACCAGGGTGCATTTGTTTTTGTTTTTGAGACAGAGCCTTGCTCTGTTGCCCAGGCTGGAGTGCAGTGGTGCGGTCTCGACTCACTGCAACCTCTGCCTCCTAGGTTCAAACAATTCTCCTGCCTCAGCCTCCTGAGTAGCTGGGATTACAGACACCCGCCACCAGGCCCGGCTAATTTTTTTTTTTTTTTTTTTTGTAGAGATAGGGTTTCACCATGTTGGCCAGGCTAGTCTCTTAACTCCTGACCTCAAATGATCCACCCACCTTGGCCTCCCAAAGTGCCGGGATTACAGGAGTGAGCCACCATACCCAGCCCCAGGGTGCATTTCTTGACAAGCAGAGCACTCACCCATTCTGGCCCTTTGGAAGGGGCAGATCCTGCACAACCACACACCCAGCCATGGGTAGCCTTTACTGTGAAGGTGACATTTGAGCCAAGGCTGGAAGGTGAAGAGTCAGCTCCATAGAAGTCGAGGGGATGAGTATTGGAGGCAGCGGGAACAGCTTGTGCACAGGACCCAAGCAGCAGCAGGTGGGCACGGCCTGGAAACAGTATGAGGTGAGCGTGCCTGGAACACTGTGAGTCACGGAGGTGGGTAGGAGAGGAGATGGGGAGGGGGGGAGGTGACAGGCAGGACAGGAGCAAGAGAGATGGCATAGGGTGCAGAGCACCTAGTGGGCCCCAGTCACTAGGCACGCTTTTACTCTGAAATGGGAAGTCATTGGAGGGTTTGGAGCAGATAGAATCTGACTTAGGTGTTAAAAGGATACCCCTCGTAGTGGAGAAAACTCTCATTTCTTCTCACTGGTTGGCCTTTCTTCACCCTCACAGTGACAGGAGTTAGAGGGCTTAAAGAGGCTTTTTTGGCTCCACAAGCTTTTTTTTTTTTTTTTTTTCTTTGTAGAGACAGGGTGTTGCTCTGTCACCCAGGCTGGAGTGCAGTGATGCAATCAGGGCTCACTGTAGCCTTGACCTCCTGGGTTCAAGCGATCTTCCTGCCTCAGCCTCCTAAGTAGCTGGGATTACAGGTGTGCACCACCACACCCAGCGCGTCTATTTTTTTTTTTTTTAGACGAGTCTCGCTCTGTCCCCCAGGCTGGAGTGCAGTGGCGTGATCTCCTGTCACTGCAAGCTCCACCTCCCGAGTTCAAGCAATTCTCTGCCTCAGCCTCCCGGGTGGTTGGGATTACAGGCGCCCGCCACCACACCCGGCTAATTTTTTTGTATTTTTAGTAGAGACGGGGTTTCAGCATCTTGGCCAGGCTGGTCTTGAACTCCTGACCTTGTGATCCACCCACCTCAGCCTCCCAAAGTGCTGGGATTACAGGTGTGAGCCACCGCGCCCGGCCTTTTTTGTTTTGTTTTGTTTTGTTTTTGGAGAGATGATGTCTCACTATATTGCCAGGCTGGTCTTGAACTCCTGAGCTCAAAGCCATCCTCTCTCCTTAGCCTCCAAAGTGCTGGGATCCATAAACTCTTTGTTTTAAATCAAAGCAGTCCTCAAAGTTACCTTCAAGAGCTCACCCAGAGGCTTGGGTGAATCCCATTTGATGATGAAGATGTTCTGCTTGGTCCTGGCCTCTGGGTCTTCACTGTTGTAAAGAACATTGATTCGTCCATTTGATACCCAAGTTCTCAGCCAGCTGAGTCTCCAGCTGGTGCCACAGCCCCACTTCTTGATGGGTTATGCAGAGTGAGGCATATCTCTAAGGCTCAGGAGCACTCTTGGGTCACCTCATTTGTCTCCTCCCTGCAAGCGTTCTTTAGGACTTAGCTCCTCCCTCCTCAGCCTCCCATATCCTCCTCAGCATCTTTCCCATATCCTGTAATTCATTTGATTCTGCTTAACTTTCATTGAGAAACGTGAACACACACCCTTGGAACCTGTCCTGCGGGATTTGTTATTAAGCGTTCTTTAGCTTAGGAAATTTCTCCCTCTCTTTTGGCAGATTCAGAGACCTCAGGTTTGTTCGAACAGCAGAAATACTAGCGGGAAAATTGCCTCTGCAGCCTCAGGAATTTTGGGATGTGATCCAGAAACACTGCCTGGAGGCACACCAGACTCTTCTCAACAAGTCAGTATCTGCCCTCCAAGTGGGGCTGCACCATGGTATCTTAAAGACTGAAAACCCTCTGAAATGAAGCTGGTACCCAGCCTGGGGTTTGTCCCACTGGCATCCTTTCGTGTCTTTTTTTTTTTTGAGACAGAGTCTCTTTCTGTCACTCAGGCTGGAGTGCAGTGGTGTGATCTCAGCTCACTGCAACTTCTGCCTCCCGGGTTCAAGCGATTATCCTGCCTCAGCGCCCCCAGTAGCTGGGACTACAGGTGCATGCCACCATGCCCGGCTATTTTTTTTTTTTTTTTGTATTATTAGTAGAGACAGGGTTTCACTGTGTTAGCCAAGCTGGTCTCAATCTCCTGACCTTGTGATCTGCCTGCCTCGGCCTCCCAAAGTGCTGGGATTACAGGCATGAGCCACCGCGCCTGGCCTCGTGTCCTCTTTTTTTCATGTCCAGCTGCTTTCTGCCCCATGCCTGGTCTCCCTCTGCCTTCTTGAAATTCCCCTATCACCATTCCCTGGGAGGCTGTCACCCCCATTTCCTCCTCCTCGAATCCTTTAGACCAGCGGTCCCCACCCATTTTGGCCACAGGGACTGGTTTTGTGGAAGACAGTTTTTCCACAGACTGGGCCAGTGGGATGGTTTCGGGGTGATTCAAGCACACGGCATTTACTGTGCACCTTATTTTTATGATTACATTGTAATATATAATGAAATAATTCTACAACTCACCATAATGTAGAAACAGAGGGAGCCCTGAGCTTGTTTTCCTGCAACTAGATGGTCCCATCTGAAGGTGATGGGAGACAGTGACAGATCATCAGGCATTTGATTCTCCTAAGGAGTGTGCAACCTGGATCCCTCGCATGTGCAGTTCACAGTAGGGTTCACGCTTCTGTGAGAATCTAATGCCGCTGCTGATCTGACAGGAGGCAGAGCTCAGGCGGTTAAAAAAAGCCATGGGGAGCGGCTGTAAATACAGATGAAGCTGGCTCGCCCACCTGCTGCTCACCTCCTGCTGTGCAGCCTGGTTCCTACAACCAGTCCATGGCCCAGGGGTTGGGGACCCCTGCTTTAGACCTTGCTGTGTTACAGGGGAATGCATTTGAATGACTTATATTCAGATAGTCCAGATAAACGGCCTCAAGATTTCAAGGCAAAAGGGTTTCATACATTTACACAATTCCTTTTTCCTTTGCAAATGCCTGCAAGACTACCTCCACAGCCAGAGAAATTCCCTTGTGTAAAACAGTGATAATAATACCTGCAGATGGGTTTTCTTTAGCAGAGAAAATGTAGATGCTATCATTGGCACATAATAGCTGCTCAATAAATCTCATACCTCTATGACTACAACCAGTAGTAGTGCTTCTCTGGTTGCTAGAGTAGTACCTTTTTAGCGATCAGAGAAAAGATGCAATAGGATGAAAAGGCCAGTGGTTTCCACTGGGAATTAGAAACTGGGGGACATGGGAGGAAAGAAACAATGAAGCATCTATTTCTTTTTGTTTGTTTGTTGTTGTTTGTTTGTTTGAGACAGAGTTTCACTCACTCTGTCACTCAAGTTGGAGTGCAGTGGCACAATCTCAGCTCACTGCAACCTCCCATCTCCCAGGTTCAAGTGATTCTCCTGCCTCAGCCTCCCAAGTAGCTGGGACTACAGGTGTGTGTCACCATGCACCATGCCCAGCTAATTTTTGTTTGTTTGTTTGTTTTTGTAGAGATGGAGTTTTGCCATGTTGGCCGGGCTGGTCTCTAACTCCTGGCCTCAAGTGATCTGCCCGCTTCGGCCTCCCAAAGTGCTGGGATTACAGGCATGAGCCACCACACTTGGCTATTTCTTCTTTTGGTTTTCTGATTTCTACCATCAACTTCTGAGCAGCCAGGGCCACACTGGAGTTTCTCCTTTCATGTTTTCTTTCTTTGCTCCTCATTCTCTCTTTCCCCCTATGAAGTTTGAATCAGAGACCAGGCATCTGCTAGAGAGAGAGAAGTTGGACAGAACATTCTAGTTCCTTATGCCCCTTTACCCCAATCTCTGATTATAATGAAGAAAGTGTAGACTCTTTCAGCAGGATGTGCCACCAATATCCCCTTTCCATTTGGGTATTCTCAATGGAAGAATAACCTCTTAATTCAAATCTTATTACTTTCTTCCCAAGAAAGAGGCATGGCAGGTAAGGTGGCTGGAAATTGAAAGTACTGATTTGCAAGGCTGCTTGGTGGGACATTGAGCCCATCTGCCTCATCACTGAGCTCAGGGGGCACGGCAAGTGGGTTCCTCGGAGCCCAGAAGAGCTTCTCACATGGACACCCTTCTGTCTTTACAGGTGGATCCCCACCTGCGCCCAGCTTTTTACCTCACGGAAGGAGCACTGGATTCATTTTGCTCCCAAGAGCAACTATGACTCAAGTCGAAACATTGAGGAATATTTTGCTTCTGTGGCATCATTCATGTCGCTGCAGCTTAGGGAGCTGGTCATTAAGTCACTTGAGGACCTCGTTTCCCTTTTCATGATACACAAAGTAAGTCAGGGACCTGCATTTGGACCTTTTGAGGGGAATAACCTGGTTACTTGGTTAGAGCCAGGACTCTGTCATGTACGTCCTCAGCTGTGAGCCAGGGCACAAAGTGAAATGCTTGACTTCCACCCACATCAGGCAGTTGTTAGTTTATAAAAATGTCTTCTTTTAGCTGGAAGAAGGATATTGAATGTTCCCAACACACACACACACAAATGGTAAATGTGGCCGGGTGCATTACAGGCCACGTCTGTAATCTCAGCACTTTGGGAGGCCAAGGCGGGCAGATCACCTGACGTCAGAAGTTCAAGACCAGCCTGGCCATCATGGTGAAACCCTGTCTCTACTAAAAATACAAAAATTTTCCTGGCATGGTGGCGGATGCCTGTAGTCCCAACTACTCGGGAGGCTGAGGCAGGAGAATTGCTTGAACCCAGGCGGCGGAAGTTGCAGTGAGACCAGATCGCGCCATTGCACTCCAGCCTGGGCGACAAGAGTGAAACTCTGTCTCAAAAAGGAAAAAAAAAAAAAAGTAAATGTTTGAGATGATAGATATGCTAATTACCATGATCTGACCACTATACATTATATGTATCCTGTAAATATGTACAATTAATCAGTATCAATTTTTTAATTTTTAAAGAGAGGTATAAAACCATAAATAAAATCTTAAGAAGTCCAGTCCAGCTGTGGATTGGAATAATTTTAAAAATAATTTCCTTAAATACATGGCAAACTTTCTTGAGATAATCACTCAGTATTAAGTTGGTAAAAATGTACAGAAGTAGAGAAGTTGTTAAGAAAATTTAAAGAAAAATTGCATAAAATGAAAGACATATGTCTTACAGTTTGGGGAGAAGGAATCATTTTTTTCATCCTCTCTTTTACAAGAAGGGGTTGGAAAAGGTTTGTTTTCAATCTTTGGCTTGATATTGAGGGAGTGCTGTAGGTTTCATTGTAGATATGGGTTTTTGTTCTTTGGTCTTGGCAAGGGGCACCTCTAAAGACAAAAGGCTTTGTTGACCTAATTAAGAAATTCTTTCATGAAACTGTTTTAGGGAAGTCAAAATGAAAACTAAAAACACTGGCCAGGCACGGTGGCTCACGCCTGTAATCCCAGAACTTTGGGAGACCGAGGCAGGCAGATCACCTGAGGTCAGGAGTTTGAGACCAGCCTGGTCGACTGGTGAAACCCTATCTCTACTAAAAATACAAAAATTAGCCGGGTGTGGTGGTGTGTGCCTGTAGTCCCAGCTACTCAGGAGACTGAGGCAGGAGAATCACTTGAACCCAGGAGGCAGAGGTTGCAGTGAGCCGAGATCACGCCACTGCCTGGCTCCAGCCTGGGTGACAGAGCGAGACTCTGTCTAAAAAAAAAAAGAGAGAAAACTGAAAACACTAAGTCCTAGTTTTCAAAGCACCATAGCATTCCCTGAATTTGGATAGCCTAAAAATCGATGAATATTCTTTTGAATTTTATGCCGTGTGCACATTTTACCTTAACAAAGTAACAAAAATTAAAAATTACCTGGTTATAAAAGGTTAAGTTTTCCAAATGAAGTAATAAAGATTAACAATTGGTCTTTTGCTCAAAAATATAGAAACCAGTGGGGCTGAATTGCAATGTTAGCTCTCTAAAGAAGACCAATCTATAAATGTCATTGTGATTGTCTACTTTGCTAAGCATAAGAAACCCAGGGGTGGAAGCCAATCTCACTCTAAAATTCCACACAAAGGGAAATGTAAAATCTTCCTGTGTCTGGAAAATAGGGGGGAATTTATAGGTATTTGATATACAGTAGGTATTCACCAAATATCATCAGTCATCTTTAAATGGATCTAGAAATCTCTATGTAAGAAGTACTTTACAGCTGCCTTCTGACAATTTCATTAGGCGCTGTAGTTTATGAGGGCATCCTGGGTTAGAGCTTTTGTAGGGAATTGGAAATAGCTCTATGTCAATATTTCTGTTGTAGCAAGGTTGACATTTTGAGTGTCTAAAATAAACTATGCTCATTAGCAACTCCATTTGGGGTTATATGGATTATGATTAATACTTTTGGACTGAATCAATAAATTTTTATTGAGCACCTGTTAGGTACTATATGCTGTCTCAGGTATTTTGGAGGAGAGAGGTGATCAGACATAGATCCTGCCCTCAACTTTAGAATAGACAAGTTGAGATACGCATATAAATTCCTACCAGAGAGAAAGAAAAAAATACTAGGCTGGGCCTAGTGTCTCATACCTGTAATCCCAGCACTTTGGGAGGCTGAGGCAGGAGGATCACTTGAGCTCAGGAGTTTAAGACCAGCCTGGGCAACATAGTGAGACCTCATCTCTAAGGACACAAATAAAATAAATTAAAAAAAAAACAGAGGAAGTAGAAATACACAAGTTCAGAAGTGGGAGGAGATTATATCCAGCTGAGAAACAGGGAGGCTTCCCAAAGGAAGAAATGTTTTAGCTGAATTTTGAAGGATGGGAAGGATCTAGATATTGGGTGCAGGAATTACCAAGCCGCATAAACAAAAGGGAATAAAGGCTTTGGGAAAGGGAGAGTGCATGGAGTCAGGGTGGGCTAAGCTATACCCAATACATATTTTATTTGTTTTTTATTTTTTTGAGATGGAGTTTCACTCTTGTTGCCCAGGCTGTAGTGTAACGGCGTGATCTCACTGCAACCTCTGCCTCCTGGGTTCAAGTGATTCTACTGCCTCAGCCTCTCAAGTAGCTAGGATTACAAGCACCCATCACCATGCCTGGCTAGTTTTTTGTGTTTTTTAGTAGAGACGGGGTTCCACCATGTTGGCCAGGCTGATCTTGAACTCCTGACCTCAGGTGATCCACCTGTCTCGGCCTCCCAAAGTGCTGGGATTACAGGTGTGAGCCACGGTGCCCAGCCCCAGCCCATATTTTAAATATAAACAGTGTATGATGCCCTTCATTGCCTTTTCTGGTCCTCATGTAGTTCTATGAATGTATAAAATTCACTCCCTTGATTTTGGAAGGCCCAATTTTGTAACGCTTGCCCTACCTTATGTCTCCTGAAGGATGGGAATGATTTTAAGGAGCCCTACCAAGAGATGAAGTTTTTCATACCTCAGCTAATCATGATCAAACTTGAAGTCAGTGAACCCATTATTGTCTTCAATCCATCTTTTGATGGCTGCTGGGAATTAATACGTGACTCTTTCCTGGAAATTATTAAGAACTCTAATGGGATCCCCAAGGTATAGTAGTCACTTAATCATTCATTTGCATGATTTTTTCACTTAGTGAATAAAATGTATTGAAAGAGGTTGTACAAGTCAGGTCGCTGGGATATTCAGTTAAGGGAGCTTCACTTTGGAGATATATCCTGAATATAACCCCTTGACCCCAGACAAATGATTTAGACCATAAAGAAATATTCACGCAGCCCAGAATTGTGCTTCTAACAAGAGCACGAAGAGCTGCTTTGTAGGAGAATCACTTGAACCCGGGAGGCAGAGGTTTCAGTGAGCTGAGATGGCGTCACCGCACTCCTGCCTGGGCGACAGAGCGAGACTCCATCTCCAAAAAAAAAAAAAGAAAAAAGAAAAAAAAAAAAAGACCTACTTTGTGAGAGAGTATAGTGTCCTCCATGATGTCAACCTCAATGAATCAGATAGGTCCCAAGCCATATCTGTGGGTTAATAATCCATCATGAATCAATTGCCATTAACTTGCCAAGAACTTTTTTTCAATTTCAGTTTGAAGTTTCACTCTTCTGTGTGCTTATTTGTTTGTTGGTTTGTTATGTTTTAGCCACTGTAGGCTTCTAGAGAGAATAACCATTCCTTTCCTGGCCCACGCCCTTTCCAGTTTGCTTTCCAGGGTAGAGTTACTAATTAAATTCCAGACACTTATTAACAAACTTTTATTACTAGACAGGATCATGCACATGGATGTAACTCCTTTTAGCTCCATCTTTTCCTCACTCCCTCTGATTGGTTGGTATGACCAAAGGGCCATTGTCCAGTTCCATATAGGGAAGGGATCTGTGGGGTCTTGCTGGCTAGCTCCCTCACCCTTCCACCTTCTCACTCTCTCCATGCATTATGTATGCTTCACATGGGCCTTGCTCATGTGAAACGAATGCCCAGGAGTTCAAGGTTGCAGTGCAAGGAGGCCCAAGCATTCTTCTCTTTGCAATCTGGTACTTACAGGGTTCTAAGTACTCCATTAAAACTGGGTGTGTGGGAGGAGAAGAAACACTGGGCAGCTCTCCTACAACCAGTATCCCTAGGAAGGAAATGGAAGAAAAGACCCTGTAATTTGGATGACTATGTATGGGGACAGCTGAAATACATACCACTTAAGTTCTCCTTCACTGCTGCTGCTGCTGATCGGCAATGTGTGAAAGCAGCTGAGCCAGGAGAGCCCAGCATGCACGCGGCTGCCACTGCAATGGCAGGTACCAGGGCCGGTACTACATTTGATGAATTACAATGCCAAGAAGACATGGTTTGTACCAGGTTTGAAAACAAGGCCTATGTGAATACCAATGACTTTACGAGACAATAAGGAAAAACAACGTAGACTGAGTTCCCCATCTAGTGACACCCACAGCCCTAGCTTCCTCCTTAAGCCCCTCAGACTGTTTTATCTCTGAACTGGTTAGTGAAGACTTAAAAACATAGTCCTGCAGGTTGACTAAGAAAAATCTTTAAGAATGGCAACTGGTGGGTGTTACCTTCACTCACTGCAAGATCTGCCGTATATATGGTTTAAAAAGAATTTTAAAAGTTAGTTAAGGTCAATCATGGTGGCTCACACCTATAATTTTAGAGCTTTGGGAGGTCGAGAAGCAGGAAGATTGCTTGAGGCCAGGAGTTCAATATCAGCCTGGGCAATATAGCAAGACCTCATCTCTACAAAATTAAATTAGCTGGGGTGGTGGCACACGTCTGTAGTCCTAGCTACTCAGGAGGCTGAGGCAGGAGGATCGCTTGAGCCCAGAAGTTCAAGGGTGCAGTGAGCTATGATTGCACCATTGCACTCCAGCCTGGGCAACAGAGTGAGACTCTGTCAAAAAAAAAAAAAAAAAAGTTGGTAGGGAAAAGCTAACAAGAGACTTTTGAAAATAGAAAATAGAGTAAATAGCATTATTCAAGACACAGAAAGAAAGCAGGAAAGCATATTTGTGAGAAATAATTATTAAAGGGGCTAGGCACAGTGGCTCACACCTGTAATCCCAGCACTTTGGTAGGCCAAGATGGCTGGATCACCTGAGGTCAGGCGTTCAATACCAGCCTGGCCAACATGGTGAAACCCCGTCTCTACTAAAAATACAAAAAATTAGCCGAGATGGCTGGATCATCTGAGGTCAGGAGTTCAATACCAGCCTAGCCAACATGGTGAAACCCCGTCTCTACTAAAAATACAAAAAATTAGCCGGGTGTGGTGGCGGGTGCCTGTAGTCCCAGCTACTCGGGAGGCTGAGGCAGGAGAATCACTTGAACCCAGGAGGCGGAGGTTACAGTGAGCCTAGATTGCGCCATTGCACTCCAGCCTGGGCAACAAGAGTGAAACTCCATCTCAAAAAAAAAAAAGAATTTTTTTTTTTCTGCTTGAGCCCGGGAGGCAACCTCTACCTCCCAGGCTCAAGCCATCCTCCCATCTCAGCCTCCCAAGTAGCTGGGATAACAGGTGTGCACCACCATGCCCGGCTTATTTTTGTATTTTGTAGAGACAGGGTTCCGCCACGTTGCCCAGGCTGGTCTTGAACTCGTGAGCTCAAGCGATCTGCCTGCCTCTGCCTCCCAAAGTGTGGGGATTATAGGTATGAGCCACCACACCCGGCCGAATGCGATTGTTCTTGACTCCATTTCACAGACTGCTCTACAGGGCATAAGAGAATCCACCACATTGAAAGAGCAGCAAGAGGTATTTCATCCTCTTAAGTTTGAAGACTTCTTCCCATGAGACGATCCATTATCCTGCCCACTTGTGATCTGTCACATGGCCTGGGGGCACCAATTGTGCTGCCCTAAACCATTTCATTCACGCATTGACCAGTGCCAGTCCCTCCATCTCGTTGCCTTTGGCAGCTGTCTGTAGTATGGCTGCAGCAAAGAAGTTGCTCCTCCACTGGTTTCAAAACCTCTGGATTGGCCAAACAAGACACAGATCATTTGCACTTGATTTTCCCCCTTTCTAAATTGATGCATTTCCATCAAAGGCATATAACCCATGTAACTCACTGAAACACTCTGAAGACCTTTTCTGAGACCAGCCACTAAAATCTTTCTTAGCAGAGAGGACAATGGAAGACAATGGGTCCCAGGCAGGAACTTTGCAGCCTGCATGAGCCATGCAAGTGAGAACATTCTCAGAGACACACACGTGCCATGAGGGAGTTAGAGTGACTAGACGTGGAGACTCAAGCCTGCAATCTCAATACTTTTGGAGGCTGAGCCGAGGGCCAGGGTTCATATACAATTACAGGTCCACCTCCATTTTCTGAAAGTTGTGAAGCCAGACCACCAGTTCAAGACCAACCTGGGCAACATAGAGAGAGCCCCTGTCTGTACAAAAATATAAATAAAAATAAGAAAATTAGGCATGGTCGCAGGCACCTGTAGCTCCAGCTACTCAGGAGGCTGAGGTAGGAAGACTGCTTGAGCTGAGGAGTCACATAGCATAGGAGCTATGATGGTGCCACTGCACTCCAGCCTGGGTGACAGAGTGAGACCATCTCTTTAAAAAAATAAATAAATAAAAAGAAGTTAGAGAGTATGAATTCTCTCAGAAGATACTTTCAGTGCCTCATGATCATAAAGCCATCGTTTGTTTTCTCTGGGCTTAGAGGAGAATCTAGTACATCTCTTCTTTTTTACAGATGAGAAAATGGGGATTCAGAGAAGTAGTTTAGGCCAGATGTGGTGCCTCATGCCTGTAATCCCAGCACTTTGTGAGGCTGAGGCAGGTGGATTGCTTGAGGTTTGAGACAAGCCTGGCCAACATGGTGAAGCTCTGTCTCTACTAAAAATACAAAAATTAGCTGGGTATGGTGGTGCATGCCTGTAATCCCAGCTACTCGGGAGGCTGAGGCAGGAGAATCGCTTGAGCCCAGGAGGCAGAGGTAGCAATGAGCCCAGATCGTGCCACTGCACTCCAGCCTGGGCCATAGAGTGAGACTGTCTCAAAAAAACAAAACAAAACAAAAAAAAACCCACGAGAGAAGTAGTTTACCTAAGGTCACATTGTCCCTCAGTGGCAGATTCAGAATTAGAATCCACGTCTCCAGAATTTTCATTAGAGAGGAAAACTGGGTAGTAGGGGAGGAGGGGAGCACTACGATAGTATTCATTGACTCACCCAGTATTTTTTGAGCACTTACCAAGTGCCAAGCTTTTGCTAGGCCCTGGGGATATAACAGTGAAGAAGTCAAATATGATCCAGACCTTCATGGAATTTGTATTCTATGACACACCTAGAACATCTCATTACACATTCATCTAATTGCAATTGTGATGAGTGCTAAGCAGGAAAAGTTCAGAAGGTGAGCCTGAAACAGGGAAACCAACATCCACTGGAGCGTTGTGGGGCGGTGAGCAGGACAAGGGGGACTCTCAAAGGACAAGACCCTTGAAAGGTCAGGGATTTGAAAGATGAGTAATCCAGGCAAGAAGGAAAGGAGAGAGAACAGAGGTAGAGGAAACAGCAGGGTGATTCCAGCACTATCTAAGAGGAAATAGAGTAAAAATGCAGCTGGCAGCCCTGGAAATGAGTGCATTAGAGAAGGCTTTGCATTTGGGTACCATCTCCCTTCTTAAGTCTTGCAACATGCAAAAGTGGTGTTTACTCTTCAGGTGGAATCTGTCCTGTTCCCAGAGCTGAAAGGATATAATCTGCTCCTTGGAACTGTTAACGCAGAAGAAAAACTTGTTTCTGATTTTTTGATTCAAACTTTCAAGGTATTTCAGAAAAATCAAGTTGGCCCCTGCAAGTAAGTTGAGTTATAAATTTATTAGCTATGTAGCTTTTTGGGATTGATTTGGTGTTCTTAACTCTCATCCAATAAGGTATTCCTGTTCCCAAACACCTGAACACATACATAGTAAGAATAGCCAATACTTACATGAGTATTACTATTTATTCCCACTTTACAAATGAGGAAACTCTAACTGTCCCAGTGTTACATAGCAAATAGTTAGTAGAGCCAGGATTCAAATTCAATTACAGATCCACCTCCATTATCTGATAGTTGTGAAGCCAGATGGGTTTTGGCACTTCAAAATTTCTGGGTTATATAAAAGTAACATAATGCGTATATCATATATTATCCTGCAGTTTCTGTGAGGTCTGGGGCAACATGTTGATATTTCTGCAGGGAAACCTATAAATATTCACATAATAGCCTCATATCTGTTCAGGCCAACTTTTGCTACCAAGTGAATTTTGAGGCAACTGTCTGTTTTCAGAACTTTTTGGATTTGGGGATCGAGAATCAGTTATCTGAACCCACAGGCCATGTCCTTTAATCATCACACTGTAAAACATCTCACAGCTGCACACGTGAGCAGTCACTATGTATAGTCCGTTCTCACGCTGCTAATGAAGACATGCTTGAGACTGAGTAATTTACAAAAGAAAGAGGCTTAATTGACTCACAATTCTGCAGGTCTGGGGTGGCCTCAGGAAACTTATGGTCGGTCGGTCGTGGCAAAAGGGGAAGCAAACACATCCTTCTTCTCGTGGCAGCAGGAAGAGGAAGTGCTGAGCAAAAGGGGGAGGGAAAAGCCTCTTATAAACCATCAGATCTCGTGAGAACTCACTGTCACGAGAACAGCATGAGGGTAACCGCTCTCATGATTAAATTACCTCCCACCGAGTCCTTCCCACAACACGTGGGGATTATGGGAACCACAATTCAAGATGAAATTTGGGTGGGGACACAGCCAAACCATATCACACTAGTTTAGGGTGATCCTGTAAATAGCTTCCAAAGTGAGACAATTTACGAGTGAAAAGAGTGTTGTTAACAATTACCATGGGACAACAGGTATAAACCTGGACTGTCCCAGGCAAACCAAGAGATATGGTCACGCTAACCCAGAGTTTTTGGACTGCAGCTCTACTGACATTTTTGACTGGAAAATTATATTGTGGGGGCTGTCCTGTGCGTGGTGGGCTGTTTAGCAGAATCCTTGTAGGAATTATGCATGCCGGCAGGAATCCCCTGGTTGTGACAGCCAAGAATGTCTTCAGGTGTGGCCAAAAGTCCCCACCAGTTGAGAACAACTGCTAACCTAGTCAAAAAATCATGGCCTCATATTTGGAAGCCCTGCCCTCGTGAATTTGATTTGGGAGATTCTATTTGAAACCTCTGTTTTCCCTATTCATGGACTCTTAGACACACAGTTATTTTATTTTATTTTATTTTATTTATTTTATTTTATTTTTATTTTATTTTATTTTATTTTATTTATTTTATTATTTTTTGAGATGGCATCTCGCTCTGTCACCCAGGCTGGAGTATAGTGGCATGATCTCAGCTCACTGCAACCTCCATCTCCTGGGTTCAGGCAATTCTCCTGCCTCAGCCTCCCAAGTAGTTGGGACTACAGGCATGTGCCACCACGCCCAGCCGATTTTTATATTTTTAGTAGACACAAGGTTTCACCATGTTGGCCAGGCTGGTTTCAAACTCCTGACCTTAGGTGATCCACTCACCTCGGCCTCCCAAAGTGCTGGGATTACAGGTGTGAGCCACCTTGCCTGGCACGTTTTGTCTTTCTTTCTACTTTTTTTTTTTTTTTTACACTTTAAGCTCTAGGTTACATGTGCACAACGTGCAGGTTTGTTACATATGTATACATGTGTCATGTTGGTGTGCTGCACCCATTAACTCGTCATTTACATTAGGTATATCTCCTAATGCTATCCCTCCCCGATCCCCCAACCCCATGACAGGCCCCGGTGTGTGATGTTCCCCTTCCTGTGTCCAAGTGTTCTCATTGTTCAATTCCCATCTATGAGTGAGAACATGTGGTGTTCAGTTTTTTGTGCCTGTGATAGTTTGCTGAGAATGATGGTTTCCAGCTTCATCCATGTCCCTACAAAGGACATGAACTCATCCTTTTTTATGGCTGTATAGTATTCCATGGTGTATATGTGCCACATTTTCTTAATCCAGTCTATCATTGATGGACATTTGGGTTTGTTCCAAGTCTTTGCTATTGTGAATAGTGCCACAATAAACATACGTGTGCATGTGTCTTTATAGCGGCATGATTTATAATCCTTTGGGTATATACCCAGTAATGGGATCAACTGGGTTAAATGGTATTTCTAGTTCTAGATCCTTGAGGAATCACCACACTGTCTTCCACAATGGTTGAACTAGTTTACAGTCCCACCAACAGTGTAAAAGTGTTCCTATTTCTCCACATCCTCTCCAGCACCTGTTGTTTCCTGACTTTTTAATGATCGCCATTCTAACTGGTGTGAGATGGTATCTCATTGTGGTTTTGATTTGCATTTCTCTGATGGCCAGTGATGATGAGCATTTTTTCATGTGTCTTTTGGCTGCATAAATGTCTTTTGAGAAGTGTCTGTTCATATCCTTCGCCCACTTTTTGATGGGGTTGTTTGTCTTTCTGGATTGACAGTTCCACGGATTTCTCATTGCATCTCAGTTTCAGAGTCTCTAAAGTGTTGATCACCTCTTGGAAGCATGCCACTGAGTCCCACAAAGTTAATTCTGCTTACTCACTATCATCTTTATTTTAATTCAAACTTATTTTAAACCAGACCATCCCAAACACATCCTCCAATTTTGGGGAAACTGTCCAGCCATTTTTGTGTCATTTGATTACAGGCAGAGAAAATTTTGATTTTATTTAATAGATTTTAGGTTAATTAGTCCTAGATTTTCATCTTAAGATTTAGGCTTAGAATTTTGGGACTTGAAGAAGGGATAGGAATCACAGGCGTCCCCTTTGTCTGCGGTTTTGCTTTCTGCAGTTACAGCTACCCGAGGTCAACTAAGGTTGGAAAATATCAAGCTATTTTGAGAAAAACAGAGAAAGGGACCACATTCATATAACTTTTATTTTTACATTATATTGTTATATGTTCCATTTTATTTTCAGTTATTGTTAATCTTTTGCTGTGCCTAATTTATAAATTAAACTTTATCATAAATACATATATGTGTATAGGAAAAAACAGTATATAAAGGGTTCAGTACTATCTGCGGTTTCAGGCATTCACTGGGGGTCTTGGAACATATCCCCAAGGGTAAGGAGGGACTATCGTAATATTTGTAGCACATTCATTGTATGTCAGGCACAGCATTAATTCATTTGTGTGTGCTTTATTACAGTTAAGCATTACAATAATCCTATGAGGTGTTAATGATCATTTCCACTTAAAATTAAAGACATTGGGCCCGGCCTGGTGATGCATGCCTGTAATCCTAGCACTTTGGGAGGCCAAGGTGGGCAAATGACTTGAGGCCAGGAATTTGAGAGCAGCCTGGCCAACATGACAAAATTCTGTCTCTATTAAAAATACCAAAATTAGTTGGGTGTGGTGGCACATGCCTCTAATCCCAGCTACTCCAGAGGCTGAGGCAAGAGAATCACTTGAAGCTGGGAGGAGGAGATTGCAGTGAGCTGAGATCACAGCACTGCACTCCAGCCTGGGTTACAGTGAGAGTCTATCTCAAAAAATAAAATAAAATAAAATTAAAGACAACTGTGATGGTTAATACTGAGTGTCAACTTGATTGGATTGAGGGATACAAAGTATTAATCCTGGGTATGTTTGTGTAGGTGTTGCCAGAAGAGATAATGAGGAAGAAGCAAAAGCAGAAACCCCTGGTAAACCCATCAGATCTCACCAGACTTATTCACTACCATGAGAATAACATGGGAAAAAACCAGCCCTATGATTCAACTACCTCCCCCTGGGTCCCTCCCACAACAAGTGGGAATTCTGGGAGATACAATTCAAGTTGAGATTTGGTGGAGACACAGCCAAACCATATCATTTTGCCCCTGGCCCCTCCAAATCTCATGTCCTCACATTTCAAATCAAACCATGCCTTCCCATTAGTCCCCCAAAATCTCAACTCATTTTAGCACCAACCCAAAAGTCCACAGTGCAAAGTCTCATCTGAGACAAGGCAAGTCCCTTCTGCCTATGAGCCTGTAAAATCAAAAGCAAGTTAGTTACTTCCTAGATACAATGGGGGTACAGGTATTGGGTAAATACAGCCATTCCAAATGGGAGAAATTGGCTAAAACAAAGGGGTACAGGGCCCATGCAAGTCCAAAATCCAGTGGGACAGTCAAACTTTAAAGCTCCAAAATGATCTCCTTTGACTCCAGGTCTCACATCCAGGTTATATTGATGCAAGAGGTGGGTTCCCATGGTCTTGGGCAGCATGGGAATGTGTGGTTGGTTTTAAATTTGAGGACATGAGATTTGGAGGGGCCAGGGAGAGAATGATATGGTTTGGCTGTGTCCCCACCAAATCTCAATTTGAATTGTATCTCCTAGAATTCCCACGTGTTGTGGGAAAGACGCAGGGGGAGGTCATTGAACCATGGGGGCTGTTTTGTCCTGTGCTATTCTCATGATAGTGAATAAGTCTAATGAGATCTGATGGTTTATCAGGGGTTTCCACTTTTGCTTCTTCCTCATTTTCTCTTGCCACTGCCATGTAAGACGTGTCTTTTGCCTCCCACCATGATCTGAGGCCTCCCCAGCCATGTGGAACTGTAAGTCCAATTAAACCTCTTTTTCTTCCCAGTCTCGAGTATGTCTCTATCAGCAGTATGAAAATGGACTAATACAACACCCATCCTTGAAAAACTGAAATATCTTGTCTAAGTTTACACTGCTAGGAAGTGGTGAAACTGAAAATCAGAGCCAAAATTCTGAGTTCTCTGTTTAATGAAACTTTTGCCACATTATAGTTCTCTTTCCTGGCTTGGGCTACATTTTTTAAAATGCTACTATGTCTTCATTTGCCACTCTGACTCATCTGATTTGGTTGACTTATATTTGTGTGTTTGATTTCACACCCTTCAATATGGAAGATATTTAAATGTCTACAAAAAGTATGTTGACTTATTGGATAACACGGCAGAGCAAAACATCGCTGCGTTCCTGAAAGAAAATCATGACATTGATGATTTTGTGACGGTAGGAAATGCCACTTGAGATTTTATACCTTGGTGACATGTGCTGCAGACAATCCAATGAGCAGTTAGTGTCTCTTTGGTGCATAGACCATGCTCAGCATTGGACTAGGGTTGGCCAGGGGTTAGGCTGGGGGCAAGTGGGAGAGGCTCAAGGGCAAATCAAGCTACTGAATGTGCTCCTTTCTGCAGAAGATCAATGCCATAAAGAAACGGAGAAATGAAATTGCATCCATGAACATCACCGTGCCTTTAGCCATGTTCTGCCTTGATGCTACGGCCCTAAATCATGATCTCTGTGAGCGAGCTCAAAATCTTAAAGACCATCTGATTCAATTCCAAGTGGATGTAAACCGAGACACCAATACCAGGTATTGTAATTCTGTGCAGACAAATAGCAATGGTATTTGGCACCAACTGGAGACGAAAAAGTGACCAGAACTTGCACCTTCCAGCAATGAACAGATTATTTTCTAGATCAAGTTTTTTCTGCCCCTAAGTAAGGGTAGTGAGGAATTCAGGTTCAGGCTAGGAGGTGAACAGTCAAGAGAAAGCGACATGGGGGTTGGAGTAGGCGGGTGGAGGGCATTTGTTAGCAGTTTGTCTCTGATCCTGAAGCTTTTGTCTTCTTGCAGGCAAATTCAGGAGAATGCAAACTGCTTCCTGGGCTTGTCTGTCTGAGGTCACAGGCCCTTCTCACTGTTCATCTAGCACATATTTTGAAACACAAAGTGCTTACAGGCGCATTTTCCTTAGAATCACTCCTAGGCAGAATTCTGCTGTATAGGTCCGGGAATTCTGTTGTTCAATCTTTTTCTTTTTCAAAAGGAGGTTTCACTCTATCTGGAGTGCAGTGGCCTGATCATAGCTCATTGTAGCCTCGAACTCCTGGGCTCAAGCAATCCTCTTGCCTCAGCCACCTGAGTAGCTAGGACTATAGGCATCCACCATCATGGCTGGCGAATTTTCTAATTGTTTTCAGAGACAGGGTCTTGCTATGTTGTCCAAGCTGGATTGTAGTGGTTATTCACAGGTACAGTCACAGTGCACGGTAGCCTCAAATTCCTAGATTCAAGCAATCCTCCTGCCTCTATTTGCATATCATTTTTCTTTCTCTTTTTTAGACACATGGTCTTGTTCTGTCCCCTAGGCTGGAGTGCAGTAGTGGCGCGATCATAGCTCATGGCAGCCTCGACCTCCCAGGCTCAAGTGATCCCCCTGCCTCAACCTCCTAAGTCTGTTGGGACTACAGGTGTGAGCCACCATGTTTGGTTCCATTGTTCAATCTTAAACTCTATATTATGCCTTTATTTTACTGACAACTACGTGTTAGACAAGATGTTTTTGGTTATAATGGATAGAAGCTCAAACAGACTAGCTTGGGTTAAAAAGGGAATTTGTGGCTCACATGTTGAAAAGTTTAGGGTTTCTAGCTTCAGGCCCTCAATGCTGCAATTAGGATGCAATTCCTCTCTCTCTGCTTGGCTTTCCTCCACGTTGGCTCCATTCTCTAACAGGTTCTCTCCAGTTTATGGGCTTCTGCAGCTCCAGGCTTACATCCTCCCGGATTCCTATCCAGAGGAGGCAAAAAATTTCTTTTTCTATCATCCTTGGAAAAGTCCTGGCCCATGTGAGGTTGGCCTGACTTAGGTCGTTTGTACAACATTGAATCAAACACTGGCCAAGAGGATGGCTTAGATCTGGCTGGGTGTTCCCATCTCTGGGATGGGTGTCAACACCACCTAAACCACATGAGCTGAAAGGGGTGGGGGTCCCCGATAATACATAGGTGTTGTTACAGAAAGAGGTAATGGATGCTTGGCTGAGATGGCAACTGCCTTCTACTGTGTCTCTATTTGAAGGTTAGAAAATGGTTATTCCATGTTATCCTAGCTCTCTTCCTCAAAGCACTTTAAACTATAGACTAAAATGATTTAGTGGCCAGGTGCCATGGCTGACGTCTATAGTCCCAACATGAGATTGGGTTTACTTTGGGAGGTGGAGGCAGGAGGATTGCTTGAGCCCAGGAGTTCAAGACCAGCCTGGGCAACATGGGAAGATACCATCTCTACAAAAATAAAAATTAAGAAATTAGCCAGGCATAGTGGCATGTGCCTGTGGTCCCAGCTACTCAAGAGGCTGAGGCGAGAGGATCACTTGAGCCCCAGAAGTCGAGGCTGCAATGAACCATGTTCACACCACTGCACTCCAGCCTGTGCATCAGAATAAGACTCTGTCTCAAAAAAAAAGAAAAAAAAAAAAGAGAGAGGTATGCAAGTTGAGGCAGGAGTATCACTTGAGCTCAGGAGGTCAAGGCTGCAGTGAGTTATGATTGAGGCGCTGCACTCCAGCCTGGGCCACAGAGCAAGACCCTACCTCAGAATAAATAAATGTAAAATAAAATGATTTAGTAATAATCACCGCTATTAATATTATATTGTATACTGTATTATTCATATATGTGTAATTTTAGCATTTTATAGTACTATAAGTTTTACAAAATACATATCAGAAAATCATCAGCAAATTAATAATAATACTAGTGACCATCTTCCCAGCACATGGTATAATCTAGGCACCATATAAGTACCCTGCACAGAATAGATCTAATCAGGAACTCACAACAGCCCTAAGAGGTTGTTCATTATTTTCCCCATCGTGTTGATGAAGACACTGAGACTCTGACAGGTTAGGCAGTGGCATATCTGGGAATTAACCCATTTTGACCTCAAAGTCCATGTGCAAGCAGCTTTCTCATTCATTGATGAAGAGGTCAGATTCTTGGTTTTGGAGCCAGAATAGCTGGCCTTGTCTCTTGGATCTTCAGTTTCTCTTTTTCTTTTTCTTTTCTTTCTTTCTTTTTTTTTTTTTTTTGAGACAGAGTCTCGCTCTGTTGTTCAGGCTGGAGTGCAGTGGCATGATCTTGGCTCACTGCAACCTCCGCCTCCCAGATTCAAGTGATTCACCAGCCTCAGCCTCCTGAGTAGCTGGGATTACAGGTGTGTGCCACCACACCCGGCTAATGTTTTGTATTTTTAGTAGAGACAGGGTTTCACCATGCTGGTCAGCCTAGTCTCAAACTCCTGATCTCAGGTGATCTGCCTGCCTTGGCCTCCCAAAGTGCTAAGATTACAGGGGTGAGCCACCGCACCCAGCCTGTATCTTCAGCTTCTTTGCCTATAGGATATGGGTTTGGGACGAGGACAGCAAAAGGTTTTCAGCCTTCACACTACTCGGACACTTTTTAAAAAATTGAGACAGGGTCTTACTCTGTTGCCCAGACTGGAGTGCAGTGGCATGATCAAAGCTTACTGCAGCCTCGACCTCCTGGGCTCATGTCATCCTCCTGCCTCAGCCCCCGAAGTAGCTGGGTCTACAGATGCTCACCAATACACCTGGCTAATTTTTGCATTTTTTGTAGTGATGGAGTTTTGCCATTTGCCCAGGCTGGTCTCAAACTCCCTGGCTCAAGCAATACTCCCACTTCAGCTTCCCAAACTGCTGGGATTACAGGCGTGAGCCACCACACCCGGCCTACTTGGAGACTTTCTTTGGAAAGTTTGAGCCATGCATTTTTTTCCCTTAAGCAATCATCCATTTGTTCCTGTCAAATCAAAGCAACATGGTGCCTTAGTTGATCAGTGCATTCATCCTTATCCAAATAAATGTATAATGTCCTTAGGTCTTTTTAATATAAGTGAAAATAAGAGCCTCATTCTGAACCCAGGAATATCTAAGAATGCAGACACCCCAGGTTGGCAGCTGAACTCCAGGTTGGTGGCTGACTTCTGAAGTTTCTGTCTGCCTTAAAAATAACATCAACAGGGCTGGGCGCAGTGGCTTACGCCTGTAATCCCAGCACTTTGGGAGGCCGAGGCGGGTGGATCATGAGGTCAGGAGTTCAAGACCAGCCTGGTCAAGATGGTGAAACCCCATCTCTACTAAAAATACAAAAATTAGCCGGGTGTGGTGGTGGGTGGGGGCGGTGCCTGTAATCCCAGCTACTAGGGAGGCTGAGGCAGAGAATTGCTTGAACCTGGGAGGAGGCGGAGGTTGCCGTAAGCTGAGATCACACCACTGTGCACCAGCCTGGGTGACAGAGCAAGACTCCATCTCAAAAAAGAAAAAAAAAAACATGTCACGATCAAGTAATAATAACAAAACTATGGTATCATTGCTAACATTTGTTGAGGGCCACTCTGTGCTAGGAGTGGACGTATTGCGGATGATTTGCTTCTAATTGTAGTTAAGATGCCAAGACCGTCAGTCATTTGCTTTTGCATAAATTAGAGCATATTCAAATTATCTGTATAATAACATCATTTTTCAGTCTTATGTTTGAAAAGTGGCCAGTTAGACCTGGTAGTCCCAGTAATGGAACATTTTCTCTGCCAAGAGGGATTACCTGTAGCCCATGAGGATAAACTTACTGTTGTTCTGTTAAAAGCAATGATTAAGGCTGGGTGCGGTGGCTCATGCCTGTAATCCCAGCACTTTAGGAGGCCAAGGCAGGCAGATCACCTGAGGTCAGGAGTTCAAGACCAGCCTGGCCAACATGGCAAAACCCCATCTCTACTTAAAATACAAAAATTAGCCGGGTATGGTGGCAGGCACCTGTAATCCCAGCTACTCGGGAGGCTGAGGCAGGAGAATTGCTTGAGCCCGGGAAGCAGAGGTTGCAGTGAGCTATCACACCACTGTAATCCAGCCTGGGTGACAGAGCAAGACTCTGTCTCAAAAAAAAAAAAAAAAAAAAAGATTAAAAATTAATTTAGTGCTCTATTTCAACACAAAATGTGATGAATTGCTGGTGGTGGTGGTGGTGTTTTGGTCTAAATCTAGGTTCTGTGTATGAGAGGTAGTATGGTGTATTTGTTAAGAGTATGAGCTTTGGAGTCAATTAACCCAGGTTCAGATCTTGGCTCTGACACCCACATACCATGTTGCTTTCGATAATGTTACTCAGGGTCACTTTCTTCCATTATAAAGTATAGATAATAGTAGTATCTACCTCTTAGAATTGTTGTGAGGATTAAATGAGTTAATCTATGTAAATGATTAGAATGGGGTGTGCTACTTCATAATGGCTTAATACATAACAGGTATTATTATCATTACAACTGCTATTATTCCTGGAGTTTAGTGTGCATGTGAATATTATCCATCAAGGATTTGCAGGCAGGGAAAAAATTAAAAAAAAATTTTCTTTTTTTTTCAAATAGGAATTATGTATTTTGAACATGGAGTCTTACAAGAAAGTCATTTTAGATGGTGATGATGGTGATGATGATGATGATAACAATGGCTGTTTCTTTTCTGTAGCATTTGTAATCAGTACAGCCACATCGCAGACAAAGTCAGTGAGGTTCCTGCCAACACTAAGGAGCTGGTATCCCTCATTGAATTCCTAAAGAAATCCAGTGCTGTCACTGTGTTCAAACTCAGGAGGCAACTTAGAGATGCAAGTGAACGGCTGGAGTTCCTGATGGACTATGCAGACTTGCCGTGTAAGTCCAATGCCATGTGTGACCATCGAAATGCATACCTATATGTATATTTTATATTTGTATATATAACATTTCAAATAGTCTATATGTATTTATATATTTAGGGGTAAAGTGTTGAGCAAAAGGATAGTTATATGAATTCTACCACTAAATATAAAAGAGCTGCCTTTCAAGTGCCCCCATATGTTAGAGGCACGAATTTTATACTCATATCCACAGTAATTTGAATCACACAAAAGGAATCTTGTTAGACACAAAGGAGACATAGATAGACACTTGACCTCCAGTTCTTTTTTTTTTTTTTTTTTTTTTAGATGGAGTCTCGCTCTGTCATCAGGTTGGAGTGCTGTGGTGTAATCTAGGCTCACTGTAACTTCCGCCTCCTGGGTTCAAGCAATTCTCCTGCCTCAGCCTCCCAAGTAGCTGGGACTACAGGCACGTGCCACCATGCCCAGCTAATTTTTGTATTTTTAGTAGAGACGGGGTTTTACCATGTTGGCCAGGATGGTCTCTATCTCTTGACCTCATGATCCGCCCGCCTCAGCCTCCCAAGTGCTGGGATTACAGGCGTGAGCCATGGGGCCTGGCCGACCTCCAGTTCTTAGATCCCTGTCTTGGCATCTGTGTCTGGTGTTCCTGGAAAAGTCACTTCCAAATGCAGAATCATTTTTTTAAATGAGTAGATTTTACTTACCTGTAATCTTTTATTTATTTATTTTTTTTGTCGAGACAGAGTCTTGCTCTGTCATCCAGGCTGTAGTGCAGTGCCACCCTCGGCTCACTGCAACCTCTGCCTCTCAGGGTCCATCAATTCTCATGCCTCAGCCTCCTGAGTAGCTGGAATTACAGGCACGTGCCACCACGCCCAACTAATTTTTGTATTTTTAGTAGAGACAGAGTTTCTCCATGTTGGCCAGGCTAGTCTTGAACTCCTGGCCTCAAGTGATCTGCCTGCCTCGACCTCCCAATGTACTGGGATTATAGGCGTGAGCCACAGCCCCTGGCCGCCCATCTGTAATCTTCATCAATCCCACTTTTGAAGAGGCCGAGACACTTTTCTTCATGCTCCTGTGTATTGTAAAAGGAAAAAAATAGTCAGGGCTCCTTGAAAGTTTGTTGGGTCAAGTTAGAGTTTTAAAGTGAGAAGCAGATTCTGAAGGAAAAGTTAATAACCTCTCAACAAGCCATTTTCTATCTGAAAATACCTGTGAATTACTTGGTGTTCACAATGTATGGATGTCAGGGGGAGGTTGATGGGAGGGAGAGATGGGGACTGGGAGTGAAAAGTGGTTCCCTAACCATCCACCTGCATGTTCACGAGCTGTGCCCTCGACCCCTGGATACACCGTGGACTCTCACTGTGGGCTCTGCCTCCCGAAATTCACAAAGGAAACCCAGGGTGGACATTTTAATTCACCAGAGTCATAAAATGGGTAGGGCATTTGGCTTTGATACCATGACTGCCATTTAACCTAAAGGGAAACCGACATGCAGATGAAGTGAAATAGTTTGAACTGTGGAACGAGAGCATCAATCTGGGTTTCTGACTTGACTCAGACCTAGCCTAGGAAGGCAATCAAGCAGAGAGGTTAGAACACAGGCTTTGGAATTAGACCTGGATTTGAATTCCTCTCTGATGCCTTCTAGCAGTGTAACCTTGACCACTAGGCTCAATGGCTGTGTTTGCCATCTGTGCAAACAAGGATGATAATATCATCTACCTTCTAGCCTGGCCCTTAGTAAGTGCTCAACAAATGTCACTGTCACTCATCCATGTGTTCATTGCCACCCCCACACCACTCCTGTTGACCTCTTGTTCTGTCTAATTAATTCGCCACATGCTGACCCGACCTATGCTAAACAGTGTCCTGGAGCAGGCAGTATGTGTTTTGCAGATGAGGACATCAAATTGAACAGCACTCTGTTCCTCTGGCCAGACCAGATTGAAGATATCTTTGACAACAGCCGGAACTTGCTCCTTCACAAGAGGGATCAGGCAGAAATGGATCTGATTAAAAGGTACCGGGAGAGTCTGGGATTGTCTTGGAAATGAGACCTGACTTCTTCACCCATGCTGCAGGTTCCTGGTTCTGTCTAAGCCATCCCCCAGCTCACTCCATGGCAACGTGTGGGCGAAGTCTGAAAACAATTGGTGGAGAAGGCATTTCCTTTGGTTTCCCACTGAGGGATGTTTTCTTTAAGACTGCTTCACTGTAATAACCTCTGCTAATGTCTTCCCTTCCTGCCTTGAATAATTGGAATTTGGTGGTGCAGAGAGAAAAACGCAAAACTAGTGGCATGTTATAACGGCCTCCCCAATAATAATAGTGAAATTGTCAGCCTTACATTGGAGACCACAGATCTGTAAGATATCAAGATATCAAGATAATAAAGGCATGGCAGGGGGGCTGAGAAATTGCCTATTTTGCAGCTGGTCTTATTCAGAGCTAATGTGGCTGTAATCACTTATTCATTCATTATTTGTCAATTCAGTTGGTATTTATTGCGGATTTTCATGATGTGCTATGCTCTGTTCTAGACATCTATGTGTGTTTGGCTGCTAAATAAAGATTTTAATCCAGCGACATAGAAAATATAGACATACTGACAAATCCAATAATGTCAAGTGAAGTGGGCCAGTGCCATGGACATGGTTTTACACACACACACACCCACTCCAGGTTCACGTTTTGATTATGACCTGCAGATTCATATCAATTACCCTGTCCCCTTCACATAAGAAACTCCCACTCCCAACTTGAGCTGCCATAGTTCCTGCAAATACTTACAAGAAAGGACAAGAATAGATAAAAGCAGGGATTTCTACACCAAATGGGAGAGTTTTGGCTGAAGGGTCAACCCATGTAGTTGCTACCTGGAAAATGTGGCCTAAGTGTGCTCCCCAGGGAGTGCAAAACATTTGTGTGTGTGTGTTTGTGAGTGTGTGTGTATTTTCCTGCCTCCACCTGGATGGATACTGGCCCTGGAGCCCAGAACTTAGCCTGATGGAAGGAATTGATTTGTGTTTAAATTAATAGACTATGTTTTAGAGCAGTTTCAGATTCACAGCAAAATTGAGCAGAAAGTACAAAGAATTCCCATATACCTCCCAACTCCCCCACCCTGCCCCCCCCCACACACACACCCTCTACACCCTTTTCTATGGAACTGATTTTTTTTCCATAGGTTTTTGGGGGAACAGGTGGTATTTGGTTACATGAGTAAGTAGTGGTGATTTCTGAGATTTTGGTGCACCCATCACCTGAGCAGTACACACTGAACCCAATTTGTAGTCTTGTATCCCTCACCCCCCTCCTACCCTTTCCCTGGAGTCCCCAAAGTCCATTGTATCATTCTTATGCCTTTGCATCCTCATAGCTTAGCTCCCACTTATGAGTGAGAATATACGATGTTTGGTTTTCCATTCCTGAGTTACTTCACCTAGAATAATAGTCTCCTGGCCGGGCATAGTGGCTCATGCCTGTAATCTCAGCACTTTGGGAGGCCGAGGCAGGCAGATCATGAGGTCAAGAGATTGAGACCATCCTGACCAACATGCTGAAACCAGCCTGGTGACAGAGCGAGATTCTGTCTCAAAAAAAAAAAAAAAAAGAATAATAGTCTTCAATCCATCCAGGATGCTGCAAATGCCATTAATTCATTCTTTTTATGGCTGAGTAGTATCCACTCTATATATCTACCACTTTTTTATGTCTAACCAGGAAAGTAAAATCATTTTCCCCCAGCAATTTCTTTATTTGCTTTTTAATATATTTTAACTTTTATTTTAGGTTCAGGAGTACATGTGCAGGTTTGTTATATAAGTAAACTTACAACTTGGGTGGCAAAATCACTTTTTTTGTTAGATAAATAAACAGAAGGCTCATCTTTTTGAGACTCTGTGCCCCTCATCTGGAGAACGGGATAGAATCAGACCCTCTCTCATGGTGCTGAAGGATGAAATGAGATGATCTGAGATTGTGCTTAGGTGGTAAACAGCACGTGGTAGGAATCCCAAAACTATCAGCTTCCTTCTCCCTTTGAACAGGGACCTCTGTGGGGAGAAAAACGCTTCTCAACTTCCAAGGCATCAATTTTGCATGCATGATTTTAGAATATTACTCCAAGACCAATTAGAGACAGTAAATGCTGTTGAAGTTAGGAGGAGTGAGGGGTGGCTCTGTGAGGAATGGGAACAATTGTCATTTATGACGAGAGGAGTAGAGTGTCCTTGTCTCCTTCTGAGGGGTGACTCTCAGCTTGATCTCATCCGCTGGTTCCCCAGCTCTTAACAGCAGGGGCCAGCAGAGGGCGGCTCTAGAAGAGGCTCAGCAGGGCAGCCCTGGGCTCACCCCTCTCTTCGGTGAACCTTTAAATCCTTATGTCCATCATGTTGCATTAATCCTGAGAACAGCCTGTGAGATGGATTAAGCCATATTCATGCATCCATCCATCTCATGAGAAAACAATCTTGCTTCCTCTGCAAGAAATCTGGCTTTATTTTCCCAGTCCACATTAATGGTTTTGGGGTTCCATGCCGATTATTCTCCATTTGCTGTTCCTACCCCACCCTCCGGCTCTGCACCTGGAAGGTGATGCCCAATCTGCAGTGTTGGATTCTCTTGTCTGTTGGATCCGGGCTGGGCCCTGTCCACAGAGCCCTGCAGGAGGTGGGAGAGTAGCTAGCAAGCTTTTCCTCCTCTCCCTCCCTGCCTGGCCCTGGGGCTCAGAGGCAGTAGCTGCATCCCTCTGATGTCAATGCCTCCTCCTCCATGGTTCCAGTTTCCATTGTCCCCAGCCTGGGGGTCCTAATGGCTTCCCTCTGATGCTAGTCTCTGGGTGCCTCACTGTCTGCTATTTGTTCCTTTAATCCTATCCATATCTCACCCCTGCAAGTAATCCTTAAAGTATCTTTCTTTGAACATGGGAGTGAATTCTATTTCCTGCCAGAATCCTCCCCTTACACTCTAAATGGTCCCACAAATACAACTCTTATTCAACCTAATTTCATGAGTGCCTACTATTTGCTAATGATTGTATTATTCTATGGAATATAATATATTGGGATATATATATAGGAATTTATTTATATGAAATATGTATGGAATTTACATATATACACACACACATACACACAGCTAGTCACTGACTTACGATGGTTCAACTTACGATTCTTTGACTTTCTGATGGTGTGAAAGTGATATGTTGAGTACCCATACAACCATTATGTTTTTCACTTTCAGTACGGTATACAATAAGTTACATGGGATAGTCAACACTTTATTATAAAACAGGCTTTGTCTTAGATGATAACTGTGGACTAATGTGAGTGTTCTGAGTGCATTTAAGATAGGCTAGGCTAAGCTCTGATGTTCAGTAGGTTAGGTGTATTAAATGAATTTTCAATTTCCAGTATTTTCAAATTGCAATAGGTTTATAGGGATGTAACCCCATTGTAAGTCAAGGAGCAGTTGTTTGTATGTGTGTGTGTTGTGGGGACATGAAAGTACTTTGGAAACTATAATGTACTTAGCAATTATAAGAAATTAGAAACAATAATAATAGTAATATTTTAAGGTAATCACTGAGCTTACATGCAGTTGCCCTCTGGGAGGAATTCAAAACTGCTTTCATCAGAGATTTCTATGTGAGTATAGTATTTGGAGCTTCAAAAAGAATTTAATGATGTGAAAAGGCACTTAGCAGCACCTAATTGCATGTACAACAGAAGAATAATAAGCATTGCCTCTCTCCCCCATCATTTCATCCAACTCAGTGGTAGGTTCCGTGGTTCTGGAAGTTATGTGATATTTACACGATGGATGACTCAGGGATGTGAGCTGCTGCTCTCTGCCATAAAAGGGCAAAGGAAAACACTTTGGCACCCTGGAGGAAGAAGGGAAGACATCTTAGGGAGAGCACCCGACATTGTGTTTCACCAAAGCCTAAGGATTCAGATAGAACACGGTTCCTTGCTTATAGTGGATGTTCACCATTTTAATGAGTGAATGAATGAAATGTTTTTACACTAAGGATATTCTTGAAAATGAACACTGACCAGAGTCTAAAATTACAGCTTATTACAAAACAAAAATAAAAAGCTGAGAAAAGGAATGGAGGCCGGAATATGTGGCTCATGCTTGTAATCCCAGCACTTTGGGAGGCCAAGGTGGGCGAATCACCTGAGGTCAGGAGTTCGAGACTAGCCTGGCCAACATGGTGAAACCACATCTCTATGAAAAATACAAAAATTAGCTGGGCATGGTGGCGGGCACCTATAATCTCAGCTACTTGGGAGGCTGTGGCTGGAGAATCACTTAAAACTGGGAGGCAGAGGTTACAATGAGCCGAGATTGTGCCACTGCACTCCAGAAAGAAAGAGATAAAGAGAGAGAGAGAGACTCAAACCACTTGAAAATTAATTCTCTAAATCATGTTTAAGAAAAAAGCAACTTTAAAACTGCCATAACAGAATTAAGCATTCTTAGGATAACCAAATTTATGAAATGTCACTATAGCTGATCTCAATGACAAGTTCCCTTATTTGTTTGAAGAGTATTGATTATTTGCCATGTATCAGATGGTCTAACTGCTGAAGACACTAAAAGGAATTAAGGAGACAAGAAACATATTTATTTCCTTGAACAGGGCTGGGTAAAAATTAATAAATAAGTAAAAATCAACTATTTATAGAGTTTACATTTTAGTGAATGTGAGCAAACACTTATGTATTGACTATTGTATACCAGGCTCAATTCTGAGCTTTTTTTTGTTATTGTTGTTCTTATTGACTTTAACTATTAAGCTGGCATTTTTTCTATCCTTGTTTTATCTACCCGAGGCACAGAGAGTTTAAGTGACTTTCCCAAGACTACATAGCTACTAAGTGGCAAGGTGGGAATTTGAAGCTAGCTTGTTTGTCTCAAGACCCTGTCCACTTCACACTATATTATTCTACCTCATTAGAAAAAGGGAGCAGTTCTCATTGAGACCTGCTTTGTTGATAATATGGATGAAGTTGATAAATCTTTGGAAAGGTCTCTCCTGGTCACTGTAGCTACAGTAGCCCTCCACTTCCGTCTGCTAGTCATTCTGCCCTATTTTATTTTCTTCAGAGCATTTATTACTAACAGAAATATTTTATTGTTTGTCCTGTCTATGGATTTATTCATCCATTCATCCAACCATCCATCCATTCATCCATCCATCCATCTGTCCATCCATCCATCCATCCATCCATCCATCCATCCATCCATGTCTATTGTCTAGGTCTCCCTCAGTTAAAATAGAAGCTCCATGAAGGTAGAGAACTTAATAGCATACTTCGCAAATATATTCCTGATGCCTAGGGCAGTTATAGAATATATTAGGCACTCAATAATAAATGTCTAATGGCTGAATGAATAAACAGTATGTATACGTGTACATATATCTTATACGTATTTACCTGTACAGGAAAATATCTGGAAATGTTTAACCACCAACAGGCTCACAACAGCTCGATTTCTGGGAGGTGGTCTTATAGGTAGTTTAACTTATTTTTTCATCTTCATTTATCTTGAGAGAGAGAGAGAAAGATGGAGTTGGGAGTATTGGGGGAGGAAATCTGCAGGTAACTGATCAAATTGTCTGCAGGCTTAAATATGGGCAAGCAGTGCTGATGTTTTGAAAGTGCACAAAATGCAAAGTCCAAAGGTAACCAGGCTGTCTTTATTTTCAGATGCTCAGAATTTGAGTTGAGACTTGAGGGCTACCACAGAGAACTGGAAAGTTTTAGGAAGCGCGAAGTGATGACTACAGAAGAAATGAAGCACAATGTTGAAAAGCTTAATGAGCTTTCAAAGAACCTAAATCGGGCGTTTGCAGAGTTTGAGGTTTGGGATCTTGAGATGGGGACTTATGACACTGTACTGGTCTATTGGTTCTGATCCTTGGTTGTGAATTTCCTATTTCCTAATAGCATCTACTAGGTGGATAGTATTGGTTAACTCATTGGCCAGTTCTTTCATTGGTACTTTCTTTTTTCTTTTCTTTTTTTTTTTTTTTTTTTTGAGACAAGGTCTCACTCTGTTGCGCAGGCTGGAGTGCAGTAATGTGACCTCATCTCACTGCAACCTCCACCTCCTGGGTTCAAGTGATTCTCCTGCCTCAGCCTTCCAAGTAGCTGGGATTACAGGCGTGTGCCACCATGCCCAGCTCATTTTTTGTATTTTTAATAGAGAGTTTTGCCATGTTGGCCAGGCTGGTCTTGAACTCCTGACCCCAAGTGATCCACCTGCCTCATCTCCCAAAGTGCTGGGATTACAGGCATGAGCCACCACACCTGGCTCACTGGTACTTTCAACTACCTTTTCCCATATCCCTTCATGACACCAGACTTTTCCCTTTATTAGTTACTGAGCATCCAAAGAAGAAATTATAGTAAGGTAATTGTTCACATTTATTGAACATTTATTATGTGCTTAGCAATGGTCAAGAGCTTCATATGCAATATTTCACTTAATGCCTGTAACACATCTTTGGGTTAGGTACTGTTATTATCCTCACTTATCCCTGAAGTAAGAGAACTAAGTCTTGGAGAAGCTAAGTAACTGTCCCCAAAGATCAGCTAGTAAGTTCTTTAATAACCATTAAAATTCTTACTTCTGAGGCAAGTCAGTACAAGGAGGTAACATCATATATGTAGCTAAAGTACATATGAAAATTATGAAAACGGAGATATGGCTGTCATAGAGTGGAAACAGAGATGATAGGGCAAGTAGCTGATTATCCTACAGTTTCAACCAGACAGACCTCAGCTGCCAAGGTCCTTGGAGGTGGCAGAGGGACATTCTTGCTTGAGTTCATGCTTTAGTTTCCTCTCTTACTCTCCAGATGAATAAGCATTTCCCTCCACTTGGTTTTCAAGGCACTGAGGAATTTGCCCTGGTGTCTTCGAGGGCTTAGGAGAACAACCCATCCCATAAACAGCATCTCCTTTTGCCCTGCAGTTGATCAATAAGGAGGAAGAGCTATTGGAAAAGGAGAAGAGTACTTACCCTCTTCTGCAGGCCATGCTGAAGAACAAAGTACCTTATGAGCAGCTGTGGTCGACAGCCTATGAGTTCAGCATCAAGTCAGAGGAATGGATGAATGGTATGTGGTGATCTCACTCTGCTGGGACAGATGGGGATGAGGTGGAGGATCCACCCAGTCACTTCTGAAATATGGTTTGCACTTAAGAATCTGGCTGGACTTTTAATCAGATTCTGACACTCCAGATTAAGGCAGCCACAGTCAAAATTATCTGATGTGATAATAAAAATGGAAGGTGGAGAAAGAGCCAGATCTATTTCCAGGGTAAAACACAATAGGCAGCCACCCAGAGTCACGACTTAGATTTGCAGATGGTAGGAGAACAGATGGCAGTTTCACGATGGTGCTGCTTCAGGAAAGACCAGGGTGCCAGGGTGCCATAGACATTTGTAAACTACCTTTTACTCTAGGATCTGGGGTCCAGAAAGGTATTGAGGAGTTGGAATCAACAGGACTTAATGATTGATCCGATATGGGTTAAGGGGCAGGGAGGAAGAGGTTACTATCCTCTCAAAGGTAAGAATTTTATTGCCTCAGAGGTAAGAATTTTAATGCTTAAAGAACTTACTAGCTGACCTTTGGGAAAAGTTACTTAGCTTCTCCAAGACTTAGTTCTCTTACTTCAGGGATGAGTGAGGATAATAACAGCAAAGAACCAACTTCCAGATGACTGGCTCAGGCAATTTGGTTGGTATTACCATCACTGAAAAAGAGAAGTGACAGATTTGTTGGGAAAAAAACAAAACAAAACAAACAAATAAAAAAAAACCCATCAACTTGAATACATTGAGTTTGAGGCACCTGGAAACAATCAAATGGGAATATTAAATAGCAATTGAGTGTATCAGTGTGGATTTTAGGAGAGAGATTTGGCGGGTGGGATTTATGTTGGGGAATAATTGATGTGTAGATTACAATCAAAGCCATGAATGATAACACCTGTGGAGGGTGTTGAAGAACAGAGGACAAAATCAGAGATCCTTGTCTGGGTGCAGTGGCTCACACCTGTAGTCCCAGCACTTTGAGAGGCTGATGCAGGGGGATTGCATGAGCCCAGGAGTTCGAGACCAGCCTCAGTAACATAGTGAGAACCCTGTCTCTACAAAAAATAAAAAATCAGCCAAGTGTGATGGTGCACGTGTAGTCTCAGCTACTCGAGAAGCTAAGATGGGAGGAACGCTTGAGCCCAGGAGATCAAGGCTGCAGTAAGCTATGATCTGCTTACTACACCCCAACTTGGGCATCAGAGCAAAACCTTGTCTCAAAAAAAAAAAAAAAAATCAGAGACCCTTAGGTTTGAGCCTTTAGCAAGTTTCTAGTGCTTCAGTATTTATAAACACAAGAAAGCCAGTCATGGTGGCTCATACCTGTAATCCCAGCACTTTGGGAGGCCAAGGTAGAAGGATTACTTGAGCTCAGGAGTTTAAGACCAGCCTGAGCAACTTAGCAAGACCTTATTTCTACTAAAAACAAAATGAAAAAGTTAGCTGGGCATGGTGGTGTGCACCTATAGTCCCAGCTACTCAGGAGGCTGAGGCAGGAGCATCGCTTGAACCTGGGAGGTTGAGGCTGCAATCAGCTGTGATGGCACTACTGCACTCCAACCTGGGAGACAGAGCGAGACCCTGTCTCAAAAAAAACAGTATTTATAAATTACCAAGTGTTTTTATTAGAAATAGGTATTGTATTTTAAAAACATTTTACATTTTATTTTTAAATTTATATACATTAAAATGGACATTTTTGGCATACATTTCTATGAATTTTAACAGTTGTTGACTTTCATATAAACATCACTACAATCAGAAAACAGCAATTTCATCAACTCAATAAATTTCTTTGGACTGTCTCCTTGTGGTCAAATCCTCCCCCCAGTTGTAACCCCTGGCAACTATTGATCTCTTCATTGTTCCTATAGTTTTGTCCTTTTGAGGCTCCTCCTACAAATGGAATGATACAGTATGCAATCTTTCAAGACTGCTTCCTTCACTCAGCACACTGCCTTTAAGATTCATCCGAGTTGTTGGATGTAGCAATAGGTCATTTCCTTTTATTGCGAGTAGTATCCCATTCTATGGATACACCAGCTTAACCATTTACCCACTGTTTTCACTCTCAGACTATTATAAATAGAGATGCTGTAAATATTTATGTCAACGTTTTTGTGTCAATGTAAGTTTTTATTTCTCTAGGGTAAATGCCCAGCAGTGGATTGCTGAATTATATTTAAAGTATATTTGCAAGTTTATAAGAAAATGCCAAACTTTTGTTTTCCACAGTGGCTGTGCCGTTGTGCATCCCTCACCAATGTGTGATAATTCCAGTTGTTCCACCTCTTCATCAGTGTATTAGTCCATTTTCATACTGCTATGAAGAAATACCTGAGACTGGGTAATTTGTAAAGAAAAAGAAGTTTAATGAACTCACAGTTCCACTTGGATGGGGAGGCCTCACAACCATGGTGGAAGGTGAAGGAGGAGCAAAGGCACTTCTTACATGGCGGCAGGCAAGAGAGCATGTGCAGGGGAACTGAGCTTTATAAAACCATCAGTTCTCATGAGACTTATTCACTATCATGAGAACAGCATGGGAAAACTCGACCCCATGATTCAGTTACCTCCCACCAGATCCCTCCCACAACATGTGGGGATTATGGGAACTATAATTCTAGATGACATTTGAATGGGGACACAGCCAAACCATATCAACCAGCCACTGGGTATTATTGTCCATATATATATATATATTTGAGATGGAGTGTCACTTTGTCATACTTTGTACAGTGGTGTGATCTCGGCTCACTGCAGCCTCCGCCTCCTGGGTTCAAGCAATTCTCCCACCTCAGCCTCCCATTTAGCTGGGATTACAGGAGCATGCCACCACACCTGGCTAATTTTTGCATTTTTCGTAGAGCCGGGGTTTCACCATGTTGGCCAGGCTGATCTCAAACTCCTGACCTCAGGTGATCCACCTGCCTCGGCCTCCCAAAGTGCTGGGATTACAGGTGTGAGCCACTGTGCTTGGCCTGTATTTTTTTATTTTAGCCATTCTCATAAGTAGTTGTGATGTCTCATTATGATTTTAATTTGCATTTCCCCAATGCCTAATGATCTTGAACATTTCTTTATGTGCATACCTGTCATTTGTATATCCTCTTTGGTGAAGTGTCTGTTCAAGTCTTTTACCCATTTGTTTAATTGGTTGTTTGATTTCTTACTGTTGAGTTTTGTGAGGTCTTTATAAATTTTGTGAGATTATGTGATTTACAAATATTTTCTCCAAGTCCATGGCTTGTTTTTTTATTCTCTTTATAGTGTCTTTCACAGAGAAAAAGGTTTTAACTTTGATGACGTCCAACGTATCAATTTTTCTTTTATGGATTGTGCTCTTGGTATCATCTCTAAGGACTCTTAGCCTAACCCTGGTCATGAAGATATTCTCCTATATTTTCTTCTAGATTTTTTGTGGTTTTATGTTTTACATTTAGACCTATGGTCCATTTTGAGTTAATTTTTTTAAAATACGAGGCTTAGTTCAAGTTCATTGTCTTACATATAAATGTCCAATGGTTCCAGTAATTGGGAAAAAAAAATTTTTATCCACTTAATTGTATCTTTGTCAAAAATCAGTTGTCCATATCTTCGTGGGTTGATGTCTTGACTCTATTCTGTTCTGCCAATCTATATGTCAAGCCTTTCACTGATACCACATCAACTTGACAACTGTATTTTTATAGAAAGTCTTAAAATCACATAGTGTGATTCTTCTAACTTCATTTTTCTTTTTAAAATTTTATTTTGAGTATTTTAGTCCCTTTATTTTTCCACATAAATTTGAGAATCAGTTTGTCTATACATACCAAAAAACTCTGCTGGGATTTTGTTGGAAATGTTTTAAATCTATAGATAAATTTGGAAAGAATTCACATCTTTATTACATTGAGTCTTTCAATCAATGGACACTTTACATCTCTTCAATTATTTAGTTCTCCTTTTACTTCTTTTTATCAGTGTTTTGCAGGTTTCAGCATACAGCTCCTATGCATGTTTTGTTAAATTTATACATAAATATTTCCTTTTTTGGAGCTATTGTAAATGATGTATGTTTTTGAATTTCACTTTTTGAGGTAAGTACTATGAAGCACAATTGCTGGATTATATGATAAGAATATGTTTAGTTTTGTAAGAAACGGCCAAACTGTCTTTCAGAGTTGCTGTACCGTTTTGTATTTCCACCAATATAAATGACATTTCCTGTTGCTCCACATCCTTGCCAGCATTTAGTGTTGTCAGTGTTTTGAGTTTTGACCATTTTAATAGGTGTGTAGTGGTATCTGTTGTTGGCTATTGTTGTTGTTATTGTTTTTAAATTGAGATGAGGGTCTCACTAATTTGCCCCAGGTGGCCTCAGATTCCTGGGCTCAAGCAATCCTCCCACCTTGGCCTCCCAAAGTGTTGGGATTACAGGCATGAGCCACCATACCCAGCCACTCATTGTTTTTTAATTTGTAGTTCCTTAATGGCAATGATATTGAACATCTTTTCATATGCTTATTCACCTCTTGTATATCTTCTTAGATTAGGTATTTGTTCAGAGCTTTTGCCTATTTTTAAGTTTCAGGTTTTTGTTTTCCTATTGTTGAATTTTTAAAAATTCTTTGTATATTTAGATAATAGTCATTTATCAGATCTTTTTTTTTTTTTTTTTTTTTTTTTTGCAAATATTTTCTTCCAGACTGTGCCTTTTTTATTCTCTTGACAACATCTTTTACAGGGGAGAATCTTTTCATTCCTAGTTTATCATTTTTTTCCCATGTGTTGTGCCTTCTGTGTTGTAACTAAAAAGCCATTCTCAAATCCAAGGTCATCCATATTTTCTCCTATGTTATCTTCTAGGAATTTTATAGTTTTCCATTTTAGATTTAAGTCTATGATCCATTTTGAGTTAATTTTTGTGAAGGGTGTAAGATCCGTGTCTAGATTCTTTTTTTGTGTGTGTATATAGATGTCCAATTTTTTCATCTTTATTTGTTGAAAAGGCTATCTTTTCTCTATTATATTGCCTTTGCTCTTTTATCAAAGACCAGTTGACTATATTTGTGTGGTTCTATTTTTGGATGGGTTATGTATTCTGTTCCACTGATCTATGTGACTTTCTTTTGCCAATACCACGCTTTTTTGATTACAATAGTTTTATAGTAACTCTTGAAGCTGGCTAGTATCAGTCCTCTGACTTTATTCTTCCCCTTCAATATTGTGTTGGCTATTCTGGATCTTTTACTTCTCTGTGTAAATTTTAGAATCGGCTTGTCAATATCCACAAAATAACTTGCTGGGATTTTTACTGGGATTGTGTTGAATCTATAGATCAAGTTGGGAAGAACTGGCATCTTAACAATATTGAGTCTTCCTATCCATGATTATGGAATATCTCTCCATTATTTATATCTTCTTTGATTTCTTTCATCAGAGTTTTTTGTAGTTTTCCTCATACAGATCTTGCAAATATTTTGGTAGATTTTTGCCCAAGTACAAATTTAATTTTTAGGGTGCCAATGTAAATAGTATTATGCTTTTAATTTCTTTTTTTTTTCTTTTTTGAGACAGAGTCTTATTCTGTCACCCAGGCTGGAGTGTAATGGTGTGATCTTGGCTCACTACAACCTCCACCTCCTGGGTTCAAGTGATTCTCCTGCCTTAGCCTCCTGAGTAGTTGGGATTATAGGCACATGCCACCACACCCGGCTAATTTTTGTATTTTTGGTAGAGACAGGGTTTCACCATGTTGGTCAGGCTGGTCTCGAACTCCTGACCTCGTGATCCACCTGCCTTGGCCTCCCAAAGTGCTGGGATTACAGGCATGAGCCACTGTGCCTGGGCTATGCTTTTAATTTCAAATTCCACTGTTCATTGATGCTATCTTGGAAAGTGATTGACTTTTTAATGTTAATATTGTGTCCTGTGATCCTGCTGCAATCACTTATTAGTTCCAGGAGTTTGTTTTGTTGATTCTGGTGGATTTTCTTTCTATTTCTTTTTTTTTTCCAATTTTTACTTATTTATTTTTAGTTGACAAGTAGTTATGTATATTTATGGGGTTCAATGTGATATTCTGATCTATGTATACATCATAGAAAGATTAAATCAAGCTAATTAACATATCCACACCCTCACCAATTTATCATTTTTTTTCTGATGATAACATTTATAATCTATTCTTTAAGAACTTTTAAATATACAAGACATTATTATTATTATTATTTGAGATGGGGTCTCGCTCTGCCACCTAGGTTGGACCACAGTGACGTAACCTCGGCTCACTGCAATCTCTGCCTCCTAGGTTCAAGTGATCCTCCCACCTCAACCTCCTGAGTAGCTGGGACTACAGATGCACACCACCACACCCAGCTAATTTTTTGTATTTTTGGTAGAGACAGGATTTTGCCATGTTGCCCAGGCCGGTCTTGAACGCCTGAGCTCAAGCAATCCACCCGCCTCTGATTCCCAAAGTGCTAGGATTACAGGCATGAGCCACCTCACCCAGCTGAAATATACAATAATTATTAACTGCAGTCACCATGCACTACAATAGATTACTAAAATTTATTTCTCCAGTATAACTGAAACTTTGTACCCTTCATCAACATCTTTCCTTTCCTTCCCCATCCCTTTGCCTCATCCAAGCCTCTGGTAACTGCCTTTCTACTCTCTGTTTCTATGAAATTGACATTTTTAGATTCTGCAAATAGTGAGATCATACAGTATTTGTCTTTCTGTGCCTGGCTTATTTCACTTAGCATAATGTCCTCCAGTTCCATCCATGTTGTTGCAAATTACAGAAAATTTTGAGGCTGTTAATACTGTATATTATATTGTTTGATTTTCAAATATTAAACCAGCCTTGCACTCCAATGATAAACCCTACTTGGACATGGTGTATTATTATTTTCATGTGTTGCTGGATTCAGTTTCCATGCCTAATATTTTGTTGAGAATTTTAGTGTCTGTGAGAGATACTGGTCTGTAGGGTTTTTTTTTTTTTTGTAATGTATCTGTGTGGTTTTTGTATCAGCGTATCACTGACCTGTTAAAATAAGTTAGGAAATGTTTTCTTCTATTTTTTAGATGAGATTATACAGGTTTTGCTGTTATTTTTTTCTTCTTCTAATGTTTGGCAGAATTTTCCAGTGAAACCATCTGATTCTGAAGTTTTTATATTTTGGAAATTTTTTATCTATAAATTCAATTTCTTCAATAGTTATAAAACTATTCAGGTTTTCTAGTTTATCTTGAATAAGTTTTTGGAAGTTTGTAGTTTTTGAAGAATGGCTTCATTTTAAAAAAAAATGGTCTAATTTATGTACATTGAGTTGTTTATAGCATTCCCTTATTACCCTGTTAATGTCTGAGAGGTTGGTAGTGATATCCCATCTTTTATTTTTGATATTGGTAATTTGCATCTTCTTTCTTTTTTCTTTGCCTGTCTTGCTAGAAGTTTATCTTTTTTTTAGGCCTATCAATTTTAGTTTTCCAAGGAAACAGCTTTTTGTTTCAATAATCTTTCTTATTATTTTTGTTTTCAATGGATTTCTGTTCTTATTTTTATCATTTCCTTCCTTCTGCTAGCTTTGATTTATCTTGCTCTTCTTTTTCTAGTTACTTAAGGTAGAAACTTGGATGATTTATTTTAGAAATTTCTCCTTTTTTAATGCTACAAATTTATCCTTTATAGTTGTCCCTCACAAATTTTGTTCAATTTAAAGTGCTTTCTAATTTCCTTTGAGACTCCTCTAGGACCTATGGATTATTTATAAGTGTGTTGTTTAATTTTCTAGTCACCGGAGATTTTCTTGTTATGTTTTTATTGTTATTTCTAATTTAATTCCATTATGGCCATAAAAGACACTTTGCATGATTTTACTTCTTTTCAATTTATTGAGGTTTGTTTTATGACTCAGAATAAGATTCACCTTGGTAAGTGTTCTATTTGCAATAAAAAAGAATGTGTACTCTGCTGTTATTGAGTGGAATATTTTATCAAGGGATCAAGCTGCCTTTGTTAAAAGTCAGCTTTGGCAGGGCTGTTACTGTGCTAGACATATCCCTCTCCATGGATAAGCAGCAAGTTCTGCAATGGGATTCCTAGTGAGTGTCGCTTCCACTTTTCCCCTGCAGTGGCTTTCAAGGTATGGTTCCAGGACAAAGCAGCATTCTCATTAACTGAGAATGTGTTAAAAATGCAAAATCTTGAGCCCTCGCTCCAGACCTGACTCAGAAACTCTGGGAATGGGGCCCAGAAATCTGTGTTTTAACAAGCCCTCCTGGCAGTTCTGATGCCTGCTAAACTTGGAAAACTACTGTGAATATCCTACAGAAATTTCTCCCTATAGCTCACATTTTGATGGCACCTTCTTTAATTTCCAGTAGAGACACATGTTTTTCCCTTTATTATCTGCCTTTGATCATTTAGTGGGGAGTTAGAATAGGCAGACGTGGTTAATTGCATGGCCTCACATTGCTTCTTTGCCTAGAAGTTATTTGTTTACATTCATGGGGCTGAAGATCATTAACCTTGAAGAATGACTTCAGCAATGTTTCTTAGAACTCTGGAATTTCTGGACTGGACAGGACCCTAGAATTTATTAATATTTCCTGCAACCTCCATATTTGAATCTTGACTGAGTTGACTGTATCCACAGGGCTACAAAAATTTCCACCTGCTGTCTCATCCTTTAAGATCAGAGTTAGAATTTCAGAATATAGCCTTTCCATAAGCTATGAGGTGAGAAGCTACCACGTCATGTGGATAAAGGGATCCATAACTGCTCTTCAAATAGCAGTGTCTAAAATCCCTGGATTATTTTATGTTCTTCTCTCTTGTTGTAGATATAAATTTGTCAGTTCAGGCTGTCTCTAGATAATCATAACCAGAGGGAAATTGCTTCTAATAGAAATGCTACTACTACTCCTCTTTGCCTGAGTGATTGCAAATAACCCAGGCAAGTCACTCTGTTTGTGCTTCACTCTTACAACTATAGAGTGGGAACAATGAAGTGTTAGCCTTACCTACTTTATTCATCCTACTGGGAAAGTCACCGTGATAATTCAGCCAAACCCTCCCAAGTACAGGCTACTCACTTGTTGCGTAGGTGCCTTTCTATTCTAGCCCAGCACCTACAATATTTCCTGGTGCATGAAGGATACTTTTTTTTAATTTAAATTTTTAATCACGCAACAAAAATGTTGGGTTGATGAAGCATGTGAAATTAATGAAGTTAGATTTAGTTTCAGCACTCCTGAAGAAGTGTTTTTGAGTAAGTTAGCAACATCACATAGCAAGAGTTAATACCAATTTGAAATATCCAAGCAGGGGCAGCAGCATGGAAAGGTCTTGGCTGGATGTGAAACCCAAATGCTAAAGGTTCTTAGCAAAATAAAGGAAGGGGAAGGAAATTAGTGTTTTGGAGTAAGTTTAAACAATGAGGTGTTACTTTTTGCTTTTAAAATACATATATTTTTTGACAGAGTCTCACTCTGTTGTCCAGGCTGGAGGGCAGTGGCACTATCCTGGCTCACTGCAACCTCCACCTCCTAGGCTCAAGTGATCCTCCCACCCCAGCCTCCCAAATAGCTGGGACTACAGAGCATGCCACCATGCCTGGCTAATTTTTTGCATTTTCAGTGGAAATGAGGTTTAACCATGTTGCACAAGCTGGTCTTGAATTCCTGACCTCAAACAATCTGCCTGCCTCAGCCTCCCTCTCATATCTCCATTCACCTTTCCCCGATGGTTAATATTTCATGGCTTTTGTGAAGCACTTTTAATTACTACTATAGCAGATTCTAAAACCAATAATAACAATTTTTTTCTTTTTTCTTTTTCTTCTCATTTTTTGTAGAGATGGGGTCTCACTATGTTGCCCAGGCTGGTCTCAAACTGCTAGGCTCAAGCAGTCCTCCCACCTTGGCCTCCCCAAATGCTGGGATTACAAGTGTAAGCCATTGCAACTGGTCAAAAACAAAACAAAACAAAAAGCTATTGATATGCTAATTGTACATCCATTATATGCCAGGCATTATGTTAGCCACTGTATATTATCTCACTGAATTTCCACAATCACCTTCCAGGGTATCCATTATTACCCCTGTGTCACAGGAGTTACTGTTGAGGCTTAGAAAAGTCCTGTATCATATCTAAGGTTCCACTGGCTAAGTGCAGGTTTCAGATCCTCAAAGCCTGTATGTGTTCCAATCTCCAAACGACAGGAGGCACAGCTCTAAGTTCAGGGAATTAAAGGTACGCATGACTAACATCCACATGATGGTCTGACCTTTCCCTCACTCTTCTATTTCAGGACCCCTCTTCTTACTGAATGCTGAGCAAATTGCGGAGGAGATAGGGAATATGTGGAGGACAACGTATAAACTGATCAAGACCTTGTCTGATGTGCCTGCACCCAGGCGCTTAGCAGAGAATGTGAAGATCAAGATCGATAAGTTCAAGCAGTACATTCCCATCCTCAGTATTTCCTGCAACCCAGGAATGAAAGACCGACACTGGCAGCAGGTTTCTATCAATCACTGCCCGCCCCCAAGCAGCGCAGCCCAGGCCTGGCCCTGACTGTCCTTGGGAAGGCAGGAAACATTACTAGGTCAAGCTTCTCCTTTCCGAAAGGAGACTCTATTTAAGGGCAAAGGGATAGCAAATGAGAGTGGCAAGACTTCTGAAGGAAGAGAATGAACTCCCTGCCCCCTGGACAGGTTGGCCCTTTCCTTGGAACCCCCATTGGTCGTGGTTCGTTGAGTGTTGTTCGAGCCAATGACCACAAAGGGTCTCCTTCCTGCTTCCTAAGCAGATGGGCTTTTGGAGGCCAAGAGCCTCCAAGGTGCAACAGGGATGTTCAATACAGTGAGAGGACCTTGATTTGCTCCTTGACCTAGGATACACAAAAAAGAAAGTCACATCTCTCCCTGGGGGTTGCTAATAATACCAGATGATTCCCACTTAGGATGACTTTGGTGTGGCATTTTATTGTCAAACAGGTTCAGAAATAACTTTGCACTCCTCTTTCAGCCCTTTGGGCCTACAAATTAGAAAAATAAATATTCTCCTTAAAAATAGCTGGGATTTTTATAAGGAACCAAGTGTGAGGGTGATAAGTGTGGTGTGAACACTAAGCAGAAAAAAGAAAACTCACTGTGTTTCTAAAATAATTGTCACTTCCAAGGGCTAGCAATGGCCTTGAAACATCCTTTACCAGGAGTCGCTCTGTATGGAATTAGAAGTGAAAATGGCTTTCTTTGGGAAGATTCTTCTCTGACTTGGCCTGTAATTCCCCCTCTCAGAACCACATTCAAGACCAGGCACGGTGGCTCAAGACCATAATCCTAACACTTTGAGAAGCTGAGGCAGGAGGATAGTTTGAGCCCAGCCTGGGCAACATAGTGAGACCCCCATCTCTCCCTAATTAATTAATTAATATTAGCTAGGTGTAGTGGTGCACATTTGTGGTCCAGTAACTTGGGAGGCTGAGGTGGGAGGATTGCTTGGGCCAAGGATGTCAAGGCTGCATTGAGCCATGATCGTGTCACTGCACTCCAGCCTGGGTAACGGGGGGACAAAAAAGCCACGTATAAGACTGAGGAAATTCTCTCTGAAAGGACCCAATGACAACACAGTGACAAGGAGCACTTTGTTCTCCCTAGGAAGAGAGAGGAAGACTCTCTTAATACATGAGAGAGTCAGGGTCTTTTTGTAGGGAGAAGCTACTTTCAGTTTCCCAAAAAGTCTTGAACTGGAGACCTAACCAAAGGATGGGGTGATGTATAGACAAGAGATAGGCTGTCTGAGTAGACCTCTGTTTTTCTTTTTTTTTTTTTTTTTTTTTGAGGTGGAATCTCACTGTGTCACCCAGGCTGGAGTGCAGTGACATGATCTCGGCTCACTACATTCAAGCAGTTCTCCTGCCTCAGTCTCCTGAGTAGCTGGGATTGCAGGCACGTGCCACCATGCCCTGCTAATTTTTGTATTTTTAGTAGAGATGGGGTTTCACCATGTTGGCCAGGCTGGTCTTGAACTCCTGACCTCAAGTGATCCACCCGCCTCAACCTCCCAAAGTTCTGGGATTATAGGCATGAGCCACCGTGCCTGGCTGGGATATTTTTTAATTGTAATTTTAATTAATTGATTTTTAAAATAGAGATGGGGGGGGTCTTACTATGTTGCCCAGGCTGGTCTCAAATTCCTGGCCTCAAGTGATCCTCCTGCCTTGGCCTCCTAAAGTGCTGGGATTACAGGCGTGAGCCACAGTGCCTGGCCATGACTTCTGGTTTTGAAACGCCCCAGCAGAGGGATCCGCAGAGGAGGAGTTGCTGTCAGCTGGTGCTCACGGGGTGCCTCTCTCTACGGACCCAGCCTAACTAGGACTTTGACCTGCATCGGGGGGATGGGGGGGTTAGGGAGCTTAGGTGGGACAGGTGGCCTCTGGTAGTGCCAGGTTTCTCTATGAGATGGCACTATCAAGAGTGTCCTTGTCGATGGCATTTGGAGAACATGCCGCGGGGCCGGGAAAGCCATCTGCTCCACCTGGTGCTTCCTCTATGATGCTATTCTTGTATGTGGGCACTCAGAAAATCCCAACCAGGCCAAGCGAGGTAGCTCACACCACTAATCTCAGCACTTTAGGAGGCCGAGACAGGAGGATCACTTGAGGCCAGGAGCTTGAGGCCAACCTGGGCAACATAGTGTGACCCATCTATTTAAAAAATTAATTAATTTAAATTTAAAAAATCCCAGTCAGGTGCCGTGGCTCACGCCTATAATCCCAGGACTTTGAGAGGCCGAGGCAAGTGGATCGCTTGAGCCCAGGAGTCTGAGAACCAGCCCGGGCCAACACTGCAAAACCCCATCAAGAAATACAAAAAAATTAGCCGGGCGTGGTGGCACATGCCTGTAGTCCCAGCTGCTAGGGAAGCTAAGGTGGGAGCATCACTTGAGCCTGGGAGGTTGAGGCTGCAGTGAGCTGTGATTGCGCCACTGCAGTCTAGCCTGGGCAACAGAGAAAGACCCTGTCTCAATAAATAAATAAATAAATAAATAAAGTAAAAAAATTCTAACCATAATAATAATGATGATATTGAAAATGTACTGAGTACCAGCTATGGTGCTGGGTACTGTGTTGTATACTTTATTTGGATTCTCACATTTCACCCTTAAAACAGGCCTTTGAAGTGGAGATTATTATTATCTCCATTTCACGGATTGGAAAACTGAGACTTGGAGAGATGAATTGTCAGATGGCTAGTTGGTGGTGGGAAAGGGGATTGGAATTTTTCTACACTGTTTGACTCAGCCTGGAAAAGTCAAAAAGGCAAAAAAGGTCCGGTCAGAGGAAGGGAGCGGGCAGTAGGGGGCAGTAAACCACAGTGAGAGAGGGCCGGGGAGCACAGCCCTAGGACAGTGGCTCCCAAGGAGTGAGCCCCTAAATGGAAGCCCAGTGGGCTGAGCAGTTAAGAGGCAAGTTCAGAAAGGACAAAGGCCCCTAGATACTCTCCGGACTGCCCCTAGGCAGAGCCCATTCCTCCCTGCAGTGTATGTAGGTCACACCACAGGCCGCCCTGGGGACAGCCCCAGGCCTGGGGATGTCATTCTCTGCCCTGATGCCTAACTTAGGAGATCCACTGCCACAGATGCTAGCTCTGGCAGGGGGATCTGAAGGATGAGCCATCTGTAGCACTCAAGTCTAGAAGCTGGATCTTCTGAAGCAAGGCCATGGCTGTGCTGGGGGTTCTGGTCATTTACAGAACGTAGGTAGAAAAAGTTAGAGCCTTACGTTTGGGGCACAGACTTTATAGATAACAGCAAAGGGGTTGCTACTGTGGTTTCAAACGAAATGGAAGCCACAAATCTAAAAGGCTTTTTGGATCACTACACTAAGGTGCATTTCTGATGTCCTATTTGCAATTAGTGTTATTTTGGTTATTTTTTCATCATGTGCCTATAACACTCTTGGTCTTCCAAGACCGTTATTTCAACGGTAACTACTTCTGGGTTCCTTGCTTTTGTGCTTTCTGAGTCATTATAAAAAAATCTCCTGGTCTGGCCAGGTGCAGTGGCTCACGCCTGTAATCCCAACACTTTGGGAGGCCGAGGCAGACAAATCACCTGAGGTCAGGAGTTCGAGAGCAGTCTGGCCAACATGGCGAAACCCCATTTCTACTAAAAATACAAAAATTAGCCGGGCGTGGTGCCATGCGCCTGTAATCCCAACTACTTGGGAGGCTGAGGCAGGAAAATCATTGGACCCAGGAGACAGAGGTTGCAGTGAGCCGAGATTGCGCCATGGCACTCCAGCCTGGGTGACAGAGCGAGACTCTCTCTCAAAAAAAAAAAAGTATGGAAAAAGAAAAATTTAAAAAATAATAAAAATTTAAAAAATAATAAAAATTTAACTGTTAAAAAAAAAGCAAGATGGAACAAGGTAACATTTGATCTTAGGGAGAAACTGCACTGATAGATGCCAAAACTGGCCCTCTGTGACTAGTACAAATATAACGTGAGCCATTTGTGTTAATTTTTTTTTTTTTTTGAGATGGAGTCTCACTCTGTTGCCCAGGCTGGAGTGCAGTGGTGCGATCTCGGCTGATTCCTGCCTCCACCTCCCGGTTCAAGCTGTTCTTTTGCCTCAGCCTCCCAAGTAGCTGGGATTGCAGGCACCTGCCACCGTGCCCAGCTAATTTTTGTATTTTTAGTAGAGACAGGGTTTCACCTGTTTGACAGGCTGGTCTTGAACACCTGACCTCAAGTGATCCGCCCGCCTCAGCCTCCCAAAGTGCTGGGATTACAGGAGTAAGCCACTGCACCCAGCCAATAATTTTAAAGTTTCTAGTAGCCACATTTTACAAAGTAAAAGGGACTGGGCATGATGGCTCACACCTGTAATCCCAGCATTTTTGGGAGATCAAGGTGCGAGGATTGCTTGAGTATAGGAGTTCAAGACCAGCGTGGAAAACATAGCGAGACCCCATCTCTACAAAAAAATTTTTAAAAAGAAAAAGGTTAGCCAGGCATGGTGTTGTATGCCAGTGGTCCCAGCTGCTCAGGAGGTCGAGGGAGGAGGACCACTTGAGCCTGGGAGGTCAAGGCTGCAGTGAGTCATGATCACACCACTGCACTTCAGCCTGGGCAACAAAGCAGGACCCTGTCTAATTAAAATTAGCTGGGTGTGGCGGCTCACTCCTGTAATGTGACTACTTTGGGAGGCTATGGTGGGAGGATCGCTTGAGGCCAGGAGTTTGAGACCACTTTGAGCAACACAGCAAGACCCTATCTCTACAATAAATTTAAAAATTAGCCAGGCAAGGTGGTGTGTGCCTGTGGCCCCAGCTACTGGGGAGGCTGATGTGGGAGGATTGCTTGGGCCTGGGAGGTCAAAGCAGCAGTGAGCTATGATGGCACTGTGTTGCCTGGGAGACAGAGTGAGACTGTCTCAAAAAATTTTTTTAATTTAATTTAAAAATAAATTCCTCAGTCACACTAGCCACATCTCTGGTGCTCAACAGCCACCTGCCACTCGTGGCTGTTATGCTGAGCAGTGCAGATAAAAAGAACATCTCCATCATCACAGAAGGTTCTACTGGACAGCACTGCCTCGGACAACAAACATTTGCTTTCCTCTTTTCTTTGCAGATCAGTGAGATTGTTGGCTATGAGATAAAGCCCACCGAAACGACCTGCCTCTCAAATATGCTCGAATTTGGATTCGGCAAATTCGTTGAAAAGTAAGGGCTTATCCCCTCCTTCAGATAAGGTTTTGGTCAAAGGATCTGTAAGTTCCCACAGTGATCTGATTGGCTCCATATCGGGCTGTTTGTTTTTTTTTCCTTGTGGCGTAGGGTGGCTTAAGGCTATTTAATTACCTGCAGCTACCAACTCGTATTGGTGAAGCTTCTGTTTTTTAGCTGCAGAGCTGCTGATGGGTTGTGACTAGAAAATTGAGTCATGGATTTTATTTCAAAGGGTTTTTTTTTTTTTTAATGTTCTTTGAACCTGAGCTTCAAGCCCAGCTCTCAGTGATTGGGGGCAAAACCATTCAGCCTTTCTGTGCCTCGGTTTCCTCTTCTTTAAACAAACAAAGCAACAACCGTCTCTGAGCTTTAAGATTGTGTGAAACCTGGTCCAATAAGAAGTCTCTTCTCGCCTGGGCACAGTGGCTCATGCCTGTAATTTCAGCACTCTGGGGGGCCGAGGCAGGCGGACCACTTGAGGTCAGGAGTTCAAGACCAGCCTGGCCAACATAGTGAAACCCCCGTTTCTACTAAAAATACAAAAGCTAGCCAGGCATGGTGGCACATGCCTGTAGTCCCAGCTACTCAGGAAGCTAAGGCCAGAGGATCGCTCGAACCCAGGAGGTGGAGGTTGCAGTGAGCCAAGATAGCGCCATTGCACTACAGCCTGGGTGACAGTGTGAGACTCCATCTTAATTTAAAAAAAAGAAAAAAAAAGAAGTCTTTTCTCTTGCTTTCTTCCCTTCTCCAAATTCCCCTGGAGTTTGTGTGTGAGAATTTTACCATTTGGATGCTACCTCTAGAACAGAGCTTCTCAGGACCCTACTTGCTTTTTCACACTTCCTTCAGGGCGATGGGTGGGGAGATGTTGCATTGCCTGGACTGGAGACCCTGTTAGGTGAGTGTGGCACCCAGATCTGCTGCATCAGCGTCAGCTAGGAACTAGCTAGAATGCACGTTTTCAGGCCCCACCCAACCCACATAATCAAATTCTGCAGATGGGCCCTGCAGTCTGCATTTTAACAAATCCTTCAGGTCAGCACTGTCCAAAGCAGCATCCACTGGCCACATGTGGCCATTGAGCCCCTACAGTGCAGCTAGTCTGAATTAGATGTGCTGTAAGTATAAAATACAGGCTGGATTTCGAAGACATACTACAAGAAAAAAGAATGCAAAATACCTAACAATTTTTAATACTGATTAGTATTGAAATGATAATATTTTGGATATATTGAGTCAAATACATTATTGGAACTAATTTCACCTGTGTCTTTTAATATTTTTAAAATGTGGCTACTAGAAACTTTATTTTATTTTATCTTATTTTATTTTGGAGACGGAGTCTCACTTTGTCACCCAGGCCAGAGTGCAATGGCACAATCTCGGCTCACTGCAACCTCCTCCTCCCAGGTTCAAGTGATTCTCCTGCCTCAGCTTCCCGAGTAGCTGGGGTTACAGGTGCCCGCCACCATGCCTGGCTAATTTTTGTATTTTTGGTAGAGACGGGGTTTCACCACATTGGCCAGGCTGGCCTTGAACTCCTGACCTCAGGTGATCTGCCCACCTCGGCCTCCCAAAGTGCTGGGATTACAGGCGAGAAACTTTAAAATTACATATGTGGCTCACTCTATATTTCTAATGGACAGCACTGCTCCAGGCGATTCTGATACATGAAAGGCTGAGAATTCCCCACTCATACTGCACCAGAGCAGGTCTAATTTAAGGCACTTCCCAGCTCCTGAATCTTTCTGCCACCTGAATACTGTGATGCCTCTCCAATACCACCACTATGTTCCTCATTAACGAGCAGGCCTAGAGACGCAAATGTTTTTTATCAGGTTTAGGATAAAAACCCTTAGGTTTTTTGGCCAAAGGGCCTCACTTTCCCCCAGTAAGATGTTTCCAAGAGACACTAGCTATTGAACACTTATGCTGCACTCAGCATTTTATATACCTGAACCCTTTTTATTTATTTATTTATTTTTTATTTTTTGAGACAGAGTCTCACTCTGTGTCCCAGGCTGGAGTGCAATGGTGCAATCTCAGCGGTGCAATCTCAGCTCACTGCAACCTCCGCCTCCTGGGTTCAAGTGATTCTTCTGCCTCAGCCTCCCGAGTGGCTGGGATTACAGGCACCTGCCATCATGCCTGGCTAATTTTTGTATTTTTGTAGAGATGGGGTTTCATCATGTTGGTCAGGCTGGTCTCGAACTCCTGACCTCAGGTGATCCATCTGCCTTGGCCTCCCAAAGTACTGGGATTACAGGCGTGAGCCACCATGCCCGACCTTAACACATTTATCCATCACAAAAACCTAGTGTCCTAGGTCCTACCGTCCTAATATTATTCTCATTTTACAGATGAGGAAATAAACTTCAGATTATTAGCCATTGATCACACTAGTAACCGAAAGAATGAACATTTCACTTAGGAAAGAATCAAGATTTGAACATAAGCAGGCTTCCATTACCAGGCAGGCCTTAACCATGACCCTTCACTGCTGAAAAAGTAAACCCCTCTCCAGAGACAGTGAATGAGCAAATAAACATACAGCTATTCTTATACTTTCCATGCACACATGTTCAACTGTGACCAATTCAGAAGTGGAAGCATCTTGGCTAAGTTGTTTCCTTCTGTGCGCCTTGGTTCCATTTGTAACATGGGAGAGTAGCTAGGTGATTAGAGTTAGGATTAGGAGAAAAGGCATGTCACCTGAACTGATTCCATGTCTGGGGACTCAGCCACCACCATTTAGGGAGGTGTGATATTGCATGTATTCCACCCACACCATAGTTAATGCAGCTTCATCACAGCCCATAGTTAATGAGCTTCTCCAGCACATTTTGGGTGAGGTCAACTCCTGATATATTTCATGAATTCCCAGACTGATTAGTCCCTCATCTGTTCAATCATTTGCATTCTAAGTCATACCCTAGGGTAATTCATGAGGCCTGGTGCCAGCATTTGGTCTTATTTAATTGAACCCCAAAGCCTGTGATAGGGGCATATGGGGACCTGAGGCCTGTCAAGTGACTTGGCCACAGCCACACAGCCAGTGAGTACTGGAGGCTGGGCCTTGTGACTCTTTGTCTCATACTAATCTGGGCTGGCACCTGCCTTTATTAATTATTCCCTATATGCACACTCATTTTGGTCACCTCTCACAGGCCATATTTAAGTCAGTGACCACGCTGCTGAGGTCCTGATCAGTCCTTGTTTGTAATTTTCTGCTCCTAATCTTCCTCCCTTCTAGAGGCTAAATGAGGGTTCTCCGCTCTATTTAATTGGTCCTATTTGATTGAACACATATGAACAGTTCTATTAGTTGTTACTCTTTTTTTTTTTTTTTTTTTTGAGACGGAATTTTACTCTTGTTGCCCAGACTGGAGTGCAATGACATGATCTTGGCTCAATGCAACCTTCACCTCCCGGGTTCAAGCGATTTTCCTGCCTCAGCCTCCTGAGTAGCTGGGATTACAGGCGTGCGCCACCATGCCTGGCTAATTTTGTATTTTTAGTAGAGACGGGGTTTCACCATGTTGGTCAGGCTGGTCTCGAACTCCTGACCTCAGGTGATTCACCTGCCTTGGCCTCCCAAAGTGCTGGGATTACAGGAGTGAGCCACCGTGCCTGGCCTAGTTCTATTGCTCTTTCTAAGTAAGAGAAGGGAGAAGGCATATCATAAGGGTGGAAGAAGAAACACCAGGGTAGGAGTCAGATTAGGAGGAATTGGTGTCAATACCCAGTTCCAGGACTCCCTGGCTCTGTGATTTTGGACATGTCACTTGCTTCCTCTGAGCGTTGGTTTCCTGACCTATGAGTAAATATCAGATGGTCTCTTCTACACTCAAGGATGCAATGAAAGACAGGGCTGAGGCAGAGAGAACAGTCCCTCTTTCCACTTCCAAGAACTTGGCTTTCCAATTCTTTGCCACACCTCGGTTTTAGGACCCAGATCTCCATGTGGAAACAAGAAGAAAGGAATTTGTTTGCCTCTTCTCTCTCTCCCTCTATGCCCCTTTCTGTGGAATAGAGGGGCCATGGACGGGTGGACCCAGTATCAGGAAAATAGTAGGTGTTTTTGAAAAGGGAAGGGATGGGAAGTAGAGCAAGAGCCATCACATAAATTAACAGAGGTTCAAAATCTGAATAAGAAATCAGAATACTGGCCGGGCATGGTGGCTCACGCCTGTAATTCCAGCACTTTGGGAGGCCGAGGCGGGCGGATCACTTGTGGTCAGGAGTTCAAGACCAGCGTGGCCAATATGGTGAAACCCCGTCTCTACTAAAAATACAAAAATTAGCCAGGTGTGGTGGAGGGCACCTGTAATCCCAGCTGCTTGCGAGGCTGAGGCAGGAGAATCGCTTGAATCCGGGAGGCAGAGGTTGCAGTGAGCCAAGATCATGCCACTGCACTCCACCCTGGGCATCGCAGTGAGACTCCATCTGGGGGAAAAAAAAATAAAAGAAATCAGAATATGGGCAAATAAGGCATAAACAAAGATGGAAAGAAGAGGTCTTATTTTAGTGACCTTACAACAGTGGTTCTCAACTGGGGGCCATTTCCCACCCTTAAGGGACACTTGGAAATATCTGGAGACATTTTTGGTTGTCATGACTGGCAAAAGATGGGGCAGGGCTGGGGAGTCTGCTGCTGGTGTCTAGTGGGTAGAGACCAGGGATGCTGCTCAACACCCTAGAAGGTACGGTACAGCTCCCCATGACAATTATTTCAGCCTATGTGAGTTTGCTAGGTCTCATCAAAAGACAAAGCAACAAATTGAGTTATAGTCTAATTGGCTTTTAATCAAGATTCGTGAATCAGGGCAGCCTCTGTTTTCCAAAATAGAATGAGAGTTCCCACTGGGCAGTAGCACAATGGTAAGTTTTATAAGGAAACAGAACAATATGAAAAAAAAGGATTAATTAATGTCAGGTTATTTTTTTATGAGGGTTCAAGCAGAGGGAACTTCCTTATTCTCTGAGTCAGGTAGACTGGAATCTCCTGTTTTCAGGAAAAACTGTCCTGTTCTGGGATCTATCTCCTTCCTTAAAGATTCAGTTTGATTACATGCCATTTAGCGTGAGTGACTCCATTTTGGTTTGGTCTGGTCTGCTGGGGTCTAGTGCAGGAGCTCAGTCCGGAATAATGACCTCTCATAATTTTTGTTGAACAGGCTGCTCTTACAGCATACCACAGACTGAGTGGCTTACACAACAGAAATTTATTGTCTCATAATTCTGGAGGCTTAAAGTCCAAGGCCAAGTTGTAGGCAGGGTTGGTTGCTTCTGAGGCCTCTCTCCTTGGCTTGCAGATGGCTGTCTTCCCCTATGAATTGACATGGTCTTCCCTCTGTGTGTCTGTGTCCTAATCTCTTCTTATAAGGTCACCAATTATAATGGATTAAGGCCCACCCTCATGACTTATTTTAATTTAATTACCTCTTTAAAGATCCTTTCTCCAAATAGAGTTACATTCCAAGATATTAGGGGTTAGAATTTCAATATATGAATTTTTGAGGAGACAATATTTAACCCATAACACAGCCCAAAAAGTCAACGGTGCCAAGGGTGAGAAACCCTGCAAAACACTGGCGGTAGCTGGCAGATCTTAGAGCAGGATAGTAAACCTTTTGGTCAAATTAAGGGCTTTTGGAGATTCTCCTAAGACTGAGCTGAAATTCCTCCCTTTTTTTTTTTTTTTTTTTTTTTTTTGAGACAGGGTTTACTCTGTTTTCCAGAGTGGAGTGCAGTGGTGAAATCACGATCTCAGCTCACTGCAGCCTCTACCTCCCAGGCTCAGGCGATCCTCCCACCTCAGTCTCCTGAGTAGCTAGAACTACAGGCATACACCACACCTGGCTAATTTTTGTGTTTTTAGTGGAGATGGGGTTTTGCTATATTGCCCAGGCTGGTCTCGAACTCCCGACCTCAAGCAATCTTCCCTCCTCGGCCTCCCAAAGTGCTGGGATTACAGGCATGAGCCACCATGCCTGGCCTGAAGTTCCTCCTTTGATGTGTCTTCTCTGCCTCCTGTTGATGTTGCTGTTGCTGTGTTCTCTCTTTAGATTGGAGCCCATTGGTGCAGCTGCCAGCAAGGAATACTCTCTGGAGAAAAACTTGGATAGAATGAAGTTGGATTGGGTTAACGTGACGTTCAGCTTCGTGAAATACAGGGACACTGTGAGTCTCACTGCAACCGCAGCCCCTTTTGAAAGCAGCCCCATTTATTATGCAATAGATTACAGAAACGATTCATTCAGAATGGCAACAGAACTCACAGAGAAATAATCGCTCATGTCTTGATTGTTTCCTACTGTCTGCCTTTCTGTGTCAGTCACCTTTCCTGTCAGCACCACCGAAGAGATTCATTCTTCAAATCAGACAAGTCTTTTGATTCAGAGCAAGAGGCTTTCTCAGTGCAAAGGAACCAAGCAAGCCTCTAAATCAGCACCTCCCAGTGAAGGTGCAGGCTTGTACACCATTCCAAAGCTTCCCAGTCCCGTCAGAAGCACAGGGGCAGACAATGACTAGTGTTTCTCAGATGTCAATGCATGCAGGAATCATCGGAGATCTTGTTGAAATGCGGGTTCTGATTCAGCAGGTCTGGGATGGAATCTAGGATTCTGCAGATCTAACAAGCTCCCAGATAATATTGATCAATTTTGAATAGTAAGGGTGTAGGTTTCTTTCTTTTCACTTGCACTTGTAGAAAACACAGGAGTTTGTACAGTGCATGCGAAGGTGCTACACACCCAAAGCATTTGCTCAGCTGTCGTTAGGGTCTGGCTTGCTTTTGGGATAGGGTGTGAGGTAGGGATGAGGGTTGCAGCTCTTGGGGAGCTGTAAATCATGGAGGCAACAGGTTGATACACACATCCTGCAGACCATTGGTTCTTTTTTTCTTTCTTTTTTTGAGATGGAGCCTTGCTCTGTCACCCAGGCTGGAGTGCAACTGCGTGATCTCGGATCACTGCAACCTCTGCCTCCCAGGCTCAAGCGATTCTCATACCTCAGCCTCCCGAGTAGCTGGGATTACAGGTGCCCGCCACCATGCCCAGCTAATTTTTATATTTTCAGTAGAGATGGGGTTTCATCATGTTGGCCAGGCTGGTCTTGAACTCCTGACCTCAAGTGATCTGCCCACCTCCGCCTCCCAAATTGCTGGGATTACAGGTGTGAGCCACCACGCCAGGCCCAACCATTGATTCCTAAAGCAGTGCTTCCAAACCTGCATTGTAGAATCATCTGGAATGCTTTAAAATCTCCCAATGGATTCTTCCTGGCTCCTCCCCTCCCAGAATGCCTGGGCATCTGTATTTTTCAGGCACCCCTGGTTTTTCTCATGTGCAATGTAGATTGAGAACCAAAAGCTCCCAAGCCTCCCTCCTTCCCCAGGCTGCATGTTATCTACTTGTGACTTCTTTCCCTATTCAGTTTAAATGGTTGGAGTGTCTTGATTTCACTCAAGGAAGAGCTGTAGGGGTGAAAAGGTGTGATCCCTTTCTTCACCTAGCATGAAGGTCATTCACCGCCAATACTCCTATAATAAAAGACAGATTAACAAGAGAAAAGCATTAAAATTTTATTTAATCAAAGTTTTACATGACTTTGGAACCATCGAAAGTGAAGACCCAGGGAAAACTGTGTTTTGGGGCTTAGGTTTGATGAAGAATGGACAGCTGTATGGAAATGAAATTGAACAAAAGCGTATGGTATAATGGTCTAGACTCCATGGGAAGCCTAGCAAGACCTGCTGTTGAGATTCTTCTTGGTCTCTCTGTGTAGCAGTCCTTCCTCCCAGGCATAGGGCAAGACCCCCTCAGGAACGACAGTCTTGTGACCCACTATCAGACAAGGTTGCTCAGAGAATTTCCTTATGGCCGGCTGTCTTGGTCAGAGTGATATTTCAGGATTTTATGCTTGCTTCGGGCAAGAGGAGTTTAGTTTCTATGGACTGTCTTAGGGGAAAGATAAAGGAGCAGGAGAAAGGCAGAAAAAGATGGACAGAAAGATCTTGCTTCCAAGGCCTTCCAATGTCCTTCAGTTCAAAATACTCAGCAAATCAAGGTGCAATGCTTCGGGGTATCATGTTCTGAGACCCAACAGAACTATACATGATCTGATGAGAGGGAAGAGAGCTGAGGGCACAGGGCCTCATTACTGAGCCTCTCCCAGCAAGGGTGACCCAGCCACCATGGGTCTCAGAAGCGTGGCTGCATGATCAGCTTGGATTAGACACTGCTATAGAGGCTGTTGGGGTGACAAGAGGAGTATAAGCTAGGAGACCTGGGGAACAGCTCACTTATACCTGGCCAATCTGCAGAGTTTTTGCCTAAAGTAACTACAGACAAGGATCAGTAGCTAAATGGGGATCAAGAAACCACTTTATTAATAGCCCAACATACCTCCCAATGCTGAGCTACTGGTAAAACATAGATAAGAGAATACATGCTAGGCCCAAATTTAGCCTCCTAGATTAGACTTGAAAGAAGTGAGAACAGAGCGAGAAAGACCAAACCTGCCCCAGGGTCAGACCCTTGTCAGCTTGCTTGCCACAATGGCCCAGGAGAAAAAGTGCCACCCACAGGGCCTGGCCTTTAAGGCACACCTTAGACCTTACCTACTTGTAAAACAGGACCACTTGGTCAGGCTTGGTGCCTCACACCTATAATCCCAGCACTTTGAGAGGTCCAGGTGAGAGGATCACTTGAGCTCAGGAGTTCGAGAACAGCCTGGGTAACACAGCAACACCCCCTCTCTACAAAATAATAATAATAATAATAGTAATAATAATAATAATAATAATAATAATTAGCTGAGTATGGTGATGTGCACCAGCTACTTGGAAAGCTATTTGGGAAGCTGAGGCAGGGAGATTGCTTGAGCCCAGGAATTTGAGGCTGCAGTAAGCTATGATTGCAATATTACACTCCAGCCTGGGTGACAGAGTGAGACCCTGTCTCAAAAAAGACCCAATAAATGTATAAAACAAGCCAGGCATGGTGGCTCGTGCCTGTCATGCTTGTAATCCCAGCATTTTGGGAGGCTGAGGCAGGCAGATCACTTGAGGTCAGGAGTTTGAGACTAACCTTGCCAACATGGTGAAACCCCATCTCTGCTAAAAGTACAAAAATTAGCCCGGTGTGGTGGTGCTTGCCTGAAATCCCAGCTACGCAGGAGGCTGAGGCAGGAGAATGAATTGAATCTGGAAGGCAGAGGTTGCAGTGAGCTGAGATCATGCCACTGCACTCCAGCCTGGGCAACAGAGCAAGACTGTCTCAAAAATAAATAAATAAATACATGGCACATGTATACATATGTAACCAACCTGCACGTTGTGCACATGCACCCTAAAACTTAAAGTATAATAATAATAAAATTAAAATTAATTAATTAATTAATTAATTAAACAAAGGTCCCCAAACTTTCTTGGTTCACAATGGCTTTGTGTCTAAGTACTTTTTTCACAGTGCCCTTAGGCCAAAAGAAATACCTAATAGCTTTGTTTATGCAGTAATTAGGTCCAAACAACTTAATAAGGATTTATGCTCTAACAACTTAGGCACTGTTTGAAAAAAATACACCTACAATGAAAGAAAAACTAATAGCTGTATTTTATTTTTAAATAACCAGAATCATTCACTCTGAGTTGGCTGCGGTGCCCCGGGGCACATCAGTTCACAGTGTGGAAACCGCAGGTCTAGGCCTAACCAGTCAGATTAGCAGCCGATCTTCCTACCCAAGGGAAAGGAGAGCCAGGAAAGCAAGTGAAGAAGCAGGAATATAGGGAAAGGGGAAGAAATCTTCCTCCCCAGCAGATTATGTCTATGAGTCTTGGATTAGACTGTATTTGACTTCTGCAAAGGAGGTGGACAATAAATGTCTTTTTAAAAAAAAAATTTTTAGAGATGGGGTCTTGCTATGTTGCCTAGGCTGGTCTTGAATTCTGGGACTCAAGCGATCCTCCTACCTCAGCCTCCCAAAGTGCTGGGATTATGGGCATGAGCCACCTTGTCCAGCCTAAATATCTTTAATAACATTTTCAAGGAAGAAAGTAGAAGTCCTATTCCCTGCAAGACATAGATTCCTACTCCATGAGAGTGGAGTTCTGAGCTGGGAGGTCCTAAGGGATCAGCATGAAAAATGGGGAGGTAGCTGGATGCAGTGGCTCAAGCCTGTAATCCCAACACTTTGGGAGGCTGAGGCAAGAGGATCACTTGAGGCCAGGAGTTCGAGACCAGCCTGGGCAACACAGTGAGACCCCATCTCTTAAAAAAAATATCCAGGCTGGGTGTGGTGGCTCATGCCTGTAATCCCAGCACTTTGGGAGGCCGAGGCGGGTGGATCACCTGAGGTCAGGAGTTTGAGAGCAGCCTGGCCAATGTAGTGAAACCCTGTCTCTACTAAAAATACAGAATTAGCAGGGCGTGGTGTCATTTGCCTGTAATCCCAGCTATTCAGGAGGCTGAGGCAGGAGAATCACTTGAACCTGGGAGGTGGACGTTGCAGTGAGCCGAGATTCTGCTGGTGCCCTCCAGCCTGGGCAACAGGAGTGAAACTCTGTCTTAAAAAAAAAAATCCAGGCATGGTGGCATATGCCTGTAGTCCTACCTACTTGGGAGGCTGAGGCAGGAGGATCCCTTAAGCCCAGGAGTTTGAGGCTGCAGTGAGCTAGGATTGAGCCATTGCACTCAGGCCTGGGTGAGGAGACCCTGTCTCAAATAAATAAATTTTTAAAAAAGGAAAAGAAAAATGGGGAGGTTTCACAATCTTGACAGGGTGGGGCATCTTTATTTACAGGATACAAACATCTTGTGTGCAATTGATGACATTCAAATGCTACTTGATGATCACGTGATAAAGACCCAGACCATGTGTGGCTCCCCATTCATCAAACCAATAGAAGCAGAATGCCGGGTAAGAGGAAATGAAGTTGAATGCTTTGAGGTGTTTCGTTAGCTCTGGGTTTCTCAGAGGAGGGGAAAGGTTTTCACGTTCAGTTAACAAAGAAAGTCACTTTGTCCTAATTGGAAAAATAAATAAATAAATGATACAGTGGCTCACACCTGTAACCCCAGTACTTTGGGAGGCCGAGGCGGGCAGATCACCTGAGGTCAGGAGTTCAAGACCAGCCTGGCCAACATGGTGAAACTCCGTCTCTACTGAAAATACAAAAATTAGCCAGGCATAGTGGAGGGTGCCTGTAATCCCAGCTTCTTGGGAGGCTGAGACAGGAGAATCACTTGAACCCAGGAGGCAGAGGTTGCAGTGAGCCGAGATCGCGCCATTGCACTCCAGCCTGGGCGACAAGAGTGAAACTCCGTCTCAAAAATAAGTAAATTAATTAATTAATTAATGACACAAGGCTGAAAGCAATAACCATCCAAGAAAGCATATGGCATGCTGAGCCTTTGCAACTGTCTGCCAAAAGAGAAGATGGCATTTGAATGCACCAAATACACATGCATTTGGGAAGCATCTTATGGTAGTAATCTAGAATGTAAGCTACCCGAAGATAGGGGTTTGGCCTCCTGTGCTCATTGTTTGTAGCAGTGACATAGGCTAAGGACACAAACTCTGAAGCCAGATTACCTGGGTTCAAATTCTGGCTCTGCTCCTTACTAGTGGTGTGACCTTGGGCACATTACTAAACTGTTGTGTTTCAGTTTCTACATCTGGAAAACACGGTTTGTAATCACATCTACCTTGTAAGGCTGTGGGATTTAATTGGTTCCATATACTTAAAGCACTCAGACCATCACTTCTCACAGATTACGTGTATAACTATTGTAATTATTCTGCTAGGACGTGAGCTCCGTAAAGGGCAAAGCTCTTGTGTGTTTCATTCATTGCTATGTTCTCATCACCTGGAGCAGTGACCAGAGCATAGGGAGCCCTCAATAAGTATTTGTTAAACAAGTGACAGACTGAATGAATGAATAAATGTACGGCTCCATCCATTTGCTCTCTCCATGGGCCTGTGATGCAGAGTGGCAGGTTAATGATCCAGATATGAAATGCTAAATTCACAGAAATGGGAAGAAAAGCTAATTCGCATACAAGACAATTTGGATGCCTGGTTGAAATGCCAAGCCACCTGGCTGTACCTGGAACCAATCTTCAGTTCAGAGGACATCATAGCCCAGATGCCAGAAGAGGGGAGGAAATTTGGCATTGTTGATAGTTACTGGAAATCACTTATGTCCCAAGCGGTAAGTTTTTATACCCTAATAACTCTTACCAGCAGAAATACAAATGTTTCCTCATTATGCATTCTAGTCACCTTCCTTGAAACTTGTAAATGAACTAGAGTTTTGGAAAATCAATCTTTTTATATCTTCTTCTAATTTCAGAAGTTGTTATTATTAAAAATGCAAACATATGACCAGTGCGATGGCTCATGCCTATAATCCCATCACTTTGGGAGGCCAAGGCGGGGGTATCACTTGAGGTCAAGAGTTCCAGACCAGCCTGGCCAACATGGTGAAACACCGCATCTCTACTAAAAACACACACACACACACACACACAAATATTAGCCAGGCATTGTGGTGAATGCCTGTAATCCCAGCTACTCGGAGGGCTGAGGTGGGAGGATCGCTTGAACTCAGGAGGCGGCGGTTGCAGTGACCTGGGATCGTGCCACTGCACTCCAGGCTGGGAGAGAGAGCAAGACTCCGTCTCAAAAAAAATTAAAAAAAAAAAAAGCAAATACAAATATGTAACATAGAAAGCAGAAGCCTTTTGAAATCCCACTTCCCAAGCAGTAACTATAGGCAGTTTGTATTATTTAACTGTCATTTCTTACAAGGTTGTATTTGTTACAGGATAATGCAATAACAGTTTTATAGTGAATCCTTTTAGAATTCCAACAATTACCCACATTTGGTTACTCAGTTATTTAACAAATGTTTATTCAGTACCTACAATGACCCAGGTGTTATACTAGAAATCAGAAAATACTTGAAGGTGGCAAGAATATGATTTCTGTCTTCATAGAATTTGCTGCCTTGGCTGAGTGCGGTGGCTCACGCCTGTAATTCCAGCCCTCTGGGAGGCCAAGGCAGGCGGATTGCTTGAGTTCAGGAGTTGGAGACCAGCCTGGATAACATGGTGAAACCCCGTCTCTACTAAAAATATAAAAAATTAACTGGGTATGGTGGTGTGCACCTGTAATCCCGGCTATTCCAAGGCTGAGGCAGGAGGATCCCTTGAGCCTGGGAGGCAGAGGTTGCAGTGAGCCCAGATTGCGCCACTGCACTCTAGCCTGGGCAACAGAGCGAGACTCTGTCCCCCCCCCCACCCAAAAAAAAGTAATATACAAATAGTTATTAGAATGCAGAAGAGTGATTTAGTTGTCTCAGCGTGTCAAGGAAGGCCTCTAAAGCAGGAACGTTGGGATCAAGCCTTGAAGGATGGTAAGTTCACTGGGCGTGCAAGGCACCTAGAGGGATCTTTTATGAGGTCAAATCATTTTCCTTTCTTAAGTCAAGTGTGATCAAACTGGGGTGCACTTAAAAAGATTTTGCTGCAAAGCAATTTGTCTTCCCTGCTTTGTTTGTGGGAGTGAGATAAATGGAATTTAGATTGTCCAGCCAGCATAAGCCAATTCTTTATTAGTTAAGGTTGTTTGGGTGCAAGTGACAGAAACTGACTCAGGATAGCTGAAACGAGAAGACCAAATGGGTGTCTCATGGAACCCAAGGCCAAATAGCACAGCCAAGCCTCACAAAAGATGGATCTAGAACCCAGAAGCCTCTTCTCTTAGGAACTCCTTCCATCTCTCTGATCTTGGCTCCTCTTTCCTGGCCCTGCCTTAGTCAGTCTCTCTCTCTCTCTCTCTCTCTCTCCCTCCCCACCCCCCCCCCCAAGACTGGCTTTCTCTATCACTCCGTCACACAGAGAAACATAATTCTCACTCAGCCCAAACTAGTATAGAATGTCATGGTTTGGATTCTAAACTCCTTGGGTTAAAATATAATTGGGTTTGGTTGGTTTTAGTACCCAATCCCTGCCCAGTCAACCATGATCAGAGGAACAAGGTCATGTTCCATAAGCATTCACCCCTGTGCAGTTAGGAGGGGGATCAGGAGGCAGTTAGCTGGACAAGGAGTGCTGTCAGTTGATAGGTCACACATTCAATACAATGACCAATCTCAGAACTTGGGAACCTTATGATGAGTCTCACTTTTTTTGATGGAACCCAGGTGAAAGATAACAGGATTCTGGTGGCAGCCGACCAGCCACGGATGGCAGAGAAGCTTCAAGAAGCCAACTTTCTCTTGGAGGACATCCAGAAAGGGCTGAATGATTACTTGGAGAAGAAGAGACTATTCTTCCCCAGGTATCCAGCATTGTTCTTTTATTTGGAATTACATTCTTGCCCCATATGTAGGTAGAATTACATTTTTCATGCCAAGAGTTGGCTTCAACCAATCTAGTCCATACTCTTTCCTGGTTTTCCATTCTCCAAGACAGTTTTCAGGAATGGGGCATGGCTTCACCATCTTTACTTAGCGTGAGGTTGAATGGACAGCAATGGGTGTCAAATGCACACGTTGTCCAAACCAACACTGTTATTTTTCCTAATTACGGGGGTAGAGTATTCATGACTGTGAGCCTGGATTTTGGAGTTAATTAGACCTCCTTTGGCATCCCAGCTTTTCTACCTAGTGGTCTTGAGGCCTCCAGCAAATCTATCCAAGCCTCAGGTTCTCCACCGTAAATTTGGGATATAATAATGGCCCCTACTTCATGTATTTGTTGTACACATTAATGAACTAACACATGTAAAAACATTTAGCACCTAGCCTATGTGTTTAAGAAACACCAGTCAATTTTTTTATACCATCAAATTTTGTAGTTTCTGATAGGTATGCTTATACATATTTGACTCTTTTTTTCCACACAAGAACCAATCTTCTGCATAAAAGTCAAGGGAGTTTTAGGTTAGTTCCAGGCTGGTCATGGTGGCTCACGCCTATAATCACAACATTTTGGGAGGCCAAGGTGGGAGGATTCATTGAGCTCAGGAATTTGAGACCAGCCTGGACAAGATGGGGAAATTCCACCTCTACAAAAAAATACAAAAAATAAGCCAGTGTGGTGGTGTTTGCCCATGGTCCCAGCTACTCTGGAGGCTGAGGTAGGAGGATCGCTTGAGCCTGGGAGGCAGAGGTTGCAGTGAGCCAAGATTGCACCAGTGCACTCCAGCCTGGGCAACAGAGTCAGACCATGTCTCAAAATAAAAAAAAAGGAGAAGGTTAGTTTCGGAAAGGTGAATTCTCACTCCTGACATTCCTGATAATCTATCCATGACTAGTTCACCATTGATGGTCACTCCATGTCATTTGACCCCACTTAGGATGTTTGATCCTAATTTACCTTTAAGAAACATAAATTTTAGCGTTTCTTTATATGGAGACAAAGTTAGTTCCCTGCTGTTTACCAAAAAAAACAAAAAAAAAAACAAAAAATGATTTGTTAGAAACTCAGAAGTATGACTGAGCACGGTGGCTTATGCCTGTAATCCCAGCACTTTGGGAGGCCGAGGGGGCGGATCACCCGAGGTCAGGAGTTCAAGACCAGCCTGGCCAACATGTTGAAACCCCGCCTCTACTAAAAATACAAAAATTAGCCAGGTGTGGTGGGGGGCACCTGTAATCCCAGCTACTTGGGAGGCTAAGGCAGGAGAATTGCTTGAACCTGGGAGGTGGAGGTTGCAGTGAGCCGAGATCATACCACTGCACTCCAGCCTGGGTGACAGAGCAAGACTCCGTCTCAAATAAATAAATAAATAAACAAACTCAGAAGTATCTTTGGTATTTATTCAATTCAGCATTATCCAATGAACTTTCTGCAATGATAGGAATGTTCTTTGTCCGTACTGTCCAATATAGTAGCCCTTAGCTGCCAGTGGCCACTGAGCACTTTATATGTGGTTGAGGTGACTGAGGAAGCCAATTTTTAACTTAGTTAATATTACTTTTTAATGTAAATAGCCACATGGGGCTAATAGCTTTTGTATTGGACAGCACAGTATAGTGGAAGGAACCCTGGTTTTGACACATAAGGCTTGGGAAGAGATTAAACTCAGGAAACACCTGAGGTTTGGGCTTCTAGTTCTAGACCCACTCCTGTTATTCCTAATTAAAATATGAATAATAGACCAGGCGTGGTGGCTCCTGCCTGTAATCCTAGCACTTTGGGAGGCCGAAGTGGGCAGATCACGTGAGGCTGGGAGTTCGAGACCAGCCTGGCCAACATGATGAAACCCTGTCTCTACTGAAAATACAAAAATCAGCTGGGCGTGGTGGTGGGTGCCTGTAATCCCAGCTATCTGGGAGGCTGAGGCAGGAGAATTGCTTGAACCCGGGAGGCAGAGATTGTGGTGAGCCGAGATGGTGCCACTGCACTCCAGCCTGGGTGACAGAGCGAGACTCTCTCTCAAAAAAAAATATGAATAATAGCACTAATATAGCATTTCCTTACACCAGGACCCTGCTCTAAGTGCTTTACACTTACTAACTAACTAATTTAATCTTTGTAATACTCTTATGGGTTTGGGAACATTATTATTGTCCCTGTTTTATAAATGAGAAAATAATGATTTGCCCAAAGATACAAGACTGGTAAAATGATCAAGCTAGAATTGATACCCAGGAAGTCTGGATAAGATATTCAGCCATTTAACCTCTCTGAGCCACATTTTTACCCTAAGTTAAACACACACACACACACACACACACACACACACACACACACACCTACCTCAATATTTATGCATTTTTATAAAATAAAATTAAACACTCTCAGCAAACACTTTGAGAATGTTGTTGATAGTCACATAATTTAAGTTAATTTCATCTTGAAAATACAGATTGCTAAAAAAAGATTTTAATTTTAAATTATACGAATGTATTATTACTCTTATGGCCATTGAGCCTTATTCATTATAGCACATGATGGAGATAGAGGGAGTGTATATCCATAGAGATCACCCATTTGAATTTCACTTGGGAGTGGGAGAAATTGACATCTCACTGGATATTTGTTAGTTGATCAGCAACAAATAATTATTACTCTTTGTACTTGCTCAACACTGTAGATACAGTGTATTCGTTTGCTTTGCTGAGTAACAAATGACCCCAAAAGTTAGAAGTGTGAAACAACAATCATGTTTCACATGATCAGTTTAGCTCAGAATTCTCTAGGTTGGCAGATTGAGCTGGGCTTGGCTGGGTGGTTCTTCTGGCCTCACTGGGGCTCACTCATGACTGCAGTCAGCCATCAGTCAGCATCCTTAATTGCTTGTCTGGTCATTGGCTTCCTACTGGCTGGACAACAGGTATTTGGGCCACATGTCTTTTATCCTGTAGAAGACTAGCCTGGGTTTATTTATATGGTGGTGGTCACAGGGTTCCTAAGAGCAGCAAGAGTGAAAGCATCATGGCCTCTTGATGCCTAGGCTTAGAACGTGCACAGACTCATGTTCACTTACATTCTATTAGCCAAAGCAAGACACAGAGCCAGCTCAAGTTTGAGAAATGTGAAAACAGACTCCACCCCTTGATGAGAGGAACTGTAAATATCGTGGCCATTTTTGTAATCCACCATATTTGGTAAAGACCATAATCACACAATCCCTCCATCATAGAACTTTCAGCCTGATGGTCACAGTACAGGTTTGAATATTGGACATTTTCTGAAGGTTTGTTGTTGCTGCTTTTAGGCCTGAACAAGAGATGAAATTGTCTTATTATCTCTAATTTAAAAGATAGTAAAGGGCTGAGTGCAGTGGCTCACATTTACAGTCCCAGTACTCTGGGAGGTGAGGTGGATGGATCACTTGAGCCCAGGAGTTTGAGACTAGCCTGGCCAACATGGCAAGACCCCATCTCTACAAAGTATACAAAAATTAGCCGTGCGTGGTGGCATGCGCCTGTAGTCCCAGCTACTCGGGAGGCTGAGGTGGGAGAATTGCTTGAGCCCTGGAGGTCAAGGCTGTAGTGAGCCAGGATTGCACCACTGCACTCCAGGCCGGGTGACAGAGACAGACCCTGTCTCAAATAAAATAAAATAAAAATAAAAATAAAAATAAAATAAAATAAAATAAAATATAAAATAATAAAATAAAATAAAATAAAAAAATAAATAAAATAAATAAAAGGTGGTAGAGGCCTCTGCATGTAAATAGGCTCATTATTAACATTTACTTTCTTGTATCATGCCTATACAATGTTCTTGCACGGATGGAGAGAAGGAAAGACAAGGAAGTCTCTCTCTCCTGCCCCTACCCAGTGGTTCTCAACACTGACTGCACATTAGAATGACCTGAAATTTAAAAAAATACAAATTTCATCAGCCGCACTCCCAGATCAATTCTATTAGAATCTCTGGACAATGGGACTGTGGCTCTGGAATTTTGTATAAGCTCCCCAGGTGATTCTAAAGTGCAGCCAAAGCTGAGAATTGCTGTTCTATCCGGGCTCCTTTCAACTGATAGCACCCATCCCCCAGTCCTATTAAACCCACACATGCCAGCTTTTATTCGTTCTCTTGCTGTCAGACTCAAAACCATCGCTTCTTGGTCTTTTGACTAAGATCAAGTGTGGTATCTCAGAGTCAAAACCATCTCCAAGCTGGGTGCAATGTCTCATGCCAGTAATCCCAGCTACTCAGGAGGCTGAGGAGAGAGGATTGCTTGAGCCCAGGAGTTCAAGTCTAGCCTGGGCAATATGGCAAGACCTCATCTCTTAAGAAAAGCAAAACTCCACCTTCCATGCCCCAGATGAAAAGTGATAAAAGAGAGTGGGCCTTTGTGAAGACCGCAAGACATAACTGGTATTCACGTAGGTGCGGACTACCTGTCAGAAAGTATCACCTTGCTAGAAAAAGTTCTTGGAAGAGGTTCCAGTTACCATCTTTCTTTGCTTTGAAATAGATTCTTCTTCCTATCAAACGATGAGCTGCTGGAAATCTTGTCCGAGACAAAGGACCCTCTCCGAGTGCAGCCGCACTTGAAGAAGTGCTTTGAAGGAATTGCCAAGCTTGAGTTTACAGACAATCTGGAAATTGTGGGCATGATCAGCTCGGAAAAAGAAACTGTTCCATTCATACAGAAAATCTACCCAGCTAATGCCAAGGTAACTCCTCTTACCCATTTTTGGTTCTTTTCTCCATAACAGAGTAAATCAGAGAGCGTATTGGCTAAGCACTGGGACTAAGCACCAGACTGCCTGGGGTATGGAACACTTGGGTTCTACGATGTAACGACTGAAGATTTGGGGAAGTTACTCAATCTTTCTGAGTCTCAGTGTACCCATCTCTAAGATGGGGATTCCACTGCAATCCACATGACATATTAAATTTGTGGATTTTAACCCAACTCGATGTGGAGTCAATTGCAGGAATCAGATCCAAACAGCCGATGCTGTTTAGATTTCCATGTGCAGAGTTCAGTTGAAAGTGATTCAGTTAGACAGGTAGCTTCCTGGGGCATTCATTTTAAAGATCAATAAAACATCATAGAATCAATGAGAGCTATAATGCAACTTAACTCAGGTTTTCATACATATGTCCTTATATAATGAGTAAAGTATAAATTACTTCCATTTCTGCTCAGTGACAGCACCCTCAAGTGGAAATAGACAAGCAAGCTGAGCCTTGCTTTGTTGACTGTTTTTGCCACCCACGCGTATAAACTGCAGCAACCAGGAGTCACATTACCAATGCAGACACCAGCTAGCTTACAAGCACCTGAAGTCAATAGCTACAGTTACCTGAAATTCTAACACTGAATAATTTGGGGCATATTTGAATTTCCCTATGGAGTTTTGATCAAAATCCAAATGACCAGGTTGCATCCCATACCAATTAAATCAGGAAGTCTAGGGGTGGGAGTCAGTCATCAGTATTTTTTAAAAGATCTCCAAGTGATTTCAAGGAACAGCAAAGTTTGAGACCCACTGGAATAATGCATGAATCAGAGCTGTTCATTTAAAAGATGCAATTTATTTTATGAACTGACATAAATGTTTCATTTGCCTTCTGAGAAGTTGTCTGTTTCAGAAAATGACATGAAAGTAATGCGTATTAAAAATGGGCCGGGCGTGGTGGCTTGCACCTGTAATCCCAGCACTTTGGGAGGCCGAGGCGGGTGGATCACCTAAGGTCAGGAGTTTGAGACCAGCCTGGCCAACATGGCGAAACCCTGTCTCTACTAAAAAGCCAGGTGTAGTGGCACATGCTGTAATCCCAGCGACTTGGGAGGCTGAGGCAGGAGAATCGCTTGAACCCAGGAGGCGGAAGTTGCAATGAGCCGAGATCACACCATTGCACTCCAGCCTTGGGTGACAAGAGTGAAACTCCGTCTCAAAAAAAAAAAAAAAAAAAAGGCCTATCGCCCCTTTAGAAGGCATATGCTTCTGAGAATACAGAAAATAAGTGTCAAGCAGATAAAGAATATTGGAATATTGGCTGGGGCCAAGGCCAGGTGCCATGGCTCACACCTGTAATCCCAGCACTTTGGGAGGCTGAGGCAGGAGGATCTCTTGAGGCCAGGAAATCAAGACCAGCCTGGGCAACATAGAGAGACCACGGCTCTACAGAAAAATTTAAAAGTTAGCCGGGCATGGTGGCATGTGCCTGTAGTCCCAGTTACTCAGGAGGCTGAGTCAGGAGAGTCACTTGGGCCCAGGAGTTCAAGGCTGCAGTGAGCCAGGATCGTGCCACCGCACTCCAGTCTGGATGACAGAGCAAGGCCCTGTCTCTCTCTATAAAAAAAAAAAAAAAAAAAAGAAGAGACCAGGCGCAGTGGTTCACACCTGTAATCCCAGCACTTTGGAGGCCGAGGTGGGCAGATCACGAGGTCAGGAGGTCAAGACCATCCTGGCCAACATGGTGAAACCCCGTCTCTACTAAAAATACAAAATTCATCAGCCGCGGTGGTGGTGCACGCCTGTAATCCCAGCTACTCGGGAGGCTGAGGCAGGAGAATCGCTTGAACCAGGGAGTCGGAGGTTGCAGTGAGCCAAGATCATGACAGTGCACTCCAGCCTGGTGACAGAGCGAGACTCTGTATCAAAAAAAAAAAAAAAAAGAAAAAAAAAAAGAAAAAAAGAACGGGGAGACAGAGAATATTGACTTGAAAAGGTGCCAAGCCTTTGGCATCCCTCCAGCCGTGTCCAGAGAGAAAGCTGTGTTCTGCCCACTCTCCCTCCCTCTGGGCTTTGGTTGACTGCTGCACCCTCTCTCTGTCTTGCTCCATAGGGCATGGTGGAAAAGTGGCTCCAGCAGGTGGAGCAGATGATGCTGGCCAGTATGCGAGAAGTCATTGGACTTGGGATTGAAGCATATGTCAAGGTAAACAAGAACCGGGGTACACATGCCAGGACACTAGTGCACTAAAGAGAACATTGGGGAGAAGGTTCATGTGTCAGTAGTTTGGCTGGACCCTCTGCTTTCTACCAAAACCTGTCCCTCTGCACCTCTCTTTCCTTCACTTGTGAACCCTGGGGCAATGAACCTATTCCTGGTGAAATACTGGCAGTTAGAAGCAGGTGATGCAAGAGAAGAGGGTTAGCTGGAACCCTCTGGTTGCCACGGACCAGTCCTTTTTGTCAAATGGGATTAATGGCACGAAGTCTATTTAGAGTCCCTTCCAATTAATAATTCATTTACCTTACAGATGCCCTGAGTGGCATAACTCATTGTGTTCCCAAAGCTTAAAGGGAAATAGGTATGACGTAAGGCTTAAGACAAAAGAATCTATCAGAATAACTTGGTACCCAGCCTGTAGTCACATTCACGTTGAGCGACTCTAGCTCTCTTTCTTCTTTTTTTTTTTTTTTGAGATGGAGTCTCACTCTGTCTCCCAGGGCTGAAATGCAGTGGTACGATCTTGGCTCACTGCAACCTCCACCTCCTGGGTTCAAGCGATTCTCCTGCCTCAGCCTCCCAAGTAGCTAGGACTACAGGCAACCACCACCACACCTGGCTAATTTTTGTATTTTTCGTAGAGATGTGGTTTCACCATGTTGGCCAGGCTGGTCTCGAACTCCTGACCTCAAATGATCCACTTGCCTCGGTCTCCCAAAGTGCTGGGATTACAGGCATGAGCCACTGTGCCCGGCTGACTGACTCTAACTTTCTTACTTTCTTATTCCCAGCACCCACAGAACAAAGCAATACTCAACACCCTCACACTAAAGTCCTGGGGACTGACCCTGCTGTCCCTTGACACAGTATTTGCATTGTAAAATGAAAGACCAGTCCCTTTTCCTATGACATGCTCTGAATCAAAAATTAAAGAAAAGCAGTTACCAGTATGAAATTATTTCATCCAAATCAAATCTATCAAATTTTATCCTCAGATCAAACTTTTTCTGTAAAGAGCCAGATAGTAAATATTTTCAACTCTGCAGGCCACATTCCCAATGCAACTATTTTTTAAAATAAATTTTATTGCATATATTTAAGGTATACAACATAATGTTATAAGACACATATGTATAGTAAATGGGTACTGTAGCTTTGCCCTTGTGGCACAAAAGCATCAGACAATATTTAAATGATGGGCATGGCTGTATTTCTTTTTTTTAAATTTTTTTAAATTTTATTTTATTTTACTTTAAGTTCTGGGATACATGTGCAGAACATGCAGGTCTGTTACATAGGTATACATGTACCATGGTGGTTTGCTGCACCTATCAACCCATCGTATAGGTTTTAAGCCCCGCATGCATTAGGTATTTGTCCTAATGTTCTCCCTCTCCTTGCCCCCCACCTCCTAACAGGCCCCAGTGTGTGATGTTCTCCTCCTTGTGTCCATGTGTTCTCATTGTTCAACTCCCACTTATGAGTGAGAACATGCAGTGTTTGGTTTTCTGTTCCCGTGTTAGTTTGCTGAGAATGATGGCTTCCAGCTTCATCCACGTCCCTGCAAAGGACATGAACTCATTCTTTTGTATGCTGCGGCTGTATTTCAATACAACTTTATTTATGAAAAAATTTATATACATAGTTTGCCCGCTCCTGATCTGTAGCTTGAGGGAAAGAATTGTGGGGTGGAGAAACAGCTAAAAAAATTGTGACTCAGCACTGCAATATTATGTAGCCATTAAAAAACAGTAGTTATGAGAACTCTCTGAACATCACCTTGATTATAACTATGGAAAAATTTGATAAATGGGAGCATGGAAAAAATGCAAAGTTGATGAGATGATTGGTGTTTTTTCTTTTTCTTTTTCATAAAACTCAGAAAGGAAGACATAAATCAGTAATTCCAGAGATGTCAAGCCTTGTAGCGTCTGAGGATGGGGGAAGATTTTGTTTTTGTTGCGGTGGTGAGGTGGTTGGGGCATGTTTTCGTAAACTCAGTTTAAACCACACGTGAACTGATCCTATAACATGCCCACTGTGCTTTTCCAGGTCCCTCGAAATCACTGGGTCTTACAGTGGCCTGGACAGGTGGTTATCTGTGTCTCCTCCATCTTTTGGACCCAGGAGGTGTCCCAAGCCCTGGCGGAAAATACCTTACTGGTAAGTGAACTTGCTGCAAAGTTACAGAAGAGATCCAAGCATCAATTAGGATTTGAATGACGTATAATTAGAGTAGCCATGTTTTGTTGTCTAAACAAAAATCATTTGGTCTCAGCATCACAGACATCAGGGTTCCCATGAGGACAGTGGGATGGAGAATTTGGGATTCGAGCTGTCCTGCAATTCTATGGTACGAGACCTCTCATAGTCCTTCCCAGACAGAAATTCTGGACTGCAGGATTCTAAGTCTTATACCCTTGGCTTCTGGGGGCTAACCTGGCAGAATTTCCACCAGGGGAGACCTCCTATATTCTTCCTAAGCCAAGGGGCCACCATCTGCCTCTCCTTCTCCTTTACAGCCTCCTTCTCATCACCCCTACTCCCTCCCGAATGAACCCACCTCCCGTCCTGCCTTCAGCTTTCTCTTGTGACCAAGTATACTCAAGCATCTGTTTATCCTCAGATCCAAATACACATATTCCCAGCCAAATGATGCCAATGCTTGACTGTTAAGACCTGATGGACTTGAGTTCAAATCCTGACACTGTCTCTTGTTAGCTGCGTGACCATGAGCAACTTAACCCGACTCTCAAGCTCCTTGTCTGTAACATGCAAGGAATTGTCACAACACATCATAATATTGTGGGAGGGTTAAATGAGATGCCAGTAAATGATTCGGTACTTAGACACGAGGCTGTAAACCCTACGGGGAAGAAGCTATGTCTGCTCTGCTCACTATTATATTTCCAGGGGTTAATACAGTGCCCAGCACAGAGTAGATGATCAATAAATATTTGGGGATTTGTTTGTTTGTTTTTAAACTTTTTCTATTTTTTAAACTAGAGACGGGGGTCTCACTATGTTGGCCAGGGTGGTCTCGAACTCCTGGCCTCAAGCAATCCTCCTTGCCTCAGCCTCCCAAAGTGCTGGGAGCCACCATGCCTGACCAAATATTTGTTAAATGGATGAATGAAAACTTCATACTCAGCCTTTCTTCCATGGTTTGATTCTCCATGAATATCTCACCAGACCTCCTGTTACTCCTCTTAGAGGATTGGCTGTGGATTAGAATATGTTTTAATTTCCTATATTTTGCTGTATAAATTGAAATTAGAACATTAATATTTGGCCAGTGTTTAAACTTATACAGATTCCATATTGATAAATCCTAATAGACATATTGCACTGTACACATGCAAACTGCTTTCACGTACATCATTTCAAACTTTAGAAACTAAAATCCTCTGACTTTTGTGATGGTATCTCTGACTTTTTGTGATGGAGGTGGATTCATGTGCCCCAGTTTTCCCACCCATAGTTAGGGAGAATGTTTCCCGTCATACATCCAGGCCCTGGTGTGCATGCATGCTGTGTGATGTGTCTCCGTATCCTAAAGGAAGCAGGTGTTGACACAGAATAATCATCCTTCCCTTCCTCCAACCATTTATTGTTCATTTAACAAATATTGATTTGGCATCTGCTCTGTGCTGGTACTGCTGCTAACGAAGGTAATTAGATGTGAATGAGACAGACATAGTCCCTCTCCTCATGGATTTATAGTCTAGTGGGAGAGAGAAAAAGGCTCTTTTACAGAACTGTGATAAGGAAAGAACAGACATCCAGTAAGTATGGGAAGGGAGGGAGGCAGGGAGGGAGGGAGGGTTTAAAGAAGGAAGGAAGGAAGGGAGAGAGGGAGGGAGGGAGGGAGGAAAAAAGAAGGAAGGAAAGAGTAAGAGAGTGAGGGGAGGGAAGTTAGGATTGGGGAAGATTTCCCAGAAAAGTGGTGTCTAAGAAAAGACCTGAAATATAAGTAGGGATTAGCTGAGCAGAAAATAGGAGGGAGAGTGTTCCAGAGAGAAGAACTGGAGTATGCAAAAGCCTGAAGATGAACAGCATGGTGTATTCCAGCAGGAAGACACTTCGGTCTATAATAGCTGAGCAATGGGTGTGGGTAGGAGAGATGTGGGGAGAAGCCCCAACACCACATACACTACCTCATTTAATCCTCAACACAGCTTGAAGAGGCAGCTATAATCATCTAGATTCAGGGCAGGATACGGTGGCTCATGCCTGTAATCCCAATAGTTTGGGAGGCCAAGGCGGGAGGATTGCTTGAGGCCAGGAGTTCAAGACCAGCCTGGGCAACACAGTGAGACCCCATCTCTACAAATAGTTAGCCAGGAGTGATGGTGTGTGCTTGTGGTCCCAGCTACTCAGGCGGCTGAGGTGGGAGGATTGCTTGAGCTCAGGAGGTCGAGGTTTCAGTGAGCCATGTTTGTGCCTGTGCACTCCTGCCTAGGTGACAGAGCAAGACCCCATCTCAAAAAAAAAAAAAAAAAATCTGCATTTGACACACACCAGGAGACTGAGACTCAGAAGCATAAAATCATTTGCCAAGAGCCACATAGCTAGAAAGTAGGGAAGGTAGGATTTTAACCTAGGGTGGTCTTACTTTTTTTCCTTTTTAAGTTTTCTTTTTATTTTATTTTTTGCCTCTTTAATTTGAAATAACATGAAACTTATAAATAATGCTGAAAATATAATACAAAGATATAATACAAAGAATTTCCATATATCTTTCATCCAGATTCCTCATATATTAACATCTTAGACAACCATAGTACAGTTATCCAAATCAGGAAATCAACACTGATACGATTTTATTCTCTACTCTATAGACCTTTCTAAATTGGCTAATTTAAATTTTGTCATCTTGAAAAAGAAATGACAGGCCGGGCGTGGTGGCTCATGCCTGTATTCCCAGCACTTTGGGAGGCCAAGGTGGGTGAATCACTTGAGGTCAGGAGTTTGAGACCAGCCTGGCCAACATGGCAAAACCCCATCTCTACTAAACATACAAAGATTAGCTGAGTGTGGTGGTGCACACCTGTAGTCCTAGCTATTTGGGAGGCTGAGTCAGGCTCTGTCTCAAAATAAATAAATAAATAAATAAAATTAGCCAATTGCCCTACTGTCTTTTTTTTTTTTTCTGGTCCAGGATGCAATCTAGGATTACATGTTGCATTTTGTTTTTATAGCTCCTTTGTCTCTTTAATGTGAAAAAGTTTCCAGTTTGGGAGGTTAATTCTGATTTATGGTATATACAGTGAAATTCACCTTTTTTAGCATACGGTTCTCAGTTTTGATAAACACATGCATTTGTGTAGGCCATCACAATCAATATATAGGACAGTTCCACACCACCCAAAAAAAATGTCCTCAGGCCCTTTGTAGTCAGTTGCATTCTCTACTCCAAGCCTCCAGTAATTACCAAGGTATTTTCTGCTCACTCCTATAATTTTGCCTTTTCCACAATACTATAAAAATAAAATCATGCAGTATGAAACCTTCCAAATCTTGCCTCTTTCAGCATAATGCATTAGGAATTCATTCAGAGATTAAGGACTGGGGTAAGGAAAAGTTGGACTTGAGGGATGACACCCAGGAGTCTGGCTTGAGCCATCCGGTGGTCCATGGTACCATTTCTTGACATGGGGATTACCAGAGGAGAGTCAAATGTAACCAGTTGTCCCCTCCTCTGCCCCTTCCAGGATTTTCTGAAAAAGAGCAATGATCAGATTGCGCAGATTGTCCAGCTGGTGCGAGGGAAGCTGAGCAGTGGAGCTCGACTCACTCTCGGGGCCCTCACGGTCATCGATGTCCACGGTAAGCCAGGGGGCTTCCCCTGTCATTACTGACTATCCAGGAGAAGCAGTCTAGTCTTGCTCATCTCAGTTCTCCTGGACGGAATAATTCAGGGTTTCCTTCCTCATTAGGGAGAGCTTTCTCCAACTGAGAGTAAGATGAGAGCCAAAGGGCTCTGCATCCCTCCACCTGTGTTTCCTCTCCCATCCGCAACCTGATTTCCAGGGACCCTCCAAGCAGGGCTTGTACTGAGACAATGATGGCCAAAGTCATTTCTGAGCTTCACCAACGTGGAATCATTTCCTTGGCTAGCCGTAGATAATATTTTTGAATGCTTGCTAGGTGCCAGGCTTTGTGCTAAGTGATTGACATACATTATCTCATTTTCATAGATATTTCACAGATTCAGAACCTGGGGCTTAGAGAGGTAACTAACTTGCTGAGAGGCATACAGCTATAATAGTAAGCAACAGAATCGCCTATGTCTGTCTGCTTCCAAGCCTAAGGGACTGGAAATGGGCAATGTTGCAAGCAGTGGGTGGTGAGAGAGGATGCCTTCCAGCTCCTCCTTTAAAAAGAAGAGGAGGAGGAAGAGGAGGAGGAGGAGGAGGAGGAAAAACTGGGGTCTTTATATAAAACAAACCACCCCCACACCCTCACTCCATCACCAAGGAAACTAGGGCTGGACCAGGCTGGTTGCTTGGGAACAGAGTCTCTTGCTCACACTCCCAGCTCCCTCCTGGCATTTCATGGCATCTCACTCCCCTCAGGTTAATGCTCACTTCAATCTGATTTCATTAGGTAGACCAGCATAACATCAGGGAGGGAGAAGGGAAAATGTGCTCTTCACACGGCCACATACTCAGCTGTTAGGAATAATTGGTGCAGATGTGGTTATACTGCCCAGGGTACCCCAGTGTGGTTGGGTTCACAAACACAAGCATGCATGTATGCACACATGTACACAATGGCACATACACACACACATGCAAGTGCACATACACACACTGTATAGCGAAGGCATCCCCAACTCAAACCCTTGAAATTCGCTTTCCTCTTGGATCCCTCAGGCATACCATACTCCTGCCCTATACCCTCTTCCTTGGGAGAATGTATCAGGTGGTTCCCCTATATATTCACCCAAGAGCCAGGAGGGGAATTAAATTCCTTGGGAAGGAAGAAAAAGCTGTGGATATAATCTTCTTCAAGGACTCTTCCCTGCAGGGTTTTTTATTTTACTGTAATAAAGAAGACTCTGTCACAGAGAGGAAGGAAAGGCTCAATGGAAGCAACCCTTTGAAAAGTGACGTTTCTGAGGTCCTAATTTTGAGTCGGCTGTACTAGCTCTGAGATCTCCATAGCTCTCCACCTGAGTTACCAAAAACGTAATGAATGATTCTCATCAGCCTAGATCCACTCTTCAACTTCAAGGCCCCTGTCACTTGGATAAAATTAAATCAGGGCTTACGTTCCCATGAGAGAAAAAAGAAGAGCTAGAAATGTATCTCCCAGCTGGTTTCTCAGGCCCCCAGATGGAAAGGATACATCTAACCATGGATTCTCGGGCTTCCTTCCCCTGCTATATAAGGCCACGCTGATTGCATTCTCCTAGGATATCCTAGGGGCCTGAAATGGGACCAAAAGGGTTATACTGGAAATAGGATGGAATTTGGAGTCACTATGCATTGCAAAGCTCTCTGGCTCAGACTTCCAAGAATTTGGGGATGATAACAATAGCTAATACCTGTATAACATTTTCATATGCCAAGGACAGCTCTCTTTCTCTCTCTATTGTGTCTAGCTGTAGATATGTATGTATGTACCTATATATTCATTTAATCCTCATGATAACTCTATAATGTAGGTACTATGTTATCCCTATTTTACAGATTACACAACTGAAGAACAGAGAGGTCAAGGAACTTACCCAAAGTCACATAGCTAGGTCATGGTGGAATCAGAATTTGAACGCAGCCAGTCTGATTTCAGAGCACGCACCTTTTAATACCTCTGCCGTGCTGTCTGAGAGAAGATAGTGCAGCAGATTCTCTGCCTGGCTTTGGGAGAAAGCAAAGACCAGCTTCTAACAGATATTGCTGCCTGCAGGTTGGGGGTGGGCAAGGAGGCTTGTGAAATCTAAAATTGTTTGGGCTGGGCACGGTGGCTCACGCCTGTAATCTCAGCACTTTGGGAGGCCGAGGCAGGCGGATCACTTGAGGTTAGAAGTTGGAGACCAGCCTGGCCAACATGTTGAAACCCCATCTCTACTAAAAATACAAAAATTAGCCAGGTGTGGTGGCGTGCGCCTATAATCCCAGCTATTTGGGAGGCTGAGGCAGGAGAATCGCTTGAACCCAGGAGGCAGAGGTTGCAATGAGCCGAGATCGCGCCATTGCACTCCAGAATGGGGGACAGAGCGAGACTCCATCGCAAAAAATAAATAAAATAAAATAAAATAAAATAGTTTGGAGAATGGGGGACCTTGATAACATCCACTTGTAACTGAGGAGCTTACAAAGATGGAGAGTTCTGATGGCTCTGTGTGCGTGTTTCTGCATCTGTGTCCCAACAGCCCGCGACGTGGTGGCCAAGTTATCTGAGGACAGGGTCTCCGATCTGAATGATTTCCAATGGATCTCACAGCTGCGCTACTACTGGGTGGCCAAGGATGTGCAGGTGCAGATTATCACCACAGAAGCCTTGTATGGCTATGAGTACCTGGGAAACTCCCCCCGGCTGGTGATCACACCCCTCACCGACCGCTGCTACAGGTACACTCTGGAGCTCCTAGATCTGAGGGGTGAACGGAGAACTCCAGGGGAAGAAGACTCTGGGGAGGAAAGTTAGGGATGTCTTGGGTTACCTTTACCCTTCACACTTCAGATTATTAGATTCTCCATAGTCCCAAAGATGGGCATGCAAACTAGGTCTTCAGGCTAGACATGAGAACCCAGTAGGAATTCTAGTGCAAATCAATGTATTTGAACCAACAAGTGGAATATTGGTGCACATCCGTGAACATGACACAGGACTTAACGTAGAGGGCTCTCCAATGGCAGGAATCAAGATGGTGCCTGGAGATCCTATGGCCATAAGATAGACAAGAAGTGAGGTCAAGAACGTAGCCAAGGGGTCTCTATGCTCTGCCAGCCAGTCTCATGAAAAAAGCTGGCCATTCTGTGCTCAGCAAAGTCCTCTGACATTTTCTGTGGAACTCAGCCTTTGAGATCGGGATTTTGTGAACTTGTCGGTTTTGTGATGTTTAGATGTTCTTTGCTTTTATATATTTCCTTACAGTGAGAGTTTTTTAGATTGTAAAACTAATACTTGGGAGTATTTTCTCCCTTCAAAATCCTCAACCACTTGTTTTTTATGGTCTATGATTTTTGCTCTTCATTCATTTATTTATTCCACTTATTATTCAACAACCATTTTTTGAGGTTTCCTGTGCACCATGCATGACCTCAAGAAACCCTAAATCTAACTGGGGGGTCGGGAGAGACATATTCAAATGATTACAAGATAGAGTGCTAAATGAAAACATAGAAACTCATACCATGGGCCATGGAACCACAGTTATTACATCATTCATTTCTAACATTTATCTTGCACCTATTACATGCCAGGAGCTGTATTAATTTACTGAGGTTATGAAATGGAATCAAATATGATTCCTGAACTTTAGAGTTCATAATCTAGCTGGGCATGGTGGCTCACGCCTGTAGTCTCAGCACTTTGGAAGGCCAAGGTGGGTGGATCACTTGATCCCAGAAGTTTGAGACCAACCCGCTTGGGCAACATGGCAAAATCCCATCTCTACAAAAAATATGAAAATTAACTGGGTGTGGTGGTGTGTGCCTGTAAGTCCCAGCTACTTGGGAGGCTGAGATGGGAGTATCACTTGGGCCCAGGAGGTCAAGGCTGCAGTGAGCTGTGACCATGCCTCTGCACTCCAGCCTGGGCGACAGAGTGAGAACCTGTCTCAAAAGAAAAAAAAGAATTCATAATCTAGTTGGAGAAATATATTTTAACCATTCCATTAGCACTGGTGATCTTTGGAATGTAGAGTTTATGAGTATTCTCACTTTTATTTGATTCATTTATATAGGTATGCATGTATTCATTTATTCATTCAAACAAATATTCATGGGTGCCACTCATGTGCTGGACACTGTGCTGGGCTCTGAGGTTACAATGCCGAGTAAAATACAGTGATATTGTATTGCTCATATAATTGGGAAAAATTTTAACTATTTGGTTGGTGCAAAAGTCATCGCGGCTTTTAGCATTACTTTCAATGGCAAAAACTGCAATCACTTTTGCACTAACCTAAATATTTGTATGAGTCAAAATAAATGAAAAGCCGGTTTCTTTCCTGTGTCTTAGACCTCAAGCACTGAAGTTCTATTTTCTTCCCCATAGGACACTGATGGGAGCTTTGAAGCTGAACCTTGGGGGTGCTCCAGAGGGTCCAGCTGGGACTGGCAAGACAGAAACCACCAAAGATTTGGCCAAAGCCTTGGCTAAGCAGGTAAGCAAATGCCATCTATCCCCTCCCTCTCTTCCAGGCCCTCTCTGCACCCCTCCTGTGGGAAGTAGGCATCAACTTTAAGATGGTTTAGCATTAACAGGCAGCATGGGCCCCAGCTCCTTCAAGCAGAGCAAGGAGAGAGGAGCCCACTGCTGTTGAATGGTGCGGGGTAATTCAGATGGGATGGAATCCACCCTGAATGATACCCACATCCTCCCTCTTTCTAGTGTGTGGTCTTCAACTGCTCCGATGGTTTGGATTACAAAGCTATGGGGAAGTTCTTCAAGGGGCTGGCACAGGCTGGAGCATGGGCGTGCTTTGATGAGTTCAACAGGATCGAGGTAACTCTGCCTCTAGGCTGCAGAACAAAGAAGCTGTGCATGGAGGGGCTTTTTTCTTGGCTCTGCACCCCTTAATAACAGGGCCTTATATCTCTTGTATGGCAGACACAAGAACCTCCAAAGCAGGTACTCAGTGAACTAAACAAAAGGACTCTCAAGGAGACAGATGCATGTTTTATACACATAGCCCCATCTCCCCATCATATTAATTCATTCACTTGCCCATAGTAGCTACTGAGCAGCTACTATACATCAGAGATTCTGCATAAGTTCATGCAACAGAGATGAGCATGAAATGGTTGTATAGCCAGGCACAGAGGCTCACACCTGTAATCCTGACACTTTGGGAGGCCAAGGTGGGAGGATCACTTGAGCCCAGGAGTCTGAGACCAGCCTGGGCAACACAGTTGAGACCCTGTCTCTACAAAAATAAAATAGCCTCAGCTATTCAAGAGGCTGAGGCAGGAGGATTGCTTGAGCCCAGGAGTTCGAGGCTGAAGTGAGCTTTGATGCCGCCACTGCATTCCAGCCTGGGTGAGAGTGAGACTTTGTCTCTTAAAAAAAAAAAAAGTCTTGGCTGAGCGCGGTGGCTCACACCTGTTATTTCAGCACTTTGGGAGGCCAAGGCAGGTGGATCATCTGAGGTCAGGAGTTCAAGACCAGCCTGGCCAACATGGTGAAACCCTGTCTCTACTAAAAATATAAAAATCAGCTGGGCATGGTGGTGAGTGCCTGTAACCCCAGCTACTCGGGAGGCTGAAGCAGGAGAATGGCTTGAACCTGGGAGGCGGAGGTTGCAATGAGCCAAGATCTAACCATTGCACTCCAGGCTGGGAGTGAAACTCTGTTTAAAAAAAAAAAAAAGGAGGGAGGAGCCAAGATGGCCGAATAGGAACAGCTCCGGTCTACAGCTCCCAGCGTGAGCGACGAAGAAGACGGGTGATTTCTGCATTTCCATCTGAGGTACCGGGTTCATCTCACTCGGGAGTGCCAGACAGTGGGCGCAGGTCAGTGGGTGCGTGCACCGTGCGCCAGCCGAAGCAGGGCGAGGCATTGCCTCACCTGGGAAGCGCAAGGGGTCAGGGAGTTCCCTTTCTGAGTCAAAGAAAGGGGTGACAGACGGCACCTGGAAAATCGGGTCACTCCCACCCGAATACTGCGCTTTTCTGATGGGCTTAAAAAACGGGGCACCACGAGATTATATCCTGCACCTGGCTCGGAGGGTCCTACGCCCACGGAGTCTCGCTGATTGCTAGCACAGCAGTCTGAGATCAAACTGCAAGACGGCAGCCTGGCTGGGGGAGGGGCGCCCGCCATTGCCCAGGCTTGATTAGGTAAACAAAGCAGCCTGGAAGCTCGAACTGGGTGGAGCCCACCACAGCTCAAGGAGGCCTGCCTGCCTCTGCAGGCTCCACCTCTGGGGGCAGGGCACAGACAAACAAAAAGACAGCAGTAACCTCTGCAGACTTAAATGTCCCTGTCTGACAGCTTTGAAGAGAGGAGTGGTTCTCACAGCAAGCAGCTGGAGATCTGAGAACGGGCAGACTGCTTCCTCAAGTGGGTCCCTGACCCCTGACCCCCGAGCAGCCTAACTGGGAGGCACCCCCCAGCAGGGGCACACTGACACCTCACACGGCAGGGTACTCCAACAGACCTGCAGCTGAGGGTCCTCTCTGTTAGAAGGAAAACTAACAAACAGAAAGGACATCCACACCAAAAACCCATCTGTACATCACCATCATCAAAGACCAAAAGTAGATAAAACCACAAAGATGGGGAAAAAACAGAACAGAAAAACTGGAAACTCTAAAAAGCAGAGCACCTCTCCTCCTCCAAAGGAACGCAGTTCCTCACCAGCAACGGAACAAAGCTGGATGGAGAATGGCTTTGACGAGCTGAGAGAAGAAGGCTTCAGACGATCAAATTACTCTGAGCTATGGGAGGACATTCAAACCAAAGGCAAAGAAGTTGAAAACTTTGAAAAAAATTTAGAAGAATGTATAACTAGAATAACCAATACAGAGAAGTGCTTAAAGGAGCTGATGGAGCTGAAAACCAAGGCTAGAGAACTACGTGAAGAATGCAGAAGCCTCAGGAGCCGGTGCGATCAACTGGAAGAAAGGGTATCAGCGATGGAAGATGAAATGAATGAAATGAAGCGAGAAGGGAAGTCTAGAGAAAAAAGAATAAAAAGAAATGAGCAAAGCCTCCAAGAAATATGGGACTATGTGAAAAGACCAAATCTACGTCTGATTGGTGTACCTGAAAGTGATGGGGAGAATGGAACCAAGTTGGAAAACACTCTGCAGGATATTATCCAGGAGAACTTCCCCAATCTAGCAAGGCAGGCCAACGTTCAGATTCAGGAAATACAGAGAATGCCACAAAGATACTCCTCGAGAAGAGCAACTCCAAGACACATAATTGTCAGATTCACCAAAGTTGAAATGAAGGAAAAAATGTTAAGGGCAGCCAGAGAGAAAGGTCGGGTTACCCTCAAAGGGAAGCGCGTCAGAGTAACAGCGGATCTCTCTGCAGAAACCCTACAAGCCAGAAGAGAGTGGGGGCCAATATTCAACATTCTTAAAGAAAAGAATTTTCAACCCAGAATTTCATATCCAGCCAAACTAAGCTTCATAAGTGAAGGAGAAATAAAATACTTTACAGACAAGCAAATGCTGAGAAATTTTGTCACCACCAGGCCTGCCTTACAAGAGCTCCTGAAGGAAGCACTAAACATGGAAAGGAACAACCGGTACCAGCCGCTGCGAAATCATGCCAAAATGTAAAGACCATCGAGACTAGGAAGAAACTGCATCAACTAACGAGCAAAATAACCAGCTAACATCATCATGACAGGATCAAATTCACACATAACAACATTAACTTTAAATGTAAATGGACTAAATGCTCCAATTAAAAGACACAGACTGGAAAATTGGATAAAGAGTCAAGACCCATCAGTGTGCTGTATTCAGGAAACCCATCTCACATGCAGAGACACACATAGGCTCAAAATAAAAGGATGGAGGAAGATCTACCAAGCCAATGAAAAACAAAAAAAGGCAGGGGTTGCAATCCTAGTCTCTGATAAAACAGACTTTAAACCAACAAAGATCAAAAGAGACAAAGAAGGCCATTACATAATGGTAAAGGGATCAATTCAACAAGAAGAGCTAACTATCCTAAATATATTTGCACCCAATACAGGAGCACCAAGATTCATAAAGCAAGTCCTGAGTGACCTACAAAGAGACTTAGACTCCCACACATTAATAATGGGAGACTTTAACACCCCACTGTCAACATTAGACAGATCAATGAGACAGAAAGTCAACAAGGATACCCAGGAATTGAACTCAGCTCTGCACCAAGCGGACCTAATAGACATCTACAGAACTCTCCACCCCAAATCAACAGAATATACATTTTTTTCAGCACCACACCACACCTATTCCAAAATTGACCACATACTGGGAAGTAAAGCTCTCCTCAGCAAATGTAAAAGAACAGAAATTATAACAAACTATCTCTCAGACCACAGGGCAATCAAATTAGAACTCAGGATTAAGAATCTCACTCAAAACCGCTCAACTACATGGAAACTGAACAACCTGCTCCTGAATGACTACTGGGTACATAACGAAATGAAGGCAGAAATAAAGATGTTCTTTGAAACCAACGAGAACAAAGACACAACATACCAGAATCTCTGGGACGCATTCAAAGCAGTGTGTAGAGGGAAATTTATAGCACTAAATGCCCACAAGAGAAAGCAGGAAAGATCCAAAATTGACACCCTAACTTCACAATTAAAAGAACTAGAAAAGCAAGAGCAAACACATTCGAAAGCTAGCAGAAGGCAAGAAATAACTAAAATCAGAGCAGAACTGAAGGAAATAGAGACACAAAAAACCCTTCAAAAAATTAATGAATCCAGGAGCTGGTTTTTTGAAAGGATCAACAAAATTGATAGACTGCTAGCAAGACTAATAAAGAAAAAAAGAGAGAAGAATCAAATAGACACAATAAAAAATGATAAAGGGGATATCACCACCGATCCCACAGAAATACAAACTACCATCAGGGAATACTACAAACACCTCTACGCAAATAAACTAGAAAATCTAGAAGAAATGGATAAATTCCTGGACACATACACTCTCCCAAGACTAAACCAGGAAGAAGTTGAATCTCTGAATAGACCAATAACAGGAGCTGAAATTGTGGCAATAATCAATAGCTTACCAATCAAAAAGAGTCCAGGACCAGATGGATTCACAGCCGAATTCTACCAGAGGTACAAGGAGGAACTGGTACCATTCCTTCTGAAACCATTCCAATCAATAGAAAAAGAGGGAATCCTCCCTAACTCATTTTATGAGGCCAGCATCATTCTGATACCAAAGCCAGGCAGAGACACAACAAAAAAAGAGAATTTTAGACCAATATCCTTGATGAACATCGATGCAAAAATCCTCAATAAAATACTGGCAAACCGAATCCAGCAGCACATCAAAAAGCTTATCCACCCTGATCAAGTAGGCTTCATCCCTGGGATGCAAGGCTGGTTCAATATCCGCAAATCAATAAATGTAATCCAGCATATAAACAGAGCCAAAGACAAAAACCACATGATTATCTCAATAGATGCAGAAAAAGCCTTTGACAAAATTCAACAACCCTTCATGCTAAAAACTCTCAATAAATTAGGTATTGATGGGACGTATTTCAAAATAATAAGAGCTATCTATGACAAACCCACAGCCAGTATCATACTGAATGGGCAAAAACTGGAAGCATTCCCTTTGAAAACTGGCACAAGACAGGGATGCCCTCTCTCACCACTCCTATTCAACATAGTGTTGGAAGTTCTGGCCAGGGCAATTAGGCAGGAGAAGGAAATAAAGGGTATTCAATTAGGAAAAGAGGAAGTCAAATTGTCCCTGTTTGCAGACGACATGATTGTATATCTAGAAAACCCCATTGTCTCAGCCCAAAATCTCCTTAAGCTGATAAGCAACTTCAGCAAAGTCTCAGGATACAAAATCAATGTACAAAAATCACAAGCATTCTTATACACCAACAACAGACAAACAGAGAGCCAAATCATGAGTGAACTCCCATTCACAATTGCTTCAAAGAGAATAAAATACCTAGGAATCCAACTTACAAGGGATGTGAAGGACCTCTTCAAGGAGAACTACAAACCACTGCTCAACAAAATAAAAGAGGACACAAACAAATGGAAGAACATTCCATGCTCATGGGTAGGAAGAATCAATATCATGAAAATGGCCATACTGCCCAAGGTAATTTACAGATTCAATGCCATCCCCATCAAGCTACCAATGACTTTCTTCACAGAATTGGAAAAAACTACTTTAAAGTTCATATGGAACCAAAAAAGAGCCCGCATCGCCAAGTCAATCCTAAGCCAAAAGAACAAAGCTGGAGGCATCACCCTACCTGACTTCAAACTATACTACAAGGCTACAGTAACCAAAACAGCATGGTACTGGTACCAAAACAGAGATATAGATCAATGGAACAGAACAGAGCCCTCAGAAATAATGCCGCATATCTACAACTATCTGATCTTTGACAAACCTGAGAAAAACAAGCAATGGGGAAAGGATTCCCTATTTAATAAATGGTGCTGGGAAAACTGGCTAGCCATATGTAGAAAGCTGAAACTTGATCCCTTCCTTACACCTTATACAAAAATCAATTCAAGATGGATTAAAGACTTAAACGTTAGACCTAAAACCATAAAAACCCTAGAAGAAAACCTAGGCATTACCATTCAGGACATAGGCATGGGCAAGGACTTCATGTCTAAAACACCAAAAGCAATGGCAACAAAAGACAAAATTGACAAATGGGATCTAATTAAACTAAAGAGCTTCTGCACAGCAAAAGAAACTACCATCAGAGTGAACAGGCAACCTACAAAATGGGAGAAAATTTTTGCAACCTACTCATCTGACAAAGGGCTAATATCCAGAATCTACAATGAACTCAAACAAATTTACAAGAAAAAAACAAACAACCCCATCAAAAAGTGGGCAAAGGACATGAACAGACACTTCTCAAAAGAAGACATTTATGCAGCCAAAAAACACATGAAAAAATGCTCATCATCACTGGCCATCAGAGAAATGCAAATCAAAACCACGATGAGATACCATCTCACACCAGTTAGAATGGCAATCATTAAAAAGTCAGGAAACAACAGGTGCTGGAGAGGATGTGGAGAAATAGGAACACTTTTACACTGTTGGTGGGACTGTAAACTAGTTCAACCATTGTGGAAGTCAGTGTGGCGACTCCTCAGGGATCTAGAACTGGAAATACCATTTGACCCAGCCATCCCATTACTGGGTATATACCCAAATGACTATAAATCATGCTGCTATAAAGACACATGCACACGTATGTTTACTGCAGCATTATTCACAATAGCAAAGACTTGGAACCAACCCAAATGTCCAACAATGATAGACTGGATTAAGAAAATGTGGCACATATGCACCATGGAATACTATGCAGCCATAAAAAATGATGAGTTCATGTCCTTTGTAGGTACATGGATGAAACTGGAAATCATCATTCTCAGTAAACTATCGCAAGAACAAAAAACCAAACACCGCATATTCTCACTCATAGGTGGGAACTGAACAGTGAGATCACATGGACACAGGAAGGGGAATATCACACTCTGGGGACCGTTGTGGGGTGGTGGGAGTGGGGAGGGATAGCATCGGGAGATATACTTAATGCTAGATGACGAGTTAGTGGGTGCAGCGCACCAGCATGGCACATGTATATATATGTAACCTGCACAATGTGCACGTGTACCCTAAAACTTAAAGTATAATAATTAAAAAAAAGAAAAAAGATCTTGCTGTCTAGACTGTTGCGATCTAGTAAAGGGAAATAAAAAATTTAATGAAACAAATACCAACGTGCTAAAAGTCTATAGTAGAAGTACAAAAGATGCATCACAAAAGAGTGTATAATTCTCTTTGGATGATGAATAAAGATCAGGAAATATAAAAATCCCTGATCTTTGAACCAATAAACACAGAATACCTACTGTGTGTCAAGTACTATGCTAGGTGTTGAAACAAAGATAAAGTACTATGGAAACTATTAACACACACACACACGCACATGCACACATGCACAAACCTATATTCTTTTTTCTTACCAAAACCCCAAATCATGCTCCTAATTTTGAATGTGCAGGTGCGGTTTTTGGGTGATTGGGTTCTTTCTTTGCTATGTGGGAGGACTCCGGTAGAGTAGGGTGGTTGTCAGACAGAAGCAGATGCTCTTATCAGCCGGGCATTCTCACCCCAGGTAGAAGTGCTGTCTGTGGTCGCTCAGCAGATCCTCAGCATCCAACAAGCCATCATTCGGAAGCTAAAGACATTCATCTTTGAAGGGACTGAGCTCTCTCTGAACCCAACCTGCGCTGTGTTCATCACCATGAACCCCGGGTATGCTGGCAGGGCTGAACTGCCCGACAATCTCAAGGTAAATGCCAGCAGATATACATGTGGGGTGTGCTTTTTAGAATAGAAACCTCTGGGCCGGGTGTGGCGGCTCACACCTATAATCCCAGCACTTTGGGAGGCCAAGGTGGGCAAATCACCTGAGGTCAGGAGCTCGAGATCAGCCTGTCCAATGTGGTGAAACCCCATCTCTACTAAAAATACAAAAATTAGCCGGGCATGGTGGCATGTACCTGTAATCCCACTCAGCTGCTCAGGAGGCTAAGGCAGAAGAATCAGTTGAATGTGGGAGGCAGAGGTTGTGGTGGCCGGAGATAGCGCCGTTGCACTCAGCCTAGGAGATAAGAGTGAAACTCCATCTCAAAAAAAACAAAGCGAAAGAAAAGAAACCTCTGGAGGTACCTACCTGGGGGTAAATTTATTCCTCCATCCCCTTGGGTGGAAGTGATAAGAGAGACCCAGCTACGCCCATATCCACGGACTTTAGGACATGGTCTACCCCCTGTTACTAATGCATTCTGACTGGTGCCCTGGAAACTTACTCAGATGGACCACTTCTCTCTGAGAAGAGAAAAGAGTCAGAGAGATGCTTCAAGTGGCTCCTCCCATCTAGGTCAACATAGGCCAGTGAAGGCCAAGATAGAATTTGGATCCACATTTCTCTCTCTCTTTTTTTTTGAGATGGAGTCTCATTCTGTCCCCCAGGCTGGAATGCAGTGGCATGATCTTGGCTCACTGCCACATCTGCCTCCCAGGTTCAAGTGATTCTCCTGCCTCAGCTTCCTGAGTAGCTGGGACTATAGCCATGCGCCACCATGCCCAGCTAATTTTTGTATTTTTAGTAGAGATAGAGTCTTACCATGTTGGCCAGGCTGGTCTCAAACTCCTGACCTCAGGCAATTTGCCTGCCTCGGCCTCCCAAAGCACTGGGATTACAGGTGTGAGCCACCAGTCCCAGCCACATTTCTCATTTTTTACTGCCCAGTATTTGTAAGCACCCCCTGCATCCATCCCAGCCAACAGCCATATTAGATCGTCACAAGCAGCTTTCACAATGCCATGGGATAGTAGAAAGCACCCAGGCATGGTGTCAGGAAGCCTAGATTCTAGCCCTGGCTCTAGCTCTAACTGGGTGACTCAGGCAAGTTACTTCTCCTCTAAGATCTAAGATAATAATGCAATAGCTGGTGCATACTGAACACTTACTATGTGCCACATACTCTTGCAAGCACTTCAGTTGCATTCTATCATTTATTCTCATGATAACTCTATGAAGAGGGTAAAGTTAGTCTGTTTTGAGATGAAAGAATAGAGATCTACAAGGGTTGTATAACTTGCCCATGCTAGTCGGTAGCAAAACAAGAACTCAAATCAAGATCTGTCTGGCTGGGCGCGGTAGCTCACGCCTTAATCTGAACACTTTGGGAGGCTGAGGCTGTTGGATCATCTGAGGTCAGGAGTTCAAGACAAGCCTGGCCAACATGATGAAACCCCATCTCTACTAGAAATATAAAAATTAGCTGGGCCTGGTGTTGGGCACCTGTAATCCCCAGGTGTTTGGGAGGCTGAGGCACGAGAATCGCTTGAACCTGGGAGGCGGAGGTTGCAATGAGCCAAGATCGTGCCACTGCCCTCCAGCCTGGGTGACAGAGACTCTGTCTTAAAAAAAAAAAAAAAAAAAAAAAAAAAATCTGTCTGGCTTTGGGATTCTTCTGATGCATATTGGTTCTGCATTCCTAAATGACTTCTGATGTCCATGTTGAACACTGGGAAGCTCCAACAGTTGAGTGATGCTATGAGGTGTCCTCATTTGGCATAGGAGAATGAGGTGTACCAGCACCTAGGGCCTTCCACAGAACCATTGAGGGACCCAATGTAAGTAACAACATGTACCCGCATAGGGCCAGTGGGGAGGTTGGTTGAGCCATGCATTGGCCCACCGAGGATGGTCCATCTGCACTCACTTGTCCCCCAGTCCTTCTTGCCTTTATTGTCACTGGAGTGGCCTGAATGAAGCAAAGCTACTTCCCTTTGCTTCTGTGAATGTGCGTTCCCTCAGTATTCACTGCACGTGTTCCGATTCTGATTTGTTGTTTCTTTTCCAGGCCTTGTTCCGGACAGTGGCCATGATGGTCCCAGATTACGCCCTCATTGGAGAAATCTCCCTCTACTCCATGGGGTTTCTGGACTCCAGAAGGTGTGTTACATGGGTTTTCCAGTGCATTCTAAAGGACTTTAAATAGCGGCTTTTTGCGTGGCAGATTCAAGGTGGTTTGCCCATTGGAAGAAGAGAGAGAAGCTTGAGAAACTTGCTTCTGCTTACTGGGTGGTCTGAGAGCACATAGCCCTGGCCTTGGTCTTGCCCCATTTCTGACGGGGAAATGGCCCAGATTCCCAGGGCGGAACCCTGCTGTCTCTTTACATACACCTGAGTTCTGTTAAAGAAAGTAGCTACTCATATCTTCCTCACCTCTCACTCTAACACATCCATACCCACATTACTAAATGGCTTAAGGCAACAAATAGTATAAGGCCGGGTGTGGTGGCTCACGTCTGTAATCCCAGCACTTTGGCAGGCAAGGCGGGGTATCACTTAAGGCCAAGAGTTTGAGACCAGCCTGGCCAACATGGGGAAACCCTGTCTCTACCAAAAAATTCAAAAATTAGCTGGGCTTGGTGGCGTGCACCTGTAATCCCAGCTACTCAGGAGGCTGAGGGAGGAGAACCACTTGAACCGTGGAGGCGGAGGCTGCAGTGAGCCAAGATTTCACCACTGCACTCCAGCCTGGGTGACGGAGTGAGACCCTGTCTCAAAAAAAAAAAAAAAAAAAAAAGCAACACTATAAAACATATGCAATTATTCCAGAATTGAAGAGGAAAAATTATTAATATAACATTTATTGCCTCCAATTAACTAGGTTATATCTCATTCAAGTATTGTCCAGTTTTCTAAGACACACAGTTATACACGGATCAGTGTCTTCAAGTGTGTACGTGTGTATACACACATACATATAACACATGCACCAAGAGTTATGAATAATCGTTGCAAAATGGCTTGTATTGATCTATTCCAAATTTTATCATGTCAATTGACTTTCTGTTATAATGAATGTCTTTATGGCCTGGATGTCTTTGTTTATAATCCAAGGGGCTACAGAAATTCTCAATAGAATATCACCCTTCCTAGGCCAAGAGGCTGCCTCAGTCATATGACATTTAACTCATTTGTTTTCTATAGTAACCAGGATTGCATTGATTTGCTCACTCAATTCATTTATTTATTTAATTAGCAAACCTTTATTGAGTCACCAACCTTATGCCCAGCCCTGTGCTGGGTGCTGGTGAACAACACAAAGTCTTTGTTTTTAAAGGAAATCAGTTCTGTAAAGAGGATCTCCTTGAGAGAAAAGTGCATAAGTGTATTAGTTAGGGTAACGCTGACCCCTGAATCTCAATGGCTTACCATAACAAAGTTTATTTTTTACTCGCTGAAAATCCAAAATGAGTCTACAGCCATACCACACTGAACGCAGCCAATCTCATCTGAAAATCCAAAGTGGAGTGTAGTGATGCAATCACAGCTCACTGCAGCCTTGAACTCCTGGGCTCAAGAGCTCCTCCCACCCTTAGCCTTCCGAGTAGCTGGGATGACAGGTGCCATGCTACCATGCCCAGCTCATTTTTTAATTTTTCTGTAGAGATAGAGCCTCGCTATGTTGCTGAAGCTGGGCTTGGACTCCTGGCCTCGGACTCCTGGCCTCAAGCGATCCTCCTGCCTCAGCCTCCCAAAGTGCTGAGATCACAGGCATGAGCCACTGCACTTGGCCAAAAACGTATCATTTCATATACCATACATGTTATACATATATGTTCACTTGCTTTTTTTCATGCTTCCATACCACATTATGGTAACTCTATTAAAATATCCTTAAAGGATAGGGCTTCTCCATCAAGTCCATGGGCATGCCTGGTTGCTGACGGGGCAAGGACAAGGATATTGGGAATGTCTGCTGGGCAGGACGTAGTCCTCTCTGGGTGTCCGCATACATGTCTTTGCCCTTCTAGTCTCGCCCAGAAGATCGTTGCGACCTACCGCCTGTGCTCGGAACAACTGTCCTCTCAGCATCACTATGACTACGGTATGCGCGCTGTCAAGTCTGTGCTTACTGCCGCAGGAAACCTGAAGCTCAAGTATCCAGAGGAGAATGAAAGTGTCCTGCTGCTCCGGGCATTGCTTGATGTCAATCTGGCCAAGTTCTTAGCGCAAGATGTCCCTCTGTTTCAGGTATGTAGCGGTTCAGGACCTTGGCCGAGGACCAAGGCTCAATGTTGGAAGATGAAATGTTGTGTTTGGTGCCTTCCCCATACCCTCTTCCATCTTCCATTCTTTGGCCAGCATCTCTGCCACCTGATACCCTCCCTGCAAATGTTAAATAATAAGAGTGATAGATAGCAAACATCTCTGCCTGATTTTTAATAAAAATGGTTTCACTGATAGGATAATATTTGCTCTTGGGTATACATATGTGTTTTTATCCAGTTTAATTAGTTTCCTTTTGTAATTTAATTTAATCTTACTTGCCAGGCTCTGAGCTTCATAAGGACAGAAGTCATTACTATCTTGTTCATTCCTAGTACAGTGACTGGAAGATAATCCAGACTTATTAAATATTTGCTGACTTTTAAAATTATTTGGGGGAGAAATTACACGGTTTTTTTGTTTTTGTTTTGTTTTTTGAGATGGAGTTTTGTTCTGTCGCCCAGGCTAGAGTGCAGTGGCATGATCTCGACTGATTGCAACCTCTGCCTCCTGGATTCAAGTGATTCTCCTGCCTCAGCCTCCCGAATAGCTGGGATTACAGGCATGAGCCACCATGCACAGCTGAATTTTGTATTTTTAGTAGAGACGGGTTTTCACCATGTTGGCCAGGCTGGTCTCGAACTCCTGAACTCAGGTGATCCACCCACCTCGGTCACCCAAAGTGCAGGGATTACACAGGGATTCTGGCCTAGCCAGAAATTATGTTTTATAAATAGCATTTTCATTTGTAATTGTAGAAAAGTTTTGGTGCAAGAAAAATAAGGTCTGGAATTTTTCAAAGATCTCTGTTGTTGATACATCTCATTTTAGGAAAATGTTGAGGTCATATATCTGATACTTTATCCTTTCCACTTTCTTTTAAATTCTTTTTAACAGGGAATTATATCTGATTTATTTCCTGGAGTTGTTCTTCCAAAGCCAGACTATGAAGTTTTTCTGAAAGTGCTGAATGATAACATCAAAAAGATGAAACTCCAGCCAGTACCTTGGTTTATAGGGAAAATTATCCAGGTTGGTTCCTTAGCCCATATAAATGTGCCTGTTTTACTGTTTGCTGAAGTCAGCAAACAGTAAAGTCTTATAGGAGATTGGAACTGAAGTGACAGCAATCAGAGGTGCCTGTGTAGAAATGCAAGTAAAACATTAGCTGGGCGTAATGGCCTATGCCTGTAGTCCCAGCTACTTGAGAGGCTGAGGTGGGAGGATCGTTTGAGCCCAGGAGTTCGAGGCTGCAGTGGGCTATGATCATACCACTGCATTCCAGCCTGGGTGACAGAGTGAGACCCTGACTCTTAAAAAAAAGAAGAAAGAAATGGAGGTAAAACAAACAACCAAAACCAAAAAACCCACTTACTTACTCCATCAGTTTTTGTGTTTGTTTGTTTGTTTGTTTGTTTTTGAGATGCAGTCTTGCTCTGTTGCCCAGGCTGGAGTGCAGTGGTGCAATCTTGGCTCACTGCAACCTCTGCCTCCCAGGTTCCAGCGATTCTCCTGCCTCAGCCTCCTGGGTAGCTGACATTACAGGTGCGTGCCGCCACCCCCCAGCTAATTTTTGTACTTTTTGTAGGGATGGGGTTTCACCATGTTACCCAGACTGGTCTCAAACTCCTGACCTCAGGTGATCCACCCACCTCAGCCTCCCAAATCCCATCATTTTTTGCTGTGAGATTTTAGGCAAATTAGTTCACCTCTTTTATCCTCAGTCCTCTGTAAAATGGAGTCATTTTGAGAGAAGAGGTGTGTAAAGTGCTACACATAGTACCTGATACTATATCATTATCAACTCCACCATCTCCGTCATCATCAGCAGCACCATTGGCATCATCATTTCCCAAAGTCACAATGTGAGTTACAAGTGAAGTTAGGACCCAGGTCTCCAGATTCTGAGATCACACTGCCTTGTGGTAAAAACAATCATTCTTTTTCCTACTGTATTAGCAAGTGAGCTAATTTTTGACACAACTCATTTAACCCAATTTTGAACCCCAATTTATGATTGAGATTTTGCAGAAGGACCATTCTTTAACTAGGCATGAACTTTAATTTTCAATATTTTATTATGAAAAATTTTAAACATGCAGAAAAATTGAACGAAACGTACGCAGAACATTCATGTACTCACCACCCAGATTTTACAATTAATATTTTATACTATTTGTTTTATTTTTTATCCATCCGTCCATCCATCCATCTTACTTTTTGATATATTTCAAAGTAATTTGCGGATCTACAGATGAACTTTCATGTAGCTTAGTACCAATTTACAAAAACAAGGTAATATTTTCAAAAACAAGGGTTCTGGAGCTACCTGCCCTTTTACTTATTGATGTCTCAATGTGAGGAAGAATGTGAGAGGCTATTGAATCTTTAATGTTTTCCTCTCTTATTCGTTTTTTATTTTAAACAGTCTCCCTCCATTACCCAGGCTGGAGTGCAGTGACGTGATCTCAGCTCACTGCAACCTCCACCTCCCAGGCTCAAGCGATTCTGCTGCCTCAGCCTCTCGAGTAGCTGGGATTACAGGCATGTGCCACTATGCCCGGCTAATTTTTGTATTTTTAGTAGACATGGGATTTCACCATGTTGGCCAGGCTGGTCTCAAACTCCTGACCTCAAATGATCCCCCCACCTTGACCTCCCAAAGTGCTGGGATTACAGGTGTGAGCTACCCAGCCCAGCCTTCCTCTCTTATTTCTGATGCACAGTCAAGCTTTCAAACCACCTGAATGTCAACCCTACTTAATGGTTAGGGATTTTGTATTGTTCTCTGCTCTGTAACTTTCAAACAGTAGCTTTCAAACCTACCTGAATGTCAACCCTACTTAATGGTTAGGGATTTGTTTGTTTTGTTCTCTGCTCTGTCTACAGCACCCAGAACAGTGTCTGGCACATAGTAGATGCTCAAAAAATATTTGCTGAATTACATGTGTTCCTTTCTCTACCACTCCCGTTGTCACTACCTTCATTTAGATGCTTCTTATTACTCACCTCCAAGGTGAAAAATAATAAGAACTTAATCTTTAAAATACAAAGCTGCTTGTGTTCCCTTTCTCTGAGGGAGTCACAGTCTAAAGGAGCAAATTTGTTTAAACCATAAAATTCACATAAATGCAAATGACCAAAGCAGTTAGATCTCAAGAAAGAAAGTTTCCAGGAGAAACACAATTTGCTAAAATGACCGCCATTTTCTTTTTCTCTTTAAAAATAAATGGCAATAGTGTCATGAAAATATTAGAGGCGTTAAAGTCAAATAGCCCTGTCTGCAAATTCTGGCTCCATCACTGATGAACTTGGGCAAGTATTTAACCTCTCTTGGGCTCAGTCTTACCCTTTGTAAAAGGTGGTCAATGATATTGGAGTAGATTAAATAATTTGGGTTATCAGTTGATTCTTAACACATAGACAAGTACAGAGCAAATGGTAGTTCCCATCCCTTAAATAATCTGAGACACACACATATATTTTTTCGTCTGAAAGATATGTAAACAATAGACCATGAAAAGAACCGAAGTTCTCCAGAGGTAGAAGCAACTGTGAGAATCCTCTTCTGACCCCTCATTCCTCATTGACTTCTGACTAACTCACAATGGGGGAGCGTTGCAATGATTAGCTTCTTTTATGAATGATGTCTCCTCCCAGATCTACGAAATGATGCTGGTGAGACATGGCTATATGATTGTAGGAGACCCCATGGGCGGCAAGACCTCTGCTTATAAAGTGTTGGCTGCAGCTCTCGGCGATTTACACGCAGGTAAAGCTCACATCCCTGGCTTCCAGGGAGGACAGAACTCCTCGCTCAGTTGGCTGGCTCCATGGAGATAATGCCAGGCTGCTAGTCTTGTCAGGCCTCGATCGTGACGTCAGAGCTAGAAATAGAACATGGCACACAGATGTCTGCAAGCAGAAAATAAAGGGTTGGGGGCGGGGTGCTTCTATAATAACAAGGGATTTCATGTGCATATCATTAAGGCCTGGAGGAATTGTCTCAAATGCTGAGCAGTGGTTTCTCCAAAGGTCCCCCAGTGAAAGAGAAACTCTTGTCATTGGCCTTAAAATTAGTCTAAAAGCAAATCACTGCATGGTTTTGCTTCTTTGCTTCTATTCTCTTCTTTTCCTGTTCCCTTCCCTTTAGTTTTTTCCCTCCCTCCTTCCCTTCTTTTCTTCTTTCCTTCCTTTTAAAGTCAAGGATAGGAGCTCCTGCTTTTGAATCAGACTCAGACTTGGGCAAATGACTAAACCTGTGTTATCCTCTGTTTTCCCAGCTGTAAAATGGGATTGTTATGAGAATTAAGTAACAGCATGCAGGTAAATAACTGAGCACAGTGCCTACGCAACAAATGGAAACTATGTTTCCTGCCAGAGAAACAGTTGTGGGTTTTTTCGTGTGTGTGTCTGTTTTGTTTTGTTTTTATAAAACACAAACCTATAGTTTCATAAAAGCATTTCCTTTTCGTGCATGCATTGCTTCAAGTTTTTCATTTAAAATTTTTTTTCTAATAACATTTGATGATTGGGTTTTTGAGGTTATGTTTTGGGGGTTATCCTAGCCTTAATAACTAATTTGGGCATCTCAAATTTAGATACAAATTTTGAGGCAGGGAACAGGGGCTCACACCCATAATCCCGGCATTTTGAGGGGCCAAGGCGGGCGGATCACTTCAGCTCAGGAGTTTGTGGCTGCAGTGAGCTATGATTGCGCACTGCACTGCAATTGCAGCCTGGGTGAGTGAGATCCAGTCTCAAAATAAAATAATAGAATATAATAAAATATAAAATATTTTTAGCATTTTAATATACCTTAAAGAAATATACCTTTAATATACCATTTTAATATACCTTAAGAAACTGAGTGAAGAAAAAGGAGGCTACCACTGTGTTTGCCTCAGGATGCTGCAGAGTAGTTCTTTTTTATTTATTTAATTATTTTTAATGGTTTTTAGAGATAGTGCAGTGGCACAGTCTCGGCTCACTGCAACCTCTGCCTCCTGGGCTCAAGCAATCCTCCTATCTCAGGCTCCCGGGTAGCTGGGATCATAGGCATGCACCACCATGCCCGCCTAATTTTTGTATTTTTTGTAGAGATGGGGTTTTGCCATATTGCGCAGGCTGGTCTCGAACTCCTGAGCTCAAGCAATCCTCCTGCCTCAGCCTCCCAAAGTGCTGAGATTACAGGCATGAGCCACAACACCTGGCCCAGAGGTGGTTCTTTATTTAGTTCATGACTCAAGCACTTCAACTTTTCCCTACTTTGAAGGATTCCATAAAAGCATTGTGATTTTTTTTTGTTATTAAATACATATGCTGTGCCATCCATCAGCCTGTACGTTCCAATTGAGTTTTAATACTCCAGCGTGTATTTCTTGGGAACAAATGACACTCACTGAGCAGTCAAGAACGATTTCGGGGCCAAACTAGCCCTTCAGAGACAGAAAAGTAACCATCATTTTTCAGAACCTTTTTACCTGTCAGCTGTTTCCCGTTTCCTCATTTCAAATCAAAGCCAAGGTTCTGATCTGTTCTTTTCATTTTTAATTTCTTCCTTCAGCCTGTTTGAGTTTGAAAAGCCAAGGTTCTTAGGGTGGCTGTGAGAGCAGGTACATAGAGGGCTGATAATAGGCGTCACTCTCCCTTCCTGCTTGAGTTCTGTGAGGGCAGTCAGATTTCTTTAGTCCTGGATTTTTTTTTTTTTCGAGACAGAGTCTTACTCTGTCGCCCAGGCTGGAGTGCAGTGGCATGGCCTCAGCTTACTGCAACCTCCACCTCCCAGGTCCAAGTGTTTCTCCTGCCTCAGCTTCCCAAGTGGCGAATGGCTGGGTTTACAGGCATGCGCCACCACGCCCAGCTAATTTTTGCATTTTTAGTGGAGACAGGGTTTCACCATATTGGCCAGGCTGGTCTCAAACTCCTGGCCTCTAGTGATCCACCTGCCTTGGCCTCCCAAAGTGCTGGGATTACAGGCGTGAGCCACTGTGCCCAGCAAGTAGTCCTGGATCTGACTGGCACATTTGCCCTATTTGAAAAGAGGATTGGAAGAAAGTATGGTGAGAAATCAAAGGCTATAATAACCCAATAATGTAAGGCATTGCCTATCCAGATGTCTCAGTCAGTCTTTTTTTTTTTTTTGAGAGACGGCTTCATTCTGTTGCTCAGGCTGAAGTGTGGTGGCACAATCATAGCTCACTGCAGCCTCCATTTCCCAGGTTCAAGTGATCCTCCCATCCTGGCCTCCCTGAGTATTGGGATTATGGGTGTGAGCTACTACAGCTCCTGGCCCCAGATCCCAATCTCTATAAAAACTGAGCACATGTTTTATAAGAAGGACTTCCCTCATATGGCATATTTATAAAAGTTGATTGGTTGTTGAGATGACATCATCTCTTGTTTAACCTTCTGGTCTCACCAGAGCCTTTATAACTGGTGTTGAACCTTCTTGCCCAGCCAATCAGATGGAGGAGTTTGCTGTGGAGTACAAGATCATCAACCCCAAGGCTATCACGATGGGGCAGCTGTATGGGTGCTTTGACCAAGTGAGCCACGAGTGGATGGATGGTGTCCTTGCCAATGCTTTCCGGGAGCAAGCGTCTTCACTCTCTGATGATCGCAAGTGGATTATATTTGATGGGCCAGTGGATGCTATTTGGATTGAAAATATGAACACTGTTCTGGATGACAATAAAAAGGTAAGTATTGACCCTGATATGACTTTTCCATGAGTGAGACATAAACTCTTTTATTGAAGTAAGTGATTGATCAAAACTATATAGAGACATACATTTATTATGTATGTATTCTGTATACATTAAGAATAAATGCCCCACAGGAGGATTATAGTAATCAATTCATGAATTATGCTCTGTTTGTACTTGTAGTTGGTAAGCTAAGCATGTTTAGAGACCACGTTGAATAGTGAGCCTTAGTGCTGGCATCAGTTTGGACTCCTAGCCCTGCAACTGAGCTGTGTTGTACTGAGCAAGTCACATCACTTCTCTGAATCTCAGTTTTCTCATTTGTAGAAAGGTAGTAATAAAATGAGGTTGTTGATACTTAAATGAGATTGCACATAGTACCTGCGGGATATGTTTTGGTTACTTATTGCTATATAACAAACTACCCTAATACTTAACGGCTTAAAACAACCATTTCTTTTCCTCATGATTTTGTGGGCTGGGAATTTTGAAAGGGCTCAGCTGGCCAGTTGGTCTCTCTTTTGATGTCAGCTGGGGCAGCTCAGGCTAGAAAATCCGCATTCAAGATGGCGTCTTCACTCAATGCCTGGTGGCACAATCATATTTGGCCCATCTTTCTCTCTCTCTTTTTCTTTCTCTCTAAAAATAATACCTCCTCTTCCAGGCCACTTCACATGGCTTGGGCTTTTCACTTGGTGGTGTCTTGGTAGTGGCGCTTCCTATGTGGTGGGTGATTTCCAAGAGTCAGGAAGTGGAAGTTTCCAAGATATTAAGAGCTATGCTTGAAACTGATAAGCATTACTTTCTCTGCATTCTGTTGGTCAAGGAACTCACAAGGCCTGACCAGGAAGTGGAAAAATAGACTTCACCTCTTGATGGAGGCAGACAGGTCACATTGCAAAAGTGCATATGGGCTGGGCCCTATAGGCTCACACGTGTAATCCTAACACTTCTAGAGGCTGAGACAGGAGGATTGCTTGAGCCCAGGAGTTCAAGACCAGTTTGAGCAACACAGTGAGCCATCTCTACAAAAAAAAAATTTGTTTTAATTAACTGGGCATGGTGGTAAGTGCGTGTAGTCCTGCTACTCAGGAGGCTGAGGTGTGAGGATCCCTTGAGTCTGGAAGTCATGGCTACTGTGAGCCTTCATTGTGCCACTGTGCTCCAAGCTGAGCAACAGAGAAAGACCTTGTCTCAAAAAAAAAGTGGGGGCATATGGGATGGAATTTATGTAACTTGCCCAACACAACACAGCTCAATAGTAGAGTTAGGAGTCCAAACTGATGCCAGGACCTTTGGAAAATATAGCAATCTTTGCAAAAATACCACCAATCTTTGGAAAAATAAGTAGAGTAGAGTGATAACACAGTAAGTATGGCGCCACAGTATGTATGGTGGCTAAAAGAGCTTGGACTCTGGAGCCAGAGAGCCTGGGTTCAAATCCTGGCCTTGCCACTTTCCAGCTATGTAACCTCAGACAAGCTATTTAGTCTCTTGATGCCCCAACTTCATCATCTGTAAAGTAGGGACGATAGCGTCTACCTTATACTGTTACGAAGATTAGATAAGTTACTATTTATACACCTCTTCTGATGGTGCCTGGCATATAGCAAGTGCTATATAACTGTTTAAAATAAAATTTATCATCATCTCAAGGAAGAATTCCTTCACTGGATATACATCATTATCAAATCAAAATATATTTTCTAACTGTGTTTAAATGTCACAAGACTAAGAGTGAGTCATGCTCAACAACGAAAGGGCTAATTATCCAAATTATACACATCCACTAATTATAGCATGTGCATAATTTTGATTATATAATATTCAAAAATGGAAATGTTTTATTACATGATATGGACTATATTATATAAACTAATTGTACAGATGTATCGGTTGGTCTTGAGATTAGAAGTATCAAGAGAGTCATAATAAGTGAATTTCCTAATGGTTTTCCTCTGCTCTGGATGTAAATGAAACTACAGTCACAGGTGTGGGTCTGTTTTAGCTTTCTTTATATTCAGAGATGACGCGGTTGGTGGTGTCAGCCTTGTAACAGCTGTGATCTTCCTGGGGATGCAGGCAGTGACCTGTTTCAAGTTGTGTTTGATGCAGGCCAAGTAAGATGCAGGGAAGTTTTTAATCACAAATTAGGATGAGCAGAATGAATCAGTCGTATTTCCTCTTCTCCCCTGGGAGACAAGGGCCTCAGGCCTTTCTTATAACTTAAACATCTCACTGGAATCCATTTTCGTGAGTAGGAAACAGTGTCATTGACTTAGTATATATTCCAAGGCTTTCCTGTGTAATTGCACTACTTCCTACAGGGTTTTACTTGCTACACACTAGAAATTCTGATGATTTTTCTTTCTTTTTTTTTTTTTTGAGACAAAGTCTCCCTCTGTTGTCCAGGATGAAGTGCAGTGGCACGATCTCAGCTCACTGCAACCTCCACCTCCCGCAATTCTCCTGCCTTAGTAGCTGGGATTACAGATGCGTGCCACCATGCCCGGCTATTTTTTTTTTTTTTTTGTACTTTTAGTAGAAATTGGGTTTCACCATGTTGGCCAGGCTGGTCTCCAACTCCTGACCTCAAGTGATCTGCCTTCCTCGGCCTCCCAAAGTGCTGTGCTGGGATCACAGGCACGAGCCACTGTGCCTAGCTTCTTTCACTCTATTCTAAAAAAGATTTATGGGCCAGGCACGGTGGCTTATGCTTGTGATCCTAGCACTTTGGGAGGCAGAGACAGGAGGATTGCTTGAGCCCAGGAGTTTGAGATCAGCTTGGGCAACACAGTGAGATCCTGTCTCTACAAAAAAAATTTTAAAAAATATATTATGGAAACATTGATTTAATCTAAAAACAAAAAACAAAAAATAAAAAACTAGCCACGTGTGAAGGTACACACCTGTAATCCTAGCTACTCAGGAGGCTGAGGTGGGAGGATCGCTTGAGCCCCAAAGGTCGAGGATGGAGTGATTGCAAATGTGTCATTGTATTTCAGTCTGGGTAACAGAGCAACACCTGTCTCAAAAGCAAATAAAAATTAAAAATAAAAAGAATTTATGGAAAGGCTTTTGTCCCTCCTGCTATGGATTAGTCCATGCGGGTGTTCAAATATGGGTCTTTTGTGAAAGAATTGAGCAAATAAAAATAGGATGTGGCTTTGCAGTTAAGTTCTATGTTAAATATTGAGAAAGGGACCAGGAAACTTGGTGAGGTCTGATAACTTCTCGATTCTTCATCTGAGATTGCATCTAAGGTCAGTGATTCCCTGGCTTTCCTATTAAAATTGCAGCTCACTCAACCCTGACTGAGGTCAGGCATGTGCCACCATGCTCAGCTAATTTTTGTATTTTTAGTAGAGACAGGGTTTTACCATGTTGGCCATGCTGGTCTTGAACTCCTGACCTCAAGTGATCCACCCGCCTCGGCCTCCCAAAGTGCTGGGATTACAGGCGTGAGCCACCATGCTCAGCCTCTTTGTTATACTTTATTTGTGACTTTCCCTATACACATTTTTTTAAGAAGTAGGAAGGCCATCACTAAATAAATACACACTTAGGTGTGGATCTATATAGTATATGTATGTGTAGATATATGTATGTGTAGATGCAACCCCCTCTTCTACTAAATTTTTCTCCAGAGCACTTTTCACCACTTCGAACACTATATATTTTGCTTATTGTCTGTCATCTCCCAGAAGAATGTAAACCCCAAGAGGATAGGAAATTTTGTGTTTTATTTTATGCACCTAGGAGTTAGTGCATAACAGTGCCTGGGACATCATAAGTGCTCAAGAAATATTTATGGAATGAATCAAACCAGCTTTGTCTGCACTGAGACCTCTTACTTGCAGATGGAATTTAAGCCTTTCCCCTGTCTGCTACCCTCTGCTTTGCACTTTTAGCTGTGTCTCATGAGTGGGGAAATTATCCAGATGAACTCCAAGATGAGCCTGATCTTCGAGCCCGCCGACCTCGAGCAAGCCTCTCCAGCCACTGTGAGCAGGTGAGGCAGCCCTCACTGGCACCCCGGGGGACAGTGTGGCTCCACTCACCCTAAGCAAAAGAGAAAGCTCTCAAATTTCACAAATGTGATGAAGCCCTCGCAGATCATCTACATTATTATTATTTTTCTTTCCAATTTTTATTTTAGGTTCCAGGGGGTATATGTGCAGCTTTGTTACATGAGTAAATTGCATGGCATGGGGGTTTGGGGTACAGATTGTTTAGTCACCCAGTTAATCAGGTTGTTTTTCCATCCTCACCCTCCTCCACCCTGAAGTAGGCTCCCATATCTATCATTTCCTTCTTTTTTTTTTTTTTTTTTTTTTTGAGACGGAGTATCACTCTGTCACCCAGGCTGGAGTCCCGTGGCATGATCTCGACTCACTGCAACCTCTGCCTCCCAGGTTCAAGCGATTCTCCTGCCTCAGCCTCCCCAGTAACTGGGACTACAAGCACACGCCACCACCCTCGGCTAATTTTTGTATTATTAGTAGAGATGGGGTTTCACCATGTTGGCCAGGCTGATCTCAAACTCCTGACATCGTGATCTGCCTGCCTCAGCCTCCCAAAGTGTGGAATTACAGGCATGAGCCACCGTGCCCAGCCAATCGTTCCCTTCTTTGTGTCCATGTGTACTCAATGTTTAGCTCCCATTTATAAGTAAGAACATACGGGATTTGGTTTTCTGTTCCTGCGTTAATTTGCTTAGCATTATATTATTTGTCATTCATTTAGATTTGTCATAAAATCAGCCCTCAGTCCACACTACTGGTGGGAGTCTAAAACCCAGCAAGTACTTTGGAAACAGTTTGATATTATCTCCTAAAGTTGAATCTCCGTATGCCCAAGAGCCAGCCATTCTCCTAAGTACAGGCCCAAGGAAAACTTTTGGCATGTGCAACAGGAGATCTGTACAAAAAATATAGTGGCAGAACTCACAGTAACAAGCACTTGGAAACAGCCCAAATGCCTGTTAATCGAGTTATTGGTGGCCAGGTACGATGACTTATGCTGTAATCCCAGCACTTTGGGAGGCCGAGGCGGGCAGATCACCTGAGGTCAGGAGTTTGAGACCAGCCTGGCCAACATGGTGAAACCTCATTTCTACTACAGAAAAATACAAAAAAATAGCCAAGCATGGTGGTGGGTGCCCGTAATCCCAGCTACTTGGGAGGCTGAGGCAGGAGAATTGCTTGAACCCAGGAGGCAAAAGTTGCAGTGAGCCGAGATCACACTACTGCACTCCAGCCTGGGCGACAGAACAAGACTCCATCTAAAAAACAAACAACAACAACAACAACAACAAAAGAGTGAATTAATAAAGTATAATAGAGTCAGAAATTGTAATATGTATAATAAAGTACTCAAAAGAACTGCACTGACATGCAACTATATAAATAAATCTTAGTAACTCTATTAAGGACAAAACCTTAGCAATATTATATAGAACACAGATAATGTAATAATGTAATTATATCTATAAATATATTATATCTATAATTACATCTATAAATATGTTATATCTATAATTACATCTATAATTACATAATTATATCTATAATTACAGTATATTATATATAATATAATGTTATACTATATACTAATATATACTATATTATTATGTGCTAATATATAATAATATATATACTGTATGGTTATATGCTATTATATACTATATTATTATTATATAGTAATAATAAAAGTAAGATCAAAATATTATCTATAACATGGTACCCCTTTTTAATTGTTAAAAACAACTAAAATAAAAATATAAACACTTTAGGAACAGGCCGGGCGAGGTGGCTCACACCTGTAATCCCAGCGCTTTGGGAGGCCCAGGTGGATGGATCACTTGAGGCCAGGAGTTCTAGACCAGCCTGGCCAACCCTGTCTCTACTAAAGACAAAACCCCATCTCTACTAAAAATACAAAAAAGTTAGCCAGGTGTGGTGGGACGCACTTGTAATTCCAGCTACTCGGGAGGCTGAGAAATGAGAATCACTTGAACCAGGGAGGCGGAGGTTGCAGTGAGCCAAGATTGCACCACTGTACTCCAGCCTGGGCAACAGAGCAAGACACTGTCTCCAAACAAACAAATAAACATTTTAGGAACATATAGAAATGCTATAAAACTGTATATGAAGGAAAGAAATCAAGGGGCAGATGAACACAAGATTCAACGTGGGTAAACCCAGGGGACTAGGTTATTGTCAAGATCCATTAATGCCTAGCATGGTGCCTGACATGCAGTAGATTGCTCAATAAATGTTAACCCGTATTAGTAACAAAGAAGCGAGCACCTAAACTGGTCCTCTGTGCTTCCCAGGTGTGGGATGATCTACATGGAGCCCCATCAACTAGGCTGGAAGCCCCTGAAGGATTCCTACATGGACACCCTGCCCTCCAGTCTCACCAAGGAGCACAAAGAATTGGTGAGCCCCTCAGACCCTTTCCTTCCCCTCCTGCTGTCTCCCTGCTTTTCATCTCGAGGGTCTTCTAGGTACATCTTCACCTTCATAGTCCCTGGAGGCAACAAGGGGCAGGGAATTCCCTTGTTGTCCCCAGTTATCTTGTTTCCTGGCTGCCTGCCATTTTTCGAACTTTCTTCTCCATATGGTGGGCCTGGGGTGGTGCAGTCAATTTCTCTTTCCTCTTCCTCCTTCCCCATCACTCCCTGGCTCCCCAGTGGAGAATCCCAGTGCTGAGGAATGTTCTCTGTGGAAGCTGAAATGTCACCTCTTTCTTCATTGCCCCACTAACAGAAATGTCTGTAGAAGTTTCTCTAGAGATGGGCCAGGTGTTCCTTTTGGTGCTGCCAATTCCCATCCCTGTAACCTGGACTCTGCACCTCCCACCTTGAGGGAGCTGGAACCAGTTAGAAGTGCTTTCACTGCAGCTACTGTGAGCGACCACTCCCTTCTTCCCTTCTCTAAAGAGGTGGGAAAGTTCGGGTTAGGCGGGTACCTGACCACACTCTCAGACCCGGAAGCAGGAAGGGAGTAGCGGTGTCTGTGGTTCCTCTTGCCCTCCCCTGTGTTAATAGAATGCTTAGGAAAGTCTCCCACTGAGGAATCCAAGGATGGTCTATTCCTACAATGGAAACTCTTTGGGAGATTATGTAGGACGGCTGAATGTCTGTCATCACCTACATACATGGATAATATGTAAAGTGCAAGTACATATCCACGTGCACATTCAAGCGCCAGTCCACACACACACACACACACACACACACACACACCCCAAAAGCTGCCAAGTCCCCATATATGTAAAGTCATTTAGGGACTCCCCAATGTCCCTGGCACAAAGTTTAACTCCTTATCAGGGCCCATGAGACTATGTGATCTGGCCCCGCCTGCCTCTGCAATCTCATTTCCTGCTCTTTCTCAGCCTCAGCTTAGCAGTCTCCAGCAGTCCTGTCTTGTTTCCAAGACAAGCCCAGGTTTCATCACCTCAAGGCTTTTGCTCTTTTTATTCCTCTTCCTGGGACTCTTGCCTCAGTTTATCTCAGAGTTGGCTCCACCCTCATCATGCAGTTCTCAACATAAAAATCTCCTCCTCCAGGAAGGCTTCTTTACCCTATTTAAACCCTTCCTGTTATTCTTCACCATAACACGTTTGTGTTTCCTGCTAGAACTTTGCATGATCTATAGGTATTTTACTGATATCCCTGCTGGATTAGTTATTTATTGTTTGTCTTCCCTGACCCTCCATGAGGGCTCCTTGTCTACCTTTTCCATTGTTTATCCCCAGCACTACTACCGTGCAATTAGTAGATGCTCAATAAATATTTATTGACTGAATTGATATACCACATTTCCATGTATACCTGTATTTTTATATATACATATAAATGCATCTACACATACATAAATTATCTATATAGATCCACACCTAAGTCTGTATTTATTTAGTGATGGCCTTCCTACTTCTTAAAAAAAATGTGTATAGGGAAAGTCACAAATAAAGTATAACAAAGAGGCTGAGCGTGGTGGCTCACGCCTGTAATCCCAGCACTTTGGGAGGCTGAGGTGGGCGGATCACTTGAGGTCAGGAGTTCGAGACCAGCATGGCCAACATGGTAGAACCCTGTCTCTACTAAAAATACAAAAATTAGCTGAGCATGATGGCATGTGCCTGTAATCCCAGCTACTCAGGGAGTCTGAGGCAGGAGAATCGCTTGAACCCAGTGGGGGCGGAGGTTGTAGTGAGCTGAGATCACACCATTGCACTCCAGCCTTGGTGACAGAACAAAACTCCGTCTCAAAAAAAAAAAAAATTTAGTAAGTAAATAAATAAATCTTTTTTAAAAAAAATATAACAAAGGTTTAAAAAAGCATTACAAGAAAAGCAAGTCGGATAACTTTTTAAAAGAGTAAATGGACTGGAGAACAGACACTAGAGGCAAGAATCATGATAACCCCAAAGAAGAACATATAAACCTACCCATACGTGTGGTAAATTACTGAAAATGAGCCCCCCAAATTAGCTCTGTACTCTCTTTGACTAATTTATACAGGAGTCCCACCTCACCAGTGTCTAACATAACAGTCATTTGTAAATTAATTGTTTAGAATTCCTAATACTTTTTATAGAAACAAAGACAGATACACTAGTTGGGTTCTAAACACATTTTATGCATCCTGTAGCTGACCCAGAGTATTTCCAAGCCTCTCTGAGTATCAGCTCTGGGCAGTGGAATGCGGATGGGAAACTGAGTTAACATGGCCTGTGGGCAACAGTCTTAGGACCCTGAAGGAGGATGCTGAGATAGGGGTCTTGTTGCCTATAAGTTTTCCCCCAATGCACCTACATTTAAATCAGCAGTCTAACCAGCATCTCTAGCCTCACAAGGTAGACCAAGCTCTTGGTCGTCAACTCACTTGTTGATCATGTCTCCAAGTCTCATGGAGGTTTCTACTCTCAGGTCAATGACATGTTCATGTGGCTTGTCCAGCCCTGCCTGGAATTTGGTCGCCTTCATTGTAAATTTGTTGTCCAGACATCTCCCATCCACCTTGCCTTCTCAATGATGAGACTGTACTCTTCTCTGCTTGGTAAGTGCTAGCCATGATTCTTAAGCCACATGGGGGGTGGGTCTACCTTGGCTATTTCTTTTTTTTTTGAGATGAAGTCTCACTCTGTCACCAAGGCTAGAGTGCAGTGGCATGATCTTGGCTCACTGCAGCCTCAGCCTCCCAGGTTCAAGTGATTCTCCTGCCTCAGCCTCCCGAGTAGCTGGGATTAAGTTACGCACCACTTCTATTTTTTTGTATTTTTAGTAGAGATGGGGTTTCGCCATGTTGACCAGGCTGGTGTTGAACTCCTGACCTCAAGTGTTCCACCTGCCTCTGCCTCCCAAAGTGCTGGGATTACAGGCATAAGCCACAGCGCCTGGGCTACCTTGGCTATTTTTTCTGCTCCCACCTCTCTTTGGCCCCCATTGAATTACAACATGACTGGCTGTTTGATCTAGAACAAGCAAGCCTTTGGAGTGCAGATAGTAGAGTTTGGTAGGCAAAGTCCATGTGTTTAGTCTTTGTCTGACATTGATTTTTGGGTGGTATTCTAGTGCAAATTACCCCATCATTCCTCAGTCTAAGGCTCCTCATTTACATAATGAGAGTAGTAATTCCTGCCCTTTTTACCTCACAGGGATATCCTAGAGGGAGATGAACATAGCAGGACCCCTGTCTTACCTCCTCTCTGATAAGAGATTAATTTCCAAAAAAACAAAAAAGTAAATGTAGACTTATTGATCCAGCACTTTCACCTTAGCATATAAACCAAAAAGAATTGAAAGCAGAGACTTGATCAGATATTTGTATAACCATGTTCATAGAACTCTTGTTCACAATACCCAAATGGTGAAAACAACCCATGTGTCTACCGATGGATGAACAAATAAGCAAAATGTATTGTAATTTTGCAATGAAATACTATTTAGCCTTAAAAAGGAAATAAATTCTGATGCATGCTACAGCTTGGATGAACACTAAAGCCATTATACTAAGAAAATAAGCCAGTCACAAAATGACTGTGCGATTCTTCTCTACAATTAATGTACATAGAGTAGCCAAATTTATAAAGACAGAACGGAGAGTTCTGGTTGCAAGGGGGATGAGAGAGGATGGAGGGAGAAGTTATTGTTTAATGGGCAAAGAGCTTCAGTTCTTCAAGATGAAAACAATTCTGGATATAGATGGTGGTGATGGTCGCACAGCAATATGAATGCACTTAATACCACTGAACTATACACTAAAAAATGGTTAGATGGTAAATTATATATCATGTATTTTACCACAATAAAAATATTGCAGTAAAGGCCGGGTGCGGTCTCTCACGCTTGTAATTCCAGCACTTTGGGAAGTTGAGGTGGGTGGATCACGAGGTCAGGAGTTCGAGACCAGTCTGGCCAACAACACAGTAAAACCCCGTCTCTACTAAAAATACAAAAATTAGCAGGGTGAGGTGGCGGGTGCCTGTAATCCCAGCTACTTGGGAGGCTGAGGCAGGAGAATCACTTGAACCCAGGAGGCAGAGGTTGCAGTGAGCCGAGATTGTGCCACTGCACTCCAGCATGGGCGACAGAGCTAGACTCCATCTCAAAAAAAAAAAAAAAAAAAAAAATATATATATATATATATATATAGTGATTTTATATATATATATATATATACACACACTATATTATTATACAGCAGTAAAAATAAAAATATTGCTCACGGCTGTAATCCTAGCATTTTGAGAGGCCGAGGTGGGTGGATTGCTTGAGCTCAGGAGTTCGAGACCAGCCTGGGCAACCTGGCAAAACCCCATCTCTATAAAAAAATACAAAAATCAGTCAGATGTGGTGGCTAGTGCCTGTGGTCCCAGCTACTCAGGAAGCTGGGGTGGAAAGATCACTTGAGCCCGGGAGGTTGAGGCTACAGTGAGCTGTGACTGCACCACTGCACTCCAACCTGGGAGACAGAGTGAGACCCTGTTTCAAAAAAAAAAAAAAAATGCATGTGAAATGATCTGGTAGGTGATAGGCACTCTGCCAATATCAGTCGCCCTTCTGGCCCAGACCCTTCAAAGGCAAAGCCAACCAGTTCACAGCCCTTACATCTGTGGCATTCTGCACTCTGTCCTGAGATTCGCTTTTCTCACTTTTAGATGAAATCAGGGCAGTAGAAGAGGAGGAAATGGAATTAGGTGAAGGCCTGTCAAGTCAACAGATCTTTCTCTGGCTCCAAGGACTGTTTCTCTTTTCCTTGGTGTGGACCGTGGCTGGCACCATCAACGCAGACAGCAGAAAGAAATTTGATGTGTTTTTCCGCAACCTGATCATGGGCATGGATGATAACCACCCAAGGCCCAAAAGCGTCAAACTCACCAAAAACAACATCTTTCCAGAAAGAGGTAATTTAGAACCTGTTTGTTATGTTCTAGTATAATAGTTGGAATTACGTGTTCTAAACACAACCAGAATGTGCAGACAGGTGAGCCCTTTACAAAAGCCACAGAAGGCCAGGCACGGTGGCTAATAAATATGTAAGGAATTACAGAATTAAAATATCATCATTGGCTGGTTGTGGTGTCTCACACTGGTAATCCCAGCACTTTGGGAGGCTGAGGTGGGCAGATCACTTGAGGTCAGCAGTTCAAGACCGGCCTGGCCAACATGGTGAAACCCCGTCTCTATTAAAAATACAAACAAAATTAGCTGGGTGTGGTGGCATGCACCTATAAACCCAGCTATTCAGGAGGCTGAGGCAGGAGGATTGCTTGAGTCCGGGAGGTAGAGGTTGCAGTGAGCTGAGATCATGCCACTGTACTCCAGCCTGAGCAACAGAGCTAGACTCTGTCTCAAAAAAAAAAAAAAAAAAAAAAAATAGAGTTGGCCCATGGGTGGTCCTGAAGTCAAGGTTTTATGGGATACTTAACCACTTTTTTAATTTAGAAAAAGAGGATATGACTGTTTTATTTTTGCAAAAATTACCTATAATTCCATCACCAAAACAAAATGAGAAATATAGACACTTGTGTTTTTCTTATTCCTTTCTATTTCTGTGTGTGTTGACATGCCTTCGTATAGGGTACTTATGGTATTAATATTTCTTTTAATTTTGTCATTATAATTTTTTTTTTGAGATAGAGTGTTGCTCTCTTGCTCCTGCTGGAGTATAGTGGTATGATCTTGGCTCACTGCACCCACTGCCTCCCAGATTCAAGAGATTCTCCTGTCTCAGCCTCCCAAGTAGTTGGGATTACAGGCATGCACCACCACGCCTGGCTAATTTTTGTATTTTTAGTAGAGATGGGGTTTCACCACATTGGCTAGGCTGGTCTTGAACTCTTGACCTTAAGTGATCCACCTGCCTCAGCCTCCAAAAGTGCTGGGATTACAGGCGTGAGCCACTGCACCGGGCCTGCAGTTATATTTTAATATCATATTGAAATGTTTCCAATTTCACTACATACATTGTCTTCAAAATGATCACTTAGTGACTGTAAATATTCTTATGTGTGTGACATCATTTCTTATAAGGAAGATGCTTCTTCTAAGTCGCTTTTGTTTTGTTTTTCTACCACCCAAGTAAGACATTATATAAAATTTAGAAAATACAGAGAAAGGAATAGAAGAAAATTAAGATCAGTGGTAATCCCACTATCCAGAAATATCACTTCTTATGTTTTCTTTCAGTTTTTTCTATATTCCTAGAACAAAAAGAGGATCATACTACAAGTACTTCCCAAATAGCTTTACTTTTTGTGATTGTAAAAAAACATGTATCAAGGGCCATGAGAGAACTTCTAGGGGAGATAGTAATGTTGCATATCTTAAGAGTGACCTGGATTACACAAATATGTGCATTTGCCAAAACTTAGAAATGTGGGCTTAGGATGTGTGCATTTCATTGTAAGATTTATATCAAAGGAAAAATATATAAACAAATACTGAACACTAGGTAATAAGAAGCACGCCAAAGTATTTATGAGAAAGTGTGTAGATGCTTAAAATTAATTTTGAATTTTTTTTAAAAAAAAGATAGATTAAAGGAAGGATAGAGGGATGACCAGGTATGTACTAAAACAAATAAAGAGCTAACGGTAAAATCTAGAAGGTGAGTATACAAATGTTCACTGTACAATGTCTTCCATGTTTCTGTATGTTTGATAATAATGAAACATTATTATGTTTCATAATAATGAAATAATGAATGAGCAAGTAGATACTATTACCGCCTGCCACATACTCTTTCTCTGCACAGCTTGCACACTTCATTTGATACATGGCCATCTGTCAGATTGTGAACCACAAAAATCTGAGACAGGTCTCAGTTAATTTAGAAAGTTTATTTTGCCAAGGTTGAGGACGCATGCCTGTGACACAGCCTCAGGAGGCGCTGACAACAAACATGCGCCCAAGGTGGCCAGAGCACGGTTTTATACATTTTAGTGAGATATGAGACATCAATCAACGTATGTGAGGTGAACATTGGTGCCATCTGGAAAGGTGGGACAACTTGAAGTGGGGAGGGGACTTCCAAGTCATAGGTAGATAAGAGAGAAATGGTTGCATTCTTTTGAGTTTTCTGATTAGCCTCTCCAAAAGAGGCAATCAGATATGAATTCATCTCAGTGAGCAGAGGGGTGACTTTAATAGAATGGGAGGCAGGTTTGCCCTAAGTGATTCCCTGCTTGACTTTTCCTTTTAGCTTGATGATTTTGGGGGCCCAAGATATGCTCCTTTCACAAGATGAACCACAGGGAGGCTCTGTCTCTGTATCAATCCATTAGTCAGATTGTCATGCATTCATTGAGTTTTTGGTTTGGATGATTTTTGCTTATTTTATTGTCATAGTAAAATGCACATAACACAAAATTTACCATTTTGACCATTTGTAATTGTTCAAATCAGTGGTGTTAAGTACATTCACATTGTTGGGCAACCATCACCTCCCTCCATCTCCAGGACGTTTTTCACATTCCCAAACTAACTGTTCTCATTAAACAGTACCTCCCCCAAAGCCCCTTCTCCACCCCTACCCTGGAAATAACCATTCTACTTTCTGTCACCATAAATTAGACTGCCCTGGGTACTGCATGTAAGAGGAATCATACAGTATTTGTCTTCTTGTGACTGGCTTATTTTACTTAGCATAATGTCTTCGGCGTTCATCCATGTTGTAGCACGTGTCAGAATTTCCTTTCTTAAGGCTGAATATATTCCATTTCATGTATACACCACGTTTTGTTTATCCATTCATCTGTCAGTGGATCCTTGAGTTATTTGCACCTTTTGGCTATTGCGAATAAAGCTGCTATGAACATGGGTGTACAAATACTGTCTTTTGAGTCTCTGCTATTTCTGGTGTATATACTCAGAAGTGAAAATCTGGATCATATGTTAATGCTATGTTTAATTTTTTGAGGAACTGCTGTAATGTTTTCCATAGAGGCTGCAACATTGTACCTTCCCACCAGCGATACACAGAAGTTCTGATTCCTCCACATCCTCACCAGTGCTTGTATTCTCTCTGTATGTTTTACTGATAATAGCCATTGTGGTGGGTATGAAGTTCATTCTTATTTTTTAAGAAAAAAATATACAATAAAAATATGTGATAAAAAGAGAGCCACAATTAATATTTTGATGACAATTCTTTTGGACATTTTCTTATGCATGTATGTGTCTCCAGGTTTGTTTTTAAAATATAAGATCATTCTGTACTTTTATCTCCTAGTTTTTACTATCATTAACAATATTCTGGTTGTTAATGATATTTACTTAATTCATTGTTATTTCCTTGTGATGATTTCCTAAAATAGAATTGCTGAGTCAAGAGATCGGTAACATTTTAAAGCTTTTGGTTGCTAAACTTCCCTTGTGCCTCACTGAGTATTGCCTTTTCAAAATCTCAAGCAATTTGAAATATGAAAATCATATCTCGGCCAGGCACAGTGGCTCACACCTGTAATCCCAGCACTTTGGGAGGTTGAGGCAGGCAGATCACTTGAGGCCAGGATTTTGAGACAAGCCTGGCCAACATGTTGAAACACCATCTCTACTAAAAATACAAAAATTAGCTGGACATGGTCGTGGGCACCTGTAGTCCCAGCTACTCAGGAGGCTGAGGCAGGAGAATTGCTTGAACCTGGGAGGCAGAGGTTGCAGTGAGCTATCACACCACTGCAATCCAACCTGGGCGACAGAGCAAGACTCCATCTCAGAAAACAAAATAAAAAATCTCAAGCAATTTGAAATATGAAAATCATATCGCATTTTAACTTTCTTCTCCTTTAAAAAAAGTTTTAATAGACTTTAGTCTTAAATTTATAGAAAAATGTTGCAGAAAATACAGAGAGTTTCCATATGCCACTTCTTCTCACCCACACAAACACAGTTCTTTCATTAACATCTTGCAGTACTGTGGTATTATAGTTACAATTGATGAACCAATATTGCTAAATTATTATGAACAAAGTTCATAGTGTATGTTAAGGTTCACTCTTGTGTTGTATGTCCTATGGGTTTTGACAAAGATGTAAATGTCATGTATTCACCATTACAGAATCATGCAGGATAGTTTCACACAACCCAAAAAAATCCTGTGCTCCACCTCTTCATCCTCCCTTCCTTCCCTGATCCCCAAGCAACCACTGATCTTTTTACTGTCTCTATAGTTTTGACTTTTCCAAGACATGATATTCTTGGAATCATACAGTATGTGAAATTTTTAGACTGCCTTATTTCACTTAGCAATATGCTGTTGAGGTTCCTACATGGATTTTTGTTCCTTGTTAGATTGCTTCTTTATCACTTAATAATATTTCATTGTATGTATGTTTATCCATGCACCCATTAAAGGACATTTTGGTTTATTACAATTTTTGGTACTTAAAGCAGTTATAAACATTTATGTAAAGGCCTTTTGTGAACATAACTTTTCCATTAATTCATTTAGTAAACACATAGACATGCTATTGCTGGATAATGTTAAGGCTGTGTTTACCTAGACCAAGTCAAGAAGAACAGATTTCTTAATAATTTAGGGTCTTTCTATTCATAAACATGGATTATCTCTCTATTTATTTAGACTGTTTTTTATTTCTTTGGCTAGAGTTTTATAGTTTTCCTCATATAGATCTTGTATATTTTTTGTTAAATTTATACCTAAGTAGTTCCTTCTTTTTTGGAGTTAATATAAATGGTATTGTGTTTTCATTTCAAATTCCACTTGTTCATTGCCTGTATATAGAAAAGCAATTGACTTTTGTATATTAATCTTGTATCCAGCCATCTTACTACAATCACTTATAAGTTCCAGGAGTCTTTTTGTGGATTCTTTGGGATTTTTTACATAATTATGCCACTGACAGACAGTTTTATTTCTTCCTTCCCAATATTTTATTTCCTTTTCTTGTCTTATTCCATTAGCTAGGACTTCCAGTATGATGCTGAACAGAAGTAATGAAAAAGGGCTTCCTTATCTTGCTCCCAGTCTTAGGAGGAAAGCATCTAGTTCTTGACCATTAAGTGTGATGTTTAGCTGAAGGTTTTTCATTGGTATTCTTTATCAAGTTGACAAGTTCCCTCTATTACTAGTTTACTGAGAGTCTTTGTCATGAGTGGATGTTGGATTTTGTCAAATGCTTTTTCTGAATCTATTAACGTGATCATATGATTTTTCTTCTTTAGCTTGTTAATGCAATGAATTACACTAATTGATTTTCAAATGTTGAGCCAGACTTATATACCTTGGAATAATAATAATCAAGTGGAATAAATATCACTTGATTGTGGTGTGTAATACTTTTCATATGTTGTTGGATTTGATTTGCTAATATTTTGATGAATATTTTTGCATCTATGTTGATGAGAGATACTGGTCTGTAATTTTCCTCTCTTATAATGTCTTTATCTGGCTTTGGTATTAGCGTAATGCTGGCCTCATAGCATGAGTTATAAAGTGTGTCCTCTGCTTCTATTTTCTCTAAGAGATTGTAGAGAATTTGTATCATTTCTTCCTTAAATGTTTGATAGAATTCACCAGTGAACCCATCTTGGCCTGGTACTTTCTCTCTTGGAAGGTTATTAATTGTTGATTAAATTTCTTTAATGGATAAAAGCCTATTCAAATTATCTACTTCTCCTTATGTGAATCATGTAAATCATGTCTTTCAAGGAATTGGTCTATTTTATTTATCAAATTTGTTGGCATAAAGTTGTTCATAATATTTATTATCCTCTTAATGTCCATTGAATCAGTACTGATGGCCTGTCTTTCATTTTTTTAGTTTTTTTTTTTTTTTTTTTTTGAGATGGAGTTTCACTCTTGTTGCCCAGGCTGGAGTGCAATGGCACGATCTTGGCTCATCGTAACCTCCTCCTCCCAGGTTCAAGCAATTCTTCTGCCTCAGCCTCCCGAGTAGCTGGGATTAAAGTCATGTGTCACCACGCCTGGCTAATTTTGTATTTTGGTAGAGACGGGGTTTCTCCACGTTGGTCAGGCTAGTCTCAAACTCCTGACCTCAGGTGATCTGCCTGCTTTGGCCTCCCAAAGTGCTGGAATTACAGGTGTGAGCCACTGCGCCCAGCCTCATTCTTGATATTAGTGCTGTCTTCTCTTTTTTTCTTGGTTAACCTGTCTAAAGGTTTATCAATTTTTTTTTTTTAACAGATGGGATCTGCCCGGGCTGGTGCTGGTCCCAAACTCCTGGACTCAAGTGATCCACCTGTCTCACCTTCCTAAAGTGCTGGGATTACAGGCATGACCCACTGTGCCCGGCCTATCAATTTTATTAATCCTTCAAAGATACAGCTTTTGTTAATTTTATCTATTAATTTCCTGTTGTCAATTTCATGATTTCTGCAATAATTTTTATTTCTTCTGTTCTGCTTCCTTTTATTTAATTGCTCTCTTTAGTTTCCTAAGATGAATGCTTAGATTATTGATTTTAGATCTTTCTTTTTGGCTGTGCACGGTGGCTCACACCTGTAATCCCAGCACTTTAGGAGGCCAAGATGGAGGATCCCTTGAGCACAGGAGTTTGAGACCAGTCTGGGCAACATGTCAAAATCCCGTCTTTACAAAAACAAAAAACGAAAATTAGCTGGGTGTGGTAGCGCTCACCTGTAGTCCCACCTACTCAGGAGGCTGAGGCGGGATGATTGCTTGAGCCTAGGAGTTGGAGGCTGCAGTGTGCCATGATCATCCCACTGCACTCCAGCCTGGGTGACAGAGTAAGAGAGTGAGATCCTGCCTAAAAAAAAATTAAAAAGTGTTTTATTGCCCACGATGCATTCTATCTTGGTGAATGTTTCACGTGAGCTTAAGAAAATATGTAGTCTTCTATTGTTGAATAAAGTAATAAATGTCAATTTGATCCTGTTAATTGATGATGGTGCTATTCAGTTTCACTATATTCCTACTTATTTTCTGACTGTTATCTGCCAACTACTGATTGGCAGGGGTGGTTGAAGTATCCGACTGTGATATTGGATTTGTCTATTTCTCCTTAAAGTTCTATCAGTTTTGCCTCATGTATTTTGGCATTCTGTTTACATTTGAAAAGTGAAAATAGTATCTAATTTAAATTTCTTCTTCTTTAAATTAGAAGTGAGGTTGAATTATATATAAAGTGGTAGTTTGTTTTTCATATGTTTTTTATTTAATGTTTTTGTAGGTTTTGTTTCTGTTTTGTTTTTAACAGACTGTGTCCTCTTTTGTTTATTTTGCCTGGAATGTGATGCATCCTTTCCGTCAGCAAGGAAAAAAATAATTTTCTGGCTCCCATAACCATCATCTCCTTTTTTCTTGTTTTGGGGCTTTGGTCTTTCGAGGTGCGCTTTTCATTTTGATATCAGCCACCCACAACTTCAATTATTCTTTTTACTGTCTTGAATGATTTTAATTCTGCCTTTGTATCTTTTGTTTCTGTGGCAGGCTTTGTTAGTGCAAGGATGGGAAAGTACAGGCCATGGAGTGAAATTGTCAGAGTTCGGATCCTGGCTCCAACACTTAATACTGGGGTGACTTTGAGCAACTTCTTTATCCTCCTCAGTTCCCTCAATTATAAAATGGGGACAATAATAATAGTAAGGATTAAATGAGTTAATACATGTAAAAATACTTTGAATAAAGCATGGTATGTAGGAAATGTTAAATAAATGTGAGCAATTTTATTGCTATTATCATCATCATCTCTTAGGGCATCCATCTCACTTTTTATCTCATCTTGTCTTTTCATCTTAGTTTGTTTTTCCTTTTTTGCTTTCTGTTCCTGCTTCATTTAAAGTTAGGTCTTTCTGCACCTTATTGAAGATACCAAACAGTTTTCCTGAAATTTGGCTTCAAGTCCTGCAAAAACAAGTTTCAGCCTGGCACGGTGGCTCGCCCCTGTAATCCCAGCACTTTGGGAGGCTGAGGCAGGTGGATTTCTTGAGCCCAGGAATTTGAGACCATCCTGGGCAACATTGTAAAACCCTGTCTCTACAAAAAATACAAAGAAAAATTAGCCAGCCATGATGGCACACACCTCTATTCTCAGCTACTTGGGAGGCTGAGGCAGGAGGATCACTTGAGCCCAGGAGGTTGAGGCTGCAGTGAGCTGTGATGCACCTACAGCCATGCGTGACCACTGCACTCCAGCCTGGGTGATACAGTGAGATCCTGTCTCAAAAGAAAAAGAAAGTTCAGAGATAAATTATTCAGGTTAATCTCCATATGACATTCCTTTACATTGCAATATTTTTTTCACAGGCTCCACATGTTGTTTTCTGCCTTCCTCATCCTTCAAAATCAATCTGTTTATGCTCTGTCTGCAGAGATGGTACATGAATTGCCCTTGACCTCACTTTCAGATCACTTTGTGGTGACCTCTTTCCTTTCCTTCTGCAGCTAGAGAGTCAATGATGTGATGTGCACAGCTCCCACTCAGTTTCTAGATAATTTTCCCTTATAATATCTCCTGTCCACAACGATGGCCTCATCTCCTCCCTCCATGCCCTACCCAGCAGATGCAGCATAAAACAAACCATGATTTTCATCGTGTCCTGCAAACTGACTTCTTTTGTGTATATCCTCTTTTGCAGCAGCTTGTTTTTTTTAAAAAACAAAACAAAACAAAAAAAAACAAAAAAAAAAAAACAGGTTTTGGCCGGGCGTGGTGGTTCATGCCTGTAATCCCAGCTACACAGAGGCTGAGTTGGAAGGATCGCTTGAGCCTGGGAGTTTGAGACTAGCCTGGGCAACATAGCAAGACCCTGTACTTTCTTATAACCATATTCAAAAGCTTAAAATGCCTTTCTAGCCTGTCCATGAGGGCCCATGATGAAAATTCTAATGCCGAGTGCTCCAGGAAGGCCTTCCCTGACTTTATGGGACATTGTTTTCTAGGATTTTCATGATATGCAAGACATGGCATAAATGGATCTCTCAAATAAGTGCTGGAGGAACTACACTGGGAAGCATACACTAAGGAAAGCAAGCAGACCCTTGTGGGATTCTGTCAATGTTGGGCTCACATTGTTTGACATGGACCTTTGTTTGTCAACCCAGGGATCCATTTGTCCCGAAAGTGCTTAATTTCTCTTCATTCACTCATTCATTGTGTGACCTTTGAAAAGTCACTTACTGCTCAGTTGAAAAGTTTACCTCATTTTCCCAAGTGCAGGAGAGGAAAGCAGAGCTGGGGTAGGGGGGGTAGGGGTGATAGAAGTCATTTACCAATTCATTACCAATCCATTCCTGAATTTCTGCTATTCTCCTCTTTCTACTCTCACACCCAGACCAGAGTTTAAGTTATAATCACAACACAAAGAGAACAGGAGCCATTATTCTGATGAAAACCAAGAAGAGCTAGAGCTAAACATTACCAAGTGCCTTCTGTGTGCCCAGAACTATGCTAGATGTTTGATACATATATCTCACTCACTCTCCGTAGTGATTTTCCGAGTTTGACATAAAATCAGGCCTATTTTACAGGTGTGTAAATGGTAACCTTAGCCAAGGTCACACTGCTGGTAAATCTACTTTTACTAGTTAAATCTTTTCTCTTCTCTTCTCTTCTCCTCTTCCCTTCCCTTCCTTCTTTTCCTCCCCTCCCCTCCCCTCCCCTCCCCTCCTCTCCTCTCCTCTCCTCTTTTCTTTTCTTGACAGAGCCTCATTCTCTTGTCCAGGCTGGAGTGCAGTGGCGTAGTCACGGCTCATCACGGCTCACTGCAGTCTTAGTGCCCCAGGCCCAGGTGATCCCACCTCAGCCTCCCAAGTAGCTGGGACTCCAGGCACATGCCACCATGCCTGGCTAATTTTTGTATTTTTTATAGAGACAGGATTTTGCCATTTACTCAGCCTGTTCTCCAACTTCCAGACTCAAGTGATTCATCCACCTTGGCCTCCCAAAGTGCTGGAATTATAGGCATAAGCCACCACACCCAGCCAAATCTTTTCTCATTAGCCTAAATGTTCCCAAATCAAGCCACAAATTAGCTCTAGCTCAACATCAGCAAAGGAAGAGGGAAAAATATTTTACCAATTCAGTCTTTTAGTATCTCCTTTTTATTGTAAAAGCGATTCTATTCTATTAAATAAAAATTATCCTTAAGTATCTCTTTGTTCATACCACCGTATCACAGTCATTTCAGTTTTCAAAAAATCCGTTTCCTTGCTTGTCTACCTGATTTCATCTCTTTACATGGTTACCATAATGGTATATATTTCACTCTGTAGTCTATTTTTATCTATCATTGTTTCTTAAAAGCATTTTCTATGCTAATACTTAGCTTTTGCAACTATCATTTTAATGACCAAAGAATATTCCATCCATCTTATAAGAGCTAATTTTACTTGTCTCCTAATGTAGGATATGTAAGTTATTTCTTTGCTATCACAGATGGTGTTGCATACTCATGTATACAGATTATTTTCATTGTGAATTATTTCCTTATGATAAATTCCCAGAAATGGGATTTCTGACTTAGAGAACATTCTCGTCGCTCTGTAAGCATTGTGCCAGATTGCTTTCTAAAAGTGTTGCACCAGATTTACTTCTAGGTAAGGCTGCAGAGTGACGTAGAATAACAGAAGCTCACTTTTAAAATACCTAACAAAATCAGCAACAACAAACGTTTTTTAATCCTAAAAAGTACCCAGCAATAACCAAAGAATGAATTACAACTTAATTCTACAAGCATTGTGAAGTAGTGAATAAGGAGAGAAAACAAGATTCTGGCCTGGCGTATCTCCCAACTCAGAACCTGCCACCCCTCTGTCTTGCTAAGAGTGATGGGGAGAGGAAAGCAGGTCAGTTGACAACACTCTGAGTTCTCGCTGGAAATCACCAACGGAGAGGAAAGGGGACCATGATGATGGCTGGGCAGCTGCACAAAAGGTCTAAGAGAAACTCTCCATCATGGAAGCCCCTGTGTGATGCTGGAGGACCTTAGTAGGGATGGGAAAAAACGCCAGGTTTTGCATCTTCCAGAACCCTATGCTGCGTGGGGACATGAGGTGAATCCTTCGGGAGTGGGGCACATCACTAGCTAGGATGGGAGTGAGATGGACCCATGGTTCAGGAAATGTAGACAGATTTCAGAGAGAGGGTACAGTGCTCAGATTTTCCAGCAAGGGTAACTGAGCTTTTCCCTTTACCCAACCCTATGGATTAAGGCTATAGGAAAGAAAGCCACACACCATTCCTTAAATAGTGGCCAACACTGTAGATAAGATAAACTGGCCCCAGATAATGTTGGGAAACATGTCAAGAAGAATTTACCCAATTATATCAGAGCAGAATGGTAAGGCAATCATGCACACATCAGAGAGAGAGAGAGACAGAGGAGAGAGAGAGAGAATGTTTAACAGAAAACATGAACCAAGAGCCAGAAAATATTTCTGTTGAAAGAATTTTGTAATAATAGAAGTTTAAATTTTTAAGTTCATAAATGAATAGTATGGTATACTGGCAAAAGAACAGAAATATAGATTAATTGAATAGAATTGACAGTCCAGAAAGAAAACTCTTGCATTTATGGTGACTTGATTTTTGACAATGGTGCCAAGATGATTAAATAGGAAAAGAATGATCTTTTCAACAAATCGTGCTGGAACAACTGAATTATACATGTAAAAGAGTGAATTTGTAGTTCTGCCTCACACTATAGTGAAAAATTAACTCAAAATAGGTCAAAGACTTAAATGTAAAAGCTAAAACTATAAAACTCTTAGAAGAAAACATAGATGCACATTTTTATGATTTGGAGTAGGCAATGATGTCTTAAGACAACAAAAGCACAAGTGACAAAAGAAAAAATAGGTAAACTGAACATCATTAAAATTAAAAACTTTCGTGCTTCAAAGGACAACATCAAATGAAAAATCCCACAGAATGGGTGAAATTTATTACAAATTATGTACCTTATAAGGGACTCAAATTTAGAATATATAGAGTGATGATAATTTAATAATAAAAAGACAAATAACACTATATAAAATGGGCAAAATATCTGAATAGACCGTTATTTACAGAAGATATACAGGCCAGGCACACTGGGGCTCATGCCTTTGGGAAGTTGAGGTGGGCAAATCACTTGAGCCCAGGATTTTGAGACCAGCCTGGGCAACATGGCGAAACCCCATCTCTACAAAAAATACAAAAATTAGCTAAGCATGATGGTGCGTGCCTGCCTGTAGTCCCAGCTACTTGGGAGGCTGAGGCAGGAGGATCACCTGAGCCCAGAAGGCAGGGGTTGCAGTGGCCAAGATCATACCACTGCACTCCAGCCGGGGTGACAGAGTGAGACCCTGCCTCAAAAAAAAAAAAAAAGGATATACAAATGGCCAATAAGCCCATGACAAGATGCTCAATGTTATTAGCCATCAGGGAAATGCAAATTAAAACCACAATGAGATACTTACTTTACAATAACTAGGATGGGTGTAATTAAAAAGATGAAAAACAACAAGTATTGGTGAGGATGCAGGAAGATCAGAACTCTCATCTACCATAATGGAAATGTAAAATGGTGCAGTAGCTTTGAAAAAGAGGCTGTGACACTTCCTCCAAAGTTAAACACAATCCAATTTAATTTAACTCAAAAGTTATACAATCCAATTGTGAGCAGATCACTTGAGCTAAGTTCAAGACCAGCCTGGGCAACATAGCAAAAACCCCGTCTCTACAAAAATTAGCCAGACGTGGTGGTGCATGCCTGTTGTCCCAGCTACTTGAGAGGCTGAGGCAAGAGGATCACTTGAGTCCAGGAGGTTGAGGTTGCAATGAGCAAGATTGTGCCACTGCACTCCAGCCTGGGTGACAGCTAGGCCTGGTCTCAAATAGACACACACACACAAACACTTTTTTAAGTGAAAGAAGCCAGTCGCAAAAGAACACATATTATATGATTCCCTTTATATAGGCAGAATAGGCGAATTTATAGAGACAGAAAGTAGATTAGAGGTTGCCAGGGTATGAAGTGGGTGGGAGAGGGATTTGGCAGGTGACGGCTAAGAGGTGTGGGGTTTCTATCCAATGTAATGAAAAGTTCTAAAGTTGATTGTGGTAATGGTTTCACAACTCTGTGAATATTAATATATTTACATGTACATGTGGTTTTGGTATGCTAAAAGTACAACTGAATTGTACACTTGAACTAGTTGGATTATATGATATGTAAATTACATTTCAGTAAAGCTGTAGAAAGTTTGTAGATGAAGTGATAAAACTACTAAATTAGAGAAATAGAGGAACTGCAGAGTCAGAGAAACAGATTGGGAATAAAATAATGCCATTAATGATCTAATAAGTGAATTAGAACCAGCGAGAAATAAAGTATGCAAGGCTAGACATCTACTATATTGCTTAGAAATAAGGTTTGAGATAATTACACATACAACAGAAGAGAAAAACATTGAAGTAATCAGAGACAATACAATTGATATGGAGACCAAATAATGCTAGTTCCTTAAGAACTCCAATCAATAGTATAAATAATATATACAAAGATACAGATGCAGAAACTTCTCTTAAAATGAACAGTTGTTTCTACCAATTGTAAGAGTATGCTATGCTCTAAGGAAAACTGATACATAATAATTGACCAGAAAATATAACATAATTAAATTATTGGACTTCCAGGTAAATATCTGATGGGCCTCAGTTTCTGCACAGCAATTTAAAATGCAAAAAAAAAAAAAAAAGAATAGAGCAATGTCTGCATACCTTAGAAGACAAGAAAATATGACATAGACTATTACTCTCACTGTTAAAATACAAAAGCAGCAGGCGGTCATTCTCAAACACGTAAGAGCTGAGAGAGTTGAGCACCTATAAGCCCCTTCTTGGAAAAAAAAAAAAATGAGGCTGGGCATGGTGGCTCATGCCTGTAATCCCAGCACTTTAGGAGGCCAAGGCAGGCAGATTGCTTGAGCTCAGGAGTTTGAGACCAGCCTGGGCAACATAGCAAGACCTTATCTCTACAAAAAATAAAATTATTTGCTGGGTGCGGTGGCGTGTGCCTGTGGTCCCAGCTACTTAGGGGGCTGTGAGAAGATTGCTTGAGCCCGGGAGGTTGAGGCTGTAGTGAATTGTGATTGCACCACTGCACCACTTTGACTTAGGCAATGAGTGAGAACCTGTCTCAAAAAAGAAAGAAAAAAGAGAAAAAGAGAGAAAGAATGAAAGAGAGGAAGGAAGGAAGGAAAGAAGGAAGGAAGGGAGGGAGGGAGGGAAGGAGGGAAGGAGGGAAGCAAGGAAGGAAAGAAAGAAAGAAGGGAGGGAAGGAAGGAAGAAGGGAGGGAGGGAAGGAAGGAAGGAAATACAGAAGGAGAGAGGGAAGGAGGGAGAGAGAAAGAGAAAGAAAAAGAAAAAGAAAGAAAGAAAAGAAAGAGACGAGAGAAAGAAGAGAAAGAGGAAGAAAATTAGTCAACTAAGAGATGAATTAAAACAAAGAACTCTTAAGTGGTCTGTGTTAAAAGCCCTGAGCATTGAATCTATTTAAAAGTTTGAGCAGTGAATCTATTGAAATATAAACATAAGACTAAGGAATGGGGAAATTATGGTTGCAGAAAAAAACATAAATGAATATGAACCCTGACAAAGTGAAAGTTATAGTGTCAATGACAACAAAAGGAACCAGAGAAGGGGAGCTGGAAGGAAGAGTTAATCACCTCACAGTTCACAAAGGAATCAATGAAATTGGTCTAAACTTGAATCGTTTGTATTCACAATTGAAATGGTCTGATATCAGGATTTGCCTTAAAATACTCCAAAGAAGGAAGAGGGGAAGGGAAGGGGAGTGGGGAGAGTTGAGGGAAGAGGAGAAAGGAAGGATGGAGGGAGAGAAAGGGAAGGAAAGAAAGAGACGGGGAAGGGCTGGGCACAGTGGCTCACACCTGTAATCCTAGCACTTCGGGAGGCCAAGTCGGGTGGATCACCTGAGGTCGGGAGTTTGAGACCAGCCTGGCCAACATGGCAAAACCCTGTGTCTACTAATAATACAAAAATTAGCAGGGCGTGGTGGCGAGTGCCTGTAGTCCCAGCTACTTGGGAAGTTGAGGCAGGAGAATTGCTTGAACTCGGGAGGCGGAGGTTGCAGTGAGCCGAGATCATGTCACTGCACTCCAGCCTGGCAACAGAGTGAGACTCCATCTCTAAAAAAAAGAAAAAAGAAAAAGAAAGAAAGGAAGAGAGACTAAAGGAAAAATGAATATGTTGCTGGTTGGAGGTAGTGAAATGGATGAGACAAAAATGGCAAAATGATCATGTTGAGGCTGGATAATGCGTACAGGACGGTTTATTATACTATTCTCCTTACTTTCATTTTTTAAATTTTTCTCACAATAGAAAGTTAAAATACAACAAAATAACATTAAATGACTTATAAAGCATAATGACTTTAATCCCTTAATGACTTAAAATTATGAAATACCTTTTAGGACCCAGTATCTCTTGTAGTGACAAAAACTGTACCTGAAAGTCAGCAGGTCCTTCAGTTTCACTTCAATCTCCTTTTCTTTTGCTAGATTTAAGTAAAATTAACTTTAACATAGTTATTTTAAAATAGTATATGTCCAATGAGTCCCCTTCTTATAAAATCCTTTCTTTCATCTATCTGTCTTTCCATCTTCAGTATGTTTGTGTGTCTAGAAAGAGGGCTAGAAGGATTGCCATCAAAAGTTATCTCTGGATGTGGGATTTTGACTAACTTATTGTCTTCTTTTTTTGTTCTTTTTTTTAATTGTATATATTTATTGATTTATTTTTGAGACAGAGTCTCACTCTGTTGCCCAGGCTGGAGTGCAGTGACACAATCTCGGCTCACTGCAACCTCGGCCTCCTGGGTTTGAGTGATCCTCCTGCCTCAGCCTCCCAAGTAGCTGGGACTACAGGCACGTGCCACCATGCCCAGCAAATTTTTTTTCATTTTTAGTAGAGATGGGGTTTCACCCTGTTGGCGAGGCTGGTCTCGAACCCCTGACTTCAGGTGATCCACCCACCTCAGCCTCCCAAAGTCCAGTGATTACAGGCGTGAGCCACTGTACCTGGCCTTGTTCTATTTTAATACTTGCTGTTTACATTATGAAAACTAATTTAATAATTTGCATAATTAGCACCTATCATTTTTACACAAATAATAAAGTCACTACTCTTTAAAAAGTGTTGTTTCAGTTTATACACTTTCCAGCAATGTATAAGTTTCACCACAACTATGCCAGTACTGGTAGTTACACATTTTCATATGCTGATAACTGAGGGACTTAAAATCCTCAAATATGGGAGGCAAGTAAAGCCTTCATGTGCTAATGATCTGTTTTGTTTCTTTGGGTCCAGGAAGCATCTATGATTTTTATTTTATCAAACAAGCTAGTGGACATTGGGAAACGTGGACACAGTATATCACCAAAGAGGAGGAAAAAGTTCCAGCTGGTGCAAAGGTATAAAGAGAATCATTGGCCATGGAACTTTGGTTTCCAGAATCATCCAAATATTCTCTCAGGTGGAAGAATTAACAGTCTTTGCGAGGAGTTTTAAGGGCTTTCTTTAGAAAAATATTTAAACATGAGCTGCAGTGGACCTTCAAAAACATGGGCTTTAGAATCAGAGAGACACAGCATCCTTTCTCAGCTTCAATTTACTCAACCAAAAAATGGCGGTGGGGGGAACATTTATGGTTGCAGAGGTTGGAGGTGTTATACATGAACACATGGCACATGCTAGGGGCTACATCAGTGTTTGTTGCTATTCTGATTATTGTCGTTATCAGTAATACCAGGTACTGGCCAGGCGCAGTGGCTCACATCTGTAATCCCAGCACTTTGGGAGGCCAGGGCAGGAGGATCACCTGAGGTCAGGAGTGCAAGACCAGCCTGGCCAACATGGTGAAACCGCATCTCTACTAAAAATACAAAATTAGCTGGGCGTGGTGGCGCATGCCTGTAATCCCAGCTACTTGGGAGGCTGAGGCAGGAGAATCGCTTGAACTCCAGAGGCAGAGATTTCAGTGAGCCGAGATCGCGCCATTGCACTTCAGCCTGGGTGACAAGAGCAAAACTCTGTCTCAAAATAATAATAATAATAATAATAATAATAATAACAACACCAGATAGTCATCAGTGTGCTTCTCAGTTATCTCAGCAAAAAAGGATTCTTTGAATCCTCAGAGAAAGATTTTCTTGATCAGAATTCTCTGAAAAGTAGGTTTTGATTAATAAGTTTTCTGATTAGAAAATGATACACCTACAACTCCTGCTCTTTTCAATCCTTGTGGAACATTTTTTCAGAGAGCTTTTATGTCCCTGTTAGTAGAATCTAGTGGGCATAGTTTATCTTTCTGAAGTGACTGGAGATTGTTCAGGCCCTGGGTGGAGTGGTAGGTGGTGGAGAAAGTACAGATATTGACAACCAAGTCAGACACCACGCAGGACCACAGCTGTATGTGTAAGGATGTGTCAAGCAGGGTGAATGTGTGCTGACTTCAGGACACACCTTGGGGGCTGAGTGTTGTAAAGCAACCCCCAGCACTGAGGTCCTAAACTTTAATTCTCCAAAAAGAGCTTAGTCACTTGAGCTCCAGGGATTTGCAATCTTGCTGAATTAACACAAGTAAAAGAGTCCAATGAAGAAAATATCTTCAGTTCTGGAGATTTTTCCCTTGTCAAACAATTGTCCTAGTTCCTGAAAATAAACATCTATGAAACCCAACTTGCTTTAAACTCCCAGTCTTAGTAGCAAAATACGCATCTTGAACCTAGTTCTGCATTTAGCCTCACTTGCTGGCTATATGGCTTTGGATAAGTTAGCCAGTTTCTTCGAGCCTCATTTATTTCATCTGTGTTATTACATACCTGCCTTAGAAGGTTACTGGGAAGACTGTAGGGGGTAATACAGGCAAAACACCCATACTTAAGCACCTGTTACTTCTCTTCTTCTCAACTTTAATTCCCTTGTCTCATCTGTTTCTTTTCCTTTGATCAAATTGCTTGTAGAAAGAAGCTGAGCCTTTTTCTACCAGTATACATAGGGCCATTATGTCGCACAGACCTAGGTGGCGCTATTTGCATCACGGTCCAGTTTTGCTTTAGAAGGCACCATTGACATGATCCATGGTGTGAATGGTACTCTCTGTAGTTGTACAACACAGTGGCCCCAAGGTCTAGTCCCTTTCAGCCTAGACATAGAAGGAGACTTCAGTGTATGATATAATCATCTTCCCCCATAGAGGGACAAAATGTAGCCAAATGGCTGATGACAGGGTTCAAACTCAGAGAATCCAAGCCAAGGTCAGGTGCCCTGTCCAAATAGGGATTCCAGGAGCCCGAGACCCGGCCTTAAGAGTCCAACTGGGACCTGAATACCAGGAAAAGTGTGTATTAATACAATCCCCATATTGGAAAAGGCATGGGATTAGTAAGGGTGGGTCTTAGAACCAAGAATGTGAGTGTTGTAAAAAATAGATCAGAAACAAGCACAGATCATGGGGATTCAGGATCACACTTAAGCCCTCTGAGCCAGGCAGTGATGATGGCATAGGGGAGGTAGACCTTGCCTGGGACAAGGGAGACAAGTTGGTTCAGAGCAATGCTCTAGGAGCACAGCAGCTATGGACTGATCCTTACCACAACTGTTTATAATATGACCATTCAGTAGTGAAGACTGTAGACTTTGGAATCAGACAAGCTGGTATTCAAATCCCTGCATTTTCACTTACTTGCTGTGTTACTTGAGCAGGTTGCAGAAAGGCTCTCGACCCAGTCTTCTCATCTACAACACACAGACAGTAATGCCCAACTTTACATGCATGATCTTGTTTAATCCTCAAGCCAGCTCTGTGAATTAGGTGCCATTATTATCCCCTTTTCACAGATGAAGAAACTGAGGCCCATGGAGAGGTTAAAGACTCGCCTAAGGTCATAAAGATAGTAAGGGATGGAGCTAGAATGTAAACCCAGGTCTCTTGAATGCCAAGACCTCCAGCTTCCTGGGCCCACAACCGAGACTCTCCCATGTCTGTGTGGTACAGGTCTCAGAACTCATCATCCCCACAATGGAGACAGCCCGGCAGTCCTTCTTCTTGAAAACCTACTTAGACCATGAGATTCCAATGCTGTTCGTGGGTCCCACAGGCACTGGCAAATCAGCCATCACCAACAACTTCCTTCTCCACCTTCCCAAAAATACGTACCTACCCAACTGCATCAATTTCTCTGCCAGAACCTCAGCCAATCAGACCCAGGATATCATCATGTCCAAGCTGGATCGACGACGGAAGGGCCTTTTCGGGCCTCCCATAGGGAAGAAAGCAGTGGTGTTTGTGGGTAAGGCATTGGGCTGGGTCTGGACACAACCAGATTCTTCCACCATAAGCTGCAGCAAACTATAGCTTCTGCTTGTGGTGCCACTGTACATACCTTTACTCTCCCTGGGAGATCAAATATTTCCAGTTAATATAGCTTAGTATTCATTCTCTCCTCTTCTTTTTCTCCTTCCTCCTTCCCTCCCTCCCTCCCTCCTTTCCTTCTTCCCTCCTTTTCTCCTTCCTTCCTTCTTTCCTCCTTTTCTCCTTCCTTCCTTCTTTCTTTCCTTCCTCTCTTCCTTGTAGTGGAAGTAGTAATTTCAGAAGGGGGCTGTGCTGTTTGCCCGCTGGCATTTCCAAAAGCAACACACACCTTGTGATAAACCCCTTATTCCATTTTCTGTCAGATAAATGTGTTATCACTAAATGGAGGAACCTAATACTTGCCAAACATTTGTGAAATAAGCACAGTGAATTTTCCCAGGACTGTAACTATTTACAAAGCGTTTCCTCACTTCGGTCACTTGAGCCCCACAACCCTGTGAGCTTATTAACCATCATTGTCATTTTACTAGTCAGTGCATTGAGGCTCCAGAAGGTTAAATTTCCTGTTTGAGATCAAATATCTAGAACATTCTGGAGCTGTGACCCAGACCCAGGCTTTTTGGTGCCAAATACATTATATTTTCCACTATCTTGCTGTTGACACGTAGCGTTCTCATCTAGCAATAGTAATGCCCCACACTTCTGGATTATTTCAGGATATGCCTTTAAAACTCATGTATTCAGAGGAAATATTGCCTGAGTTCATGTCCTTGCCAACTAACAGCCCCTCAGAGGCAGGGGTCCTATTTTATTTTACATTCCTTTTCTCTTCCTCTTTTTCTCCTTTTCTCCATCTTGCTCTCCCTCCCTATTTTTATGGTATATTCAAAAACAGGGTAAGCTTTGCAGCCAAACAGATCTGGTTTCAAATCTTACTTTTTTGAGAGAGAGAATGTCTCACTCTGTTACCCAGGCTGGAGTGCAGTGGCACAATCACAGCTCACTGCAGCCTCCAACTCCTGGGCCCAAGTGATCCTACTACCTCAGCCTCCCAAGAAGCTGGGACTACAGGCACATGCCACCACTCTTGGCTAATTTTTCCATTCTTTGTAGAGACGGGGGTCTTGCTTTGTTACCCAGGTGGTCGAACTCCTGGCCTCAAGTGATCTTCCCGCCTTGGCCTCCCAAAGTGTTGGGATTACAGGTGTGAACCACCATGCCCAACTTCAAAGCTTACTTTTTAACCCTAGGTATATTGTGAGTTAACGTCCCTGACCCTCAGTTCCTCATCTTTAACATAGAGTTAATACTATCTTCCTTATAAAGTTATTATCGGATTATATGAGATAATGTATATAAAGCTCCTAAAATGTTACCCCACACAAACTGGGCATTCAAACAATTGTTTGTTGAAGAAAAACTAAAGGAGCCCCCCCCTTTTTTTTTTTTTTTTTTTTTTGAGACGGAGTCTTGCTTTGTCCCCCAGGCTGGAGTGCAGTGGTGCGATCTCGAAGAGCCCCCATTTCATTGAGTGCCTCTGATGTGCCAGGACTGAGTAATATACTACTGGGGAAAATGAGTCCCTGCCCTTCGGGAAGTCTTAATATATTCTTGTCATTTTGGTTTTCTCATCAAAAACCCCAGCTCAGGCTGGGTGTGGTGGCTCACGCCTGTAATCCCAGCATTTTGGGAGGCTGAGGCAGGTGGATCACCTGAGGTCAGGAGTTTGAGACCAGCCAGGCCAACATGGTGAAACCCCGTCTCTACTAAAAATACAAAAATTAGCTGGGCGTGGTGGTGCACACCTGTAGTCGCAGCTACTTGGAGGCTGAGGCAGGAGGACCACTTGAACCTGGGAGACAAAGTTGCAGTGAGCTGAGATCACACCTCTGCACTCCAGCCTGGGTGACAGAGCAAGACTGTCTCAAAAACAAAAACAAAACAAACAAACAAAAAACTCCAGCTCAAGGCCTAGGGTCTCATCATCTGTTGCTCCCATTGAAGTTCAACTATTACCTGCTGGTCAAATTAAATACTCTATTTGCTGGGAGCTTGACTGTTGCCATCATATGGGGAGGAATTAACAAAATGTCTAGCACATAGTAGACAATCTATTTTGCTTGACAGAAATGGGAAAAAATTAAATGCCTGTTTTCTTTTTGTTTTTCTCGTCTTTTCTATTTTCTTTTTGAGGCAGGGTCTCACTCTGTTGCCCAGGCTGGATGGAGTGCAGTGGCACAATCTTGGCTCACTGCAACCTCTGCCTCCGAGGCTCAAACAATCCTTTCATCTTAGCCTCCTGAGTATGGGACCACAGACATAAGCCACCATGCCTGACTAATTTTTTTTTTTTTTTTTTTTTTTTATGGAGACAGGGTTTCGCCATGTTGCACAGGCTGGTCTCGAACTCCTGAGCTCAAGCAATCTGCCTGCCTCGGCCTCCCACAGTGCTGGGATTATAGGCATGAGCCACCATGCCCGGCCAAGCCAGTTTGTTAATGTCAGTCTATGCATCCTTATAGTCACGTGGACAGAGATCTCAATGAGGCAGGAGAGCCCAGAACTCAGGAAAACCCCTTCCAATCTGGTCAGGGCATCCATTGACTAAGCCCTAACTGGAATGGGGAATGGAAACCTGGGAACAGATTCCCCTACAGGGGAATTGCCATCTGTTACCTCTGTAAGAGCAGAAGATGCCATGAACTTGCAATGGCTGTATCTGTGGTTTCTTTCCCCAGATGACCTCAACATGCCAGCCAAAGAGGTGTATGGGGCCCAGCCACCCATCGAGCTCCTGAGGCAGTGGATTGACCATGGTTACTGGTTTGACAAAAAAGACACAACCAGGCTGGACATCGTGGACATGCTGCTCGTGACAGCCATGGGGCCCCCCGGGGGAGGAAGGAATGACATTACTGGTATGTGAAGGGAAGAGCTCATTCCTCTTTCCCTCCATCCCCAGCAGAGCTGGGCCACCTTTATGAAAGGTGGGTTGGTGTGCCACAGTCTGTCCTGCCAAACCACGTGGCAGGAGCATGGAGCAGAAGCATGTGTAGGCTACAGGCTTCATGTTGGAAATTGTGTGAAATAGAAGGGGACGATGGCAAGAAGATGTGAGGAGTGTTTGGCTAGGCCCTAGAGAAACAGAGAGTCTCATAGGAAAAGGAGAGTTCAGTGTGGCCAGCATGTGTTCCGGGAGGGAGGCTCCATCCAGAAGCCTCAACTAGGGGTGCATGACAGTCATCCATTGTATTCGTTATAATTCTTTAGGTTGCCAGAGACAGAATGCCTAACCCAAAGTGCCCTAAGCAAAATTAATAACAATAAAAATAGCAAATAAATAATCAGTGGATATATTGCTTCACGTGCAACTTGATCCACCCAGTCCTATAGATCTGTACTTCTATTCTGATATACATTATTGGTTAAGAATCTTCATACTGAGTGGGTGCAGTGGCTCATACCTGTAATCTCAGCACTTTGGGAGGCCGAAGCGGGTAGATCGCTTGAGGCCAGGAGTTCGAGACTACCCTGGCCAACATGGCAAAACCCTATCTCTACTAAAAATAAAAAAATTAGCTGGGCTTGGTGGCTTGTGCCTGTAGTCCAGCTACTTGGGAGGCTGAGGCAGGACAATCGCTTGAACCCAAGAGGCAGAGGTTGCAGTGAGCCGAGATGGCACCACTGCACTCCAGCCTGGGCAACAGAATGAGACTCTGTCTCAAAAAAAAAAGTTAAGGATGGTAGCTGAGAGCATGGTTTGGCAGCTGACACAGGTCTGGGGTTGAGTAACCCAAAGCAGGCATTAATAAACCTTAACTACTGTTATCCCTATCATCAAAAGGTTAAGTTCACATAGCTACCAATAGTTCCAGATCAACAACATATAATTTAATGTAGAGAAAAATCTACACGTATCAGTATGTGTGTGTGTAGATGGTATATACACATGCTAGCTACATATATATGTATTATATTATCTACATGATTTTTAACACATGTATGTATAAAAAACTATGGAAAGAATTTCAGGGAAATGGCAGCCACAAAGGCTGCACAGTTTTCAGATCTTCCCAAATCGTCACATAAAAACAGAGCAACTAGGTAGCAAAACCAGAAAGCTATAAACAACACTTACAACAAAGCTAGTTTGCAAGGTATCCCCACAGATTCCAAAATACAAATTGGGTGACAGCAAACCACTGACAGCTGCAAGACGTGCAATTATCTGCACCTGTGCAGGAGAACGCAGCGGGAAGGAATGGACCTGAGAGGAAGAACCAAAAGCTAGTCAGCAGGTTTGCACTGCAAAGTGTGCTGGCCCATGTGAGAGGAGAAGCTGAAGTTTACAGGGTTTTCACCTGCTGAAACTAGTGACTGCAGTGACCCAGCCCATGGTGAGCTCTGAAGGGGATGCTAGCCCCCGTGATTTCTCAAAACTGACCAGTCAGGTGTCCCCTTCCAAGGCAGGACCCTATATTGAAGAGAAATTGCTGGTAGCTGAATCAGAATGGAGAAGGTTAAGATGAATAGAAACAAAGCAAAGAGAAGGTCCAAATAAAAGAGAGAGAGGGAAAAAAGGCGGAAATTTTCAGAAAGCAACTCACTATATTTTTGAACATATAAGAAACCAAGAGAGTCTGGGCGCAGTGGCTCATGCCTATAATCTCAACACTTTGGGAGGCCAAAGTGGGCAGATCTCAAGAGGCCAGGAGTTCGAGACCAGCCTGGCCAAGATGGCGAAACCCCATCTCTACTAAAAATACAAAAATTAGCCGGGCATGATGCACACCTGTTATCCCAGCTACCCGGGAGGCTGAAGCACAAGAATTGCTTGAACCTGGGAGGCAGAAGCACAAGAATTGCTTGAACCTGGGAGGCAGAGGTTGCAGTGAGCCAAGATTGCACCATTGCACTCCAGCCTGCGTGAGACTCTGTCTCAAAAAAAGAAAGAAAAGGCCGGGCTCTGGCTCACGGCTGTAATCCCAGCATTTTGGGATGCCAAAGCGGGCAGATTACTTGAGGTCAGGAATTTGAGACCAGCCTGGGCAACTTGGCGAAACACCATCTCTACAAAAAATACAACAACAACAAAAAATTATCTGGGTATGGTGGCATGCACCTGTAGTCCCAGCTACTTAGGGGGCTGAGGCAGGAGGATCGCTTGAACCTTGGGAGGTCAAAGCTTCAGTGAGCCAAGATCGCACCACAATACTCCAACCTGGGTGAGACCCTGTCTCTAAAAAAAAGAGAAGAAAAATGAAACCAAAAACTAGGAGGAACACAAGAAAGAATAAACACGGCAAATAATGCTGTAGGAAAAAATAATAATAAAAGGAGGATTTTTTTAAAAAAAAAGACATGTTACAACATGGATGAAACTTAAAGATGTTATTGTCTTTAAGTGAAATAAACCATATCATTAAGTGAAATAAACCATTCACAAAAAGGCAAATACTGTATGATTCCACTTATACGAGGTACTCAAAGTAGTCAAATTGACAGAGACAAAAAGTAGAATAAGTGGTTGTCAAAGTCTGGAGGGAGGGGAGATTGAGGAGTGAATGTTGAATGAATGAATGATTTTTAGTTTGGGAAGATGAAAGTTCTGTAGATGAATGGTGGAGATGGTTGCACGACAACGTGAATGTGCTTGATGCCTCTGAACCGTACACTTAAAAATGGTTAAAATGGCCAATTTTATGTTACATATATTTTATCACAATAAAAACTTTTTATTTTTTTATTTAATTAATTAATTTATATTTTGAGACAGAGTCTCGCTCTTGTCGCCCAGGCTGGAGTGCAATGGCATGATCTCAGCTCACTGCAACCTCCGCCTCCGGGTTCAAGTGATTCTCTTGCCTCAGTTCCCTAAGTAGCCGGGATTACAGGCACCCACCACAATGCCCGGCTAATTTTTTTGTATTTTTAGTAGAGACGGGGTTTCATCCTGTTAGCCAGGCTGGTCTCAAACTCTGGATCTCAGGTGATCCACCCACCTCGGCCTCCCAAAGTACTGGGATTACAGGCGTGAGCCACTGCGCCAGGCCATTTTTTAAAAAAGAAATGAAGAAAAGGATTAAAAGGATTTGAGAGAAAATGACAAATATTGAAGTTACAAAGAAAATCCAACATGAAGTGTCTGAAGTATCTGAATAAGAAAATCAAAATAAAGAAATAGAAGAAATAATACAAAATATATAATCCAATAAAATAAGAAAAAAACATTTTGAGAATTACATACTGGAAGAGCACATTGTATACCTAAGAATATTGACTCAAAATGATCACTACCAAGGCATACGCTAATAAACAGCATAAAAGAGTGGGCTTTCAAGAAAAATAAATTAGCCAGGTGTTGTGGCATGTGCCTGTAGTCCCAGCTACTCAGGAGGCTAAGGTGGGAGGATCGCTTGAGGCAGGGAGGTCAAGGCTGCGGTGAGCTATGATTACACCACTGCACTGCAACCAGGGCGACAGAGCAAGACCCTGTCTCAAAAATTTAAAAAAAGAAAAAAACTTTTGGGCAGCTAGACAAAAATAGCACACAACTTATATGGGAAATAAAGTTAGATCAACTTTAAGTGTTTTCAGTAGCAATGCTTAATACCAGAAGAAAATGGAATAACACATTTAAGATACTTAAGGAAATAAAATGAGAGTTGAGGATTTTATAGCCAGAAAAATTAATCTTCAAGTATTAAAGGAAAATTGTTATCAACATGCACAAACTCAGAGACTATTATTTTTTTAAGCCATTTCTCAGGAATCTCCTAGAAAATGGATTTCAGGTAATCAAAATGACTGTGGAGAGACTGATATAACTAGTAGTAAGCATTAAATATATGGTTATTTGTTGAACTAAGACTAAATGGAGAGGTGATATTATGTAAAGAGTATATTATTTGATGATGTAGATATAGAACAGTTGAAAACGTAGAATTTTCTATTTATCTTATCCCTTGAGTTTTTGAGAACCAAGAGTCTTGGGGTGGAAAAAAGGAGGTCAAGATGTAATACATAGGAAGTTAGGGCTGGGGGCAGTGGCTCATACCTGTAAACCCAGCACTTTGGGAGGCCGAGGAGGGTGGATCGCTTGAGGCCAGGAGTTTGAGACCAGCCTGGCCAACATGGTGAAACCCTGCCTCTACTAAAAATACAAAAATTAGACAGGCATGGTGGTGCAAGCCTGTAGTCCCAGCTACTCAGGAGGCTGAAACATGAGAATTGCTTGAACCTGGGTGGTAAAGGTTGCAGTGAGCTGAGACCACACCACTACGCTCCAGCCTGGGCAACAAAGTGAGACTCTGTCTCAACGAATGAATCAACAACAAAAACTAAAAAAAGAAGTTAGGCAAAAGTTTTATAGTCCTAAATTTGAACTTGATGTTTAATGTCCACTGAAAAGATCTAAAGAAATAATGACCACCTTATTAACAATGAACATGTCTACTACTCAGATTGTAGTCTTGAAATCCAATTTCCTGCTGAAAGAAACCAAGACATCTTAAAGAAATGGCTGATTGCATGTCTGCTGGGGTAAGAAATATATGAAATAGGCCAGGAGCGGTGGCTCACGCCTGTAATCCCAGCACTTTGGGAGGCTGAGGCAGGCAGATCACGAGGTCAGGAGATCGACCTGGCTAACACGGTGAAACCCCGTCTCTACTAAAAATACAAAAAAATTAGCCGGGCTTGGCGGTGTGCGCCTGCAGTCCCAGCTGCTGGGGAGGCTGAGGCGGGAGAATGGCGTGAACCCGGGAGGCGGAGCTTGCAGTGAGCCGAGATCCCACCACTGCACTACAGCCTGGGTGACAGAGCAAGACTCCATCTCAAAAAATAAAAATAAAAATAAATATATGAAATAAGCCTGTAAAGTCTTGATATACCAGATAATGAGAAAGCTATCAAAGATTACCGGACTCACATCAAAAGGACTTGGTTGTCAACATAAAGAGGCTTTCACTCACCAAAGATGAGAAAATTTAAGCTTCAACAATGGTAGTGATTTCAATGGATTGAAATTTATCTAAATATATTTTAATCCATGAGTCTATAACAATAATAATAGTTGGTCACCTACAGAAAATGATAAGGAACCAACTCGTTATCTTGGAAACTGATAAGTAAATGGGAAAGAATCAGGCATTCTCTGACACCCTGACTTTCTTGTATGAAATGTACCACTGTATAACCAAATAGTGGTTGATGAGGGGAAGTATCTCATGAAAATATTGCAACTAATAGATGAAAAAGAAGTGACTCAGAATATTACCACTTTGCAAACCCCAGTGAATTAATGGATGTAGCCATTGAGCATCAGTAGCTACCAACATTACAAAAGGAGAAACATTATTGAGTACTTTCCAATGAAAGAACACACCACCACCTATGGTCTGGCCAAAGGGATGGAATCTGAATCCCAACAAGTCTCTGGATCCAGCTACAAATTTGTAGGAAATACAGAGGACAGAGGAACGTGATAAACTGCATCATAAGTATGTAATCAACAAAATCCTGACTGTGAAAACTCTACAAGTCAAACAGCCCAGATCTTCAACGGATAAGACACGTAAGAAAGGAATGGAGGGAAAAAACTATAAATTAAAAAGAGACCTTAAGAAATACATATGAGGCCAGGTGCAGAGGCTCACGTCTGTAATCCTAGCACTTTGGGAGGCCGAGGCGGGTGAATCACCTGAGGTCAGGAGTTTGAGACCAGCCTGGCCAATATGGCAAAACCCCATCTCTACTAAAAATACAAAAATTAGCCAGTCATGGTGGTGCATGCCTGTAATCCCAGCTACTTGGGGTTGAGGAAGGAGAATCACTTGAACCTGGGAGGTGGAGGTTGCTGTGAGCCGAGATCGTGCCACTGCACTCTAGACTGTGCAATGGGAGTGAGGCTCCATCTCAGAAAAGAAAAAAAAAAAGGCATGTGGTTGTTTTAACTGGCAGAATTAAACAATTAAACCCTGGTGTCTACAAATAAACACTTGGATGGTAAAAATCATAAAGAAATGCAAGACAGCAATTACTATAAAAGTCAGAAGAGTGATAACTTTTGGAGGAAGAAAAGGAGACAGTTTAGGATGGGCTCTGTCGAGAGGCTTTTGTGGAGGGCTGGCAAAATTCTATTTTGTTTTTGTTTTGTTTTGTTTTTTGTTTGTTTGTTTTGAGACAGAGTCTCGCTCTGTCGCTCAGGCTGGAGTGCAGTGGCACAATCTCGGCTCACTGTAACCTCTGCCTCCCGGATTCAAGCAATTCTCCTGCCTCAACCTCCCGAGTAGTTGGGACTACAGGTGCCCGCTACCACGCCTGGCTAATTTTTGTATTTTTAATAGAGATGGGGGTTTCACCATGCTGGCCAGGCTGGTCTCGATCTCTTGACCTCGTGATCTGCACGCCTCGGCCTCCCAAAGTGCTGGGATTACAGGAGTGAGCCACCACACCTGGCTGGCAAAATTCTATTTCTTAATCTTGACAGTAGATGCTAAGAGTGTTAACCTTATAATGATTTACTAAACTATACATTTGTTTTGTGTGGTTTTCTGTATCTTTTACCTGTAACAAAAAAATGTTTTAAAGATATACAGGCAAACCTATAGAGACAGAAAGTAGATTATTAGTTGCTGAGAACCATGGGAAAATGGGGAATGACTGCTAATGGGTACAAGGTTTCTTTTTAGCACGATTAAAATGTTCTAAAATTGTGATAATGGTTGCACAACCCTGAATATATTAAAAATCATTGAATAATTGTACTTTAAATGGGTGAATGGTACAATATGTGAGTTATTATTGGGATATCAATAAAGCTGGTATATATCTATATAAATAAATACAGATATCTAACAATTATAGATTAGACAGATACATAGATCTATAGATACACAGAAAGATGATAGATGATAGATTAGACAGATAGATGATATAAGGATACCAAATTAGCAGGGGAGAATGGATTTGGCGCGTATAAGGTAAGTGAAAGTGAGAGGTGACAGCGTGCTGGCAAGTCCTCACAGCCCTGGCTCGCTCTGGGCGCCTCCTCTGCCTGGGCTCCCACTTTGGCGGCACTTGAGGAGCCCTTCAGCCCACCGCTGCACTATGGGAGCCCCTTTCTGGGCTGGGCAAGGCCGGAGCCCACTCCCTCAGCTTGCAGGGAGGTGTGGAGGGAGAGGCGCGAGTGGGAACCGGGGCTGCGCGCGGCGCTTGCAGGCCAGCTGGAGTTCCGGGTGGGCGTGGGCTTGGCGGGCCCCGCACTCGGAGCAGCCGGCCGGCCCTGCCGGCCCCGGGCAATGAGGGACTTAGCACCCGGCCAGCGGCTGCGGAGGGTGTACTGGGTCCCCCAGCAGTGCCAGCCCACCGGTGCTGCGCTCGATTTCTCACTGAGCCTTAGCTGCCTTGCCGCGGGGCAGGGCTTGGGACCTGCAGCCCGCCATGCCTGAGCCTCCCACCCACTCCATGGGCTCTGTGCGGCCCAAGCCTCCCCGACGAGCACCACCCCCTGCTCCACGGCGCCCAGTCCCATCGACCACCCAAAGGCTGAGGAGTGCGAGCGTACCGCCCGGGACTGGCAGGCAGCTCCACCTGCAGCCCCGGTGCGGGATCCACTAGGTGAAGCCAGCTGGGCTCCTGAGTCTGGTGGGGACTTGGAGAACCTTTATGTCTAGCTCAGGGATTGTAAACACACCAATCAGCACCCTGTGTTTAGCTGAAGGTTTGTGAGTGCACCAATCGACACTCTGTATCTAGCTGCTCTGGTGGGGCCTTGGAAAAACTTTATGTCTAGCTCAAGGATTGTAAACACACCAATCAGCACCCTGTGTTTAGCTCAAGGTTTGTGAGTGCACCAATCAACACTCTGTATCTAGCTGCTCTGGTGGGGCCTTGGAGAACCTTTGTGTAGATGCTCTGTATCTAACTAATCTGATGGGGACGAGGAGAACCTTTGTATCTAGCTCAGGGATTGTAAATGCACCAATCAGCACCCTGTCAAAACAGACCACTCGGCTCTACCAATCAGCAGGATGTGGGTGGGGCCAGATAAGAGAATAAAAGCAGGCTGCCCGAGCCAGCAGTGGTAACCCGCTCGGGTCTCTTTCCGCACTGTGGAAGCTTTGTTCTTTCGCTCTTTGCAGTAAATCTTACTGGTGCTCACTCTGTGGGTCCACACTGCTTTTATGAGCTGTAACACTCCCCGCGAAAGTCTGCAACTTCACTCTTGAAGCCAGCGAGACCACGAGTCCACCGGGAGGAACGAATAACTCCAGACATGCCGCCTTAAGAGCTGTAACACTCACCGCGAAGGTCTGCAGCTTCACTCCTGAGCCAGCGAGATGACGAACCCACCAGAAGGAAAAAACTCCGAACACATTCGAACATCAGAAGGAACAACCTCCAGACGCGCCACCTTAAGAGCTGTAACACTCACCGCGAGGGGTCGCGGCTTCATTTTTGAAGTCAGTGAGACTAAGAACCCACCAATTCCGGACACAAAAGGAGATTTTCACTTTCAACAAAAGTATTCCTGAATTGATAGACTCTTTTACAATGATCATGTATTGCCTTTATCTTTTAAAAACATTCTTGAGGCTGGGCGCGGTGTCTCATGCCTGCAATCACAGCACTCTGGGAGGCCTGTAGTCCCAGCTACTCTGGAGGCTGAGGCTGGAGAATCTCTTGAGCCCGGGAGGCGGAGGTTGCAGTGAACTGAGATGGCACCACTGCACTCCAGCCTGGGCAACAGAGGGGAACTCCATCTCAAAAAGTAATGTAATATAATACAACATGATATGATATAATAATGAGCACTAAACTAGCACTCAGTAGAACTTCCGCAGTATGGAGATGCTCTATATCTGTACTGAGCAATACGGTAGCCACTAGCCACATGTGGCTCTTGAGCACTTGAAGTGTGGTGAGACTAAGGAAGAGCATTTTTAATGTTATTTAATATTAATTAATTTAAGTTTAAATTTGCTGCAGGTGGCTAGAGGTTGCCATATTGCACAGCACAGCTCTGGAACATGAAGGCAGAAGGCAAAGCCACCTCGTGTGCATCCTAGGGTCACAGACAGTGTGAGAATATGTGTTTTCCAGGATGATTCACTTGTGTGTTGTATTCCCCAGGACGATTCACTCGCCATCTGAATATCATTTCCATCAATGCCTTTGAGGATGACATTTTAACCAAGATTTTCAGTTCGATTGTTGACTGGCACTTCGGGAAAGGGTTTGATGTGATGTTTTTAAGGTAAGAGGTTTCTCTGTCTTCCTGGATAGTGGGCTGGGGGTTCTCAGTTTCTGGCCCCTCCTTGACTACTGTGCCATCCCTTTCCTCCCAAGGTACGGAAAGATGCTGGTCCAAGCTACTAAGACAATTTATAGAGATGCAGTGGAGAACTTCTTGCCAACTCCCTCGAAGTCACATTACGTCTTTAACCTGCGGGACTTCTCACGAGTGATTCAAGGGGTCCTGCTGTGCCCTCACACACACCTGCAGGTCAGCCACTATCATTTTACTACCAAGATCATTCAGCATATCCTTGGCTACATAGAACATGTAGTAATAGCAGTAATAGCTAACTTTTATTAGGCACTTAGTCTATGCTAGGCATTGTGCTAAGCATTTTATAAACATTATCTAGTTCAATCCTCAAATCAACCCCAGGACTTACCTACTACTGAGAACTACCACCTCAGGGACCATCTTCCACTCGTTTGAATAATTAACTCTGGATTTTTAGGATGTAGAAAAATGTATCCGGCTTTGGATCCATGAGGTTTATCGGGTCTTCTATGATCGTCTGATTGACAAGGAGGACAGACAGGTCTTTTTCAACATGGTGAAGGAAACCACCTCCAATTGCTTCAAGCAGACCATAGAGAAGGTAAACCAGATTCTGTGATCATTTGACCTCAGAAATGGTTCCAAGTGTTTAACCACGTTACTTTCAGATTTCAGGTTCCCTTCCTGTTGGAGACTGCCAGCTCTGCACTCTGAATCTCGGGAAACAGTATTGAGTCAACTGCTCTTTTTGACTTGGTGATATTTTACTTGGTCCAACTTTGCTTCCCTTCTGTTGTAACATATAAGTTTGAATCCACTCAAAATGGCTTAACATGCATTTTAAGTTCATTATAAATGAATGTTTATTATGAACTTAAAATGCATTTTTAGGATCAATTAATTGGTGAGTTGAGAAATGAACTGTACATTGTCATGATTTGACTGAGGTCCTATAAAGCTCAAGTGAAAGATTGTTATGGTTTTCCAGGTGTGAATATTTTCTCTTTTCCATTTCCATATAAGAAAAGTTGTTTTAAACATCTATATTTTTATCATCTGGTTATTCTTCCACTGCTAAGAAGCTGTGATTTCTCCATAGAAAAATTTCAAGTGTTTTATCTTGCGTTCAGAGGCCAAGTGCAAAAGCGTCACTGGGTTCTAACATAGGACGAGGAGGCATCTAAAACGTTCCTACTCCAGGCACAGAGTGGGGACCAGGATAGTGTCTATACTTCTATTTGGTGGAGGATCAAGCACCTAAGAAAAGCACATCCTTCAACTGTCTTTTCTGGGGACCGTACAAACTGATCACCAATGTTTTAATCACATGGCAAATAGACTGATTAAAGCGTTCATACTCTAATGTCCTTTCTTTTAACAAAAAAAATATTTATTTTTAGAGGTAGGACCTCACTCTGTCACCCAGGCTGGAGTGCAATGGTATGATCATAGCACACTGCAGCCTCAAGCTCCTGGGCTCAAGCAGTCCTCCACCTCGGCCTCCTGAGTAGCTGGGATTACAGGTGTGCACCACGATGCCCAGTTAATTTTTTCTTATTTTATTGTAGAGACTGAGTCTCACTATGTTGCCCAGGCTGGTCTTGAAGTCCTGAGCTCAAATGATCCTTCTGCCTCGGCCTCCCAAAGTGCTGGGACTACAGGCATGAGCCACCGTGCCCAGCAATGTTCTTTCATTATAGTCTTTACAAGCATGAAATCCACATATTATGTTTAAAAAACAAAAAGACTGGGCCGGGCACAGTGGCTCATGCCTGTAATCCCAGCACTTTGGGAGGACGAGGTGGGCAGGTAACCTGATATCAGGAGTTTCAGGACCAGCCTGGCCAACATGATGAAACTCCATCTCTACAAAAATACAAAAATTAGCCAGGCATGATGGTGGGTGCTTGTAATCCCAGCTATTTGGGAGGCTGAGGCGGGAGAATCGCTTGAACCCAGGAGGCAGAGGTTGCAGTGAACCGAGATCACACCATTGCACCCCAGCCTGGGCGACAGAGTGAGACTCTGTCTCAAAACAAAACGAAACAAAACAAAACTGATGACCCATGACCTTGAAGGATGTGCTCAGAGGAAATAAGCCACGTCTCCCATGCCCTCCCTCCATGATGTCCCTACCAGCCTGGCTGGGCCATTCACTGAATGCCCCGCCGAGATTTACTTTTCTTACAGGTGCTTATCCACTTGTCACCCACTGGAAAGATAGTCGATGATAACATTCGAAGCCTCTTCTTTGGAGATTATTTCAAGCCAGAAAGTGACCAAAAAATCTACGATGAGATCACTGACCTGAAACAGCTGACTGTGGTCATGGAGCACTATCTGGAAGAATTCAACAACATCAGCAAGGCCCCCATGTCCCTGGTCATGTTCAGGTTTGCCATTGAGCACATCTCTAGGATCTGCCGTGTCCTGAAGCAGGACAAAGGCCACCTGCTCCTGGTGGGCATAGGGGGCAGCGGGCGGCAAAGTGCCGCCAAACTGTCCACATTCATGAACGCATACGAGCTATACCAGATTGAGATCACCAAGAACTACGCAGGCAATGACTGGCGAGAAGATCTTAAGAAGATCATACTGCAGGTCGGTGTGGCCACCAAGAGCACCGTGTTCCTCTTCGCCGACAACCAGATCAAGGATGAATCATTCGTGGAGGACATCAACATGCTTCTGAACACAGGTGACGTGCCTAACATCTTCCCTGCTGACGAGAAGGCTGACATCGTGGAGAAGATGCAGACTGCAGCCAGGACCCAAGGAGAGAAGGTTGAAGTCACTCCTCTTTCTATGTATAACTTCTTTATTGAGAGGGTGAGAAAGAACCTTCACATTGTCCTCGGTAAGAAGAAGAAAACTCCATTTGCCCTTGTTCTTCTGGGTGTTTTGGGGTCTTCTGAGTGCCCTGAGCAGGCCAATCCCTTACAATGGTCCCAGGGTTGATTCAGCCAACGCACCAGCTCGGGGTCAGGGCCCGGAGTTCCTCTGGCAACTTTTTTCACTCTTCTGAGCAGCAATTTTTTTTTTAAAGACAGTCTTGCTCTGTTGCCCAGGCTGGAGTGCAGTGGTGAGATCTCAGCTCACTGCAACCTCTGCCTCCCAGTTTCAAGCGATTCTGGTGCCTCAGCCTCCTGAGTAGCTGTGATTGCAGGCGCGTACCACACCTGCTAATTTTTGTATTTTTAGTAGAGAGGGGTTTCACCATGTTGGCCAGGCTAGTCTCATACTCCTGGCTTCAAGTGATCTGCCCGCCTCGGCCTCCCGAAGTGCTGGGATTACAGGCATAAGCCACCGTGCCGGACCCTGAATAATTTCAAACCTGTCCCCCGTCTTCAATTTCCTGAATTCTCCTCTGAGAATTACCCTTGCACAGAATGACATCTCGGGTTTTCTCTGTGAACGACATTTCCAATGTATCTAGAAACCTAGCAATTGTGTTTAGTACTTCCCTTTCTTTACCAAGTCCTGTCTGTTACCTCCAGCTGTCTCATATCCACTCTCTTATCTCCATCTCCATCACCTTCACATTGGCTAAGCTGCCATCCTTTTACCCAGGCTCACCTCTGCAACTTTCTAATCATTCTAGCTCCATTCTTGTCTGTTCCATGAAGCCAGGCTGATTTTTTTCATATGCTGCAAATATTATCATTGTGTTCATGCATGCATACACACACACACACACGCACGCATGCGCACACGTGCACACATATACACACACACACACACACATTGGGATAAGGACCAAAATTACTAACCTGCGGTCTCATAATGCCATAAGGCCACCTGCCAGACTGTCCTCTGTATCCTCTCCACCTTCATCTTTTCAAACCATCGCCCTTTCTGTCTTTTTTTTTTTTTTTTCTGGATATAGGGTCTTGCTCTGTCACCCAGGCTGGAGTGCAGTGATGTGGTTCTAGCTCACTGCAGGCTCAACTTCCTGGGCTCAAGTGATCCTCTCACCTCAGCCTCCTGAGTACATGGGACTACAGGCACACACCACGATGCCCAGCTAATTTTTTCCATTTTTGTAGAGATAGGGGACGGGGATGTGGGGTTCACTTTGTTGCCCAGGTTGGTCTGAAACTCCTGGGCTCAAATGATCCTCCTGCCTTGGCCTCCCAAAGTGTTGGGATTACAGACGTGAGCCACTGTGCCAGGCCTCTGTTCTTTACCCACAGTGACCTTTCACTTCCACCTAGACATCATGCTCCCTTCCACCACACATAGTCTAAATAACAATGAATGGAATTTTAAGTGTGGAACCCAAAATTTGTTATTGGCCAGAGATGGGATCAGAAACAAGCAGATGACCTCACAGCAACTTCTATAAATAACAGTGTATGGCTCCCGTGTATCAGCACAAATACAGCAAGTCAATCAAAGGGCTCCAGCCACACTGGCTACGTGACCCGAAGGATGCGGAAGGAACAATAGTGTGTATGGGAGACCAGTTAGAAGGTAATAGACTCAGGCATGGTGGCTCACGCCTGTAATCCCAGCACTTTGGGAGGCTGAGGCGGGCAGATCACTTGAGGTCAGGAGTTTGAGACCAGCCTGGCCAAAATGGTGAAACCCCGTCTCTACTAAAAATACAAAAATTAGCTGGAAGTGGTGGTGGGTGCCTATAGTCCCAGCTACTCAGGAAGCTGAGGCAGGAGAATAGCTTGAACCCAGGAGGCGGAGGTTGCAGTGAGCCGAGATTGCGCCACTGCACTCCAGTCTGGGTGACAGAGCAAGAATCTGTCTTAATAAAAAATAAAAAATTAAAATTTTTTTTAAAAAGGGGCTATTGTAATGGGCTCCTCACAAAGTTAAGTGAAAATATCCCACTAATTAGCCCGCATTTCCCAGGCACTCATTATGGCCATTGACAGTCACATCCCTGGAGCGCCAGGAGGAAGCCTGCCCCCACTTACCCCACCAGAATCCTTGGGAATACCCGCCTGCCTCCTTGGGTCCACCTGCCTTGGAGGAAGGTAATTAACAAAATCTCCTTTTCATTAGCCATGAGTCCAATAGGGGATGCCTTCAGGAACCGCCTGCGGATGTTCCCTTCGCTGATCAATTGCTGTACGATTGATTGGTTCCAGTCCTGGCCCACAGATGCCCTAGAGTTGGTGGCTAACAAATTTCTAGAGGATGTGGAGCTTGATGACAACATTCGGGTAGAGTAAGTGTTGATTGCATTTTAGGACTCTAGATATTCCAAATTTGAAGTCCAGACGCTGGCTCTATTTTTGTTGTTGTTTTGAAGATTTCTCAATTTGTATATAGCAAATGTCTTATGCTTTTAAATTGAATCACAGTTAGTTAGATATTTAATAAAGCATCTTGTCTGTAAAAGAAGAAAATTTCATTGTTCAGAATTGTCCTGGAGATTTGTCCTAGCTATGAGAACCTGGAATAATGATATAGCTATTTCAGTAGTCCTAGAATATGCATTCTCAACAGGAAGAAGATTGCTGCTGAGACCACAAAACAATGTTTGTTTGTTTATTTGTTTTTGAGATGGAGTCTTGCTCTATCCCCCAGGCTGGAGTTCCTTGGTGCAATCTCAGCTCACAGCAACCTCTGCCTCCCAGATTCAAGTGATTCTCATGCCTCAGCCTCCCCCAAGCAGCTGGGATTACAGGCACCTGCCATCACGTCCAGCTAATTTTTATATTTTTACTAGATATGGGGTTTCGCCATGTTGGCCAGGGTGGTCTCGAACTCCTGACCTCACGTAATCTGCCCGCCTTGGCCTCCCAAAGTGCTGGGAATACAGGTGTGAGCTACTGCACCTGGCAAAAATTAGTTCCTATAAGGGTGAAAATTTACTCTTTTATGTATAAAGCACATATATATATGTGCTTTATTATATATATATACTTAATTATATATATTATATATTATATATGTGCTTTATATATATGCTTTATTATATATAATATATGTGCTTTATACACTTTATGTATGTATATATGCATACATATATAAAAAAAGCATTTTATTTGGCTAGAGTAAGGGAAGAGGTGAGAATATCAGTCATTCTGGATGTTCCATGAAGGCTAGAGATCAGTCAACCTTGTCTACCTCTGTTTCCTTAGTTTCTAGAAGGTGCTTGGCACACAGTAGGTTCAATCATTGTTTATTTTATTTATTTATTTATTTATCTATTTATTTTGAGATGGAGTCTCACTCTGTCGCCCAGGTTGGAGTGCAGTGGTGCGATCTCGGCTCACAGCAACCTCCGCCTCCCGGGTTAATGCGATTCTTGTGCCTCAGCCTCCCGAGTAGCTGAGATTACAGGTGTGAGCCTCCATGCCCAGCTAATTTTTGGATTTTTAGTGGACACTGGGTTTCACCATGTTGGCCAGGCTCAACTGACCTTAAGTGATTTGCCCACCTCGGCCTCCCAAAGTGCTGGGATTACAGGCGTGAGCCACCGCACCCAGGCTCAATCACTGTTTGTTGAATTAATGGATGAAAAATGAGGAAGTAGGTAGGGGTAAGAGTGTCAATGGCCTTAAATTCCATTTGGGGTATTTTGAACTTTATTATCTAGACCAGAAGACCCTTAACCTGGGTCCACGTGCTTGTGGGTAGAATTCAGTGGGTGGATGAATATGAATGGGAAACATTACATCTTCATTTCCAATGACATCCAACTGGTACTTTGCATTTCCTCCAGTTATGAATGTAGGCAGTAAACCCCAGTGGGATGAGCAGGGCCTGACTTTGTTACCAGTAGGAATCAGTTCTTTGCAGAACTCATTGCATCATTACAGTTAACTCAGTGTATAATTTTCTTCGAATTGATGGTGCTTTTTAGACCTGCTGCCCACTCTTGTTATTTAATGCAGAAGCTGACAAACTATGGTTCATGGGCCTAGTTGAATTCACCCTGCTTTTGTAAATAAAGTTTTATTGGAATGCACGCATGCCCATTAGTTTACACACCATCTGTGGCTGTTTTTGCACTAAAATGGCAGAGTTGAGTAACTGTGACAGATATCATGTGGTCCACAAAGGCTAAAATATTTATTATCTGACCCTTTCCAGAAAAGGTTTACTAATCCCTGATTTAATGCCTCAGTAAAGCAGCATGTATATTACTATATTACAAATTTTAAAATATTTTAAAACATTTCAAAAAGTCTATTTCAATATAATTGGTTTCCATGGTAATTCTGTGTTTTATTTTATGCATTTTTAAAAATTGGCTGGGCATGGTGTTTCATGCCTATAATCCCAGCACTTTGGGAGGCCAAGGCTGGTGGATCACTTGAGGTCGAGAATTCCAGACTAGCCTGGGCAACATAGCAACCCCTACCCCACCCCCCACCATCTCTACTAAAAGTGCAGAAGATTAGCTGGGTGTGGTGGTGTGTGCCTGAGACTTCAGCTACTCAGGAGGCTGAGGTGGGAGGATCACTTGAGCCAGGGAGGTTAAGGCTACAGTGAGCCATGATTGTGCCACTGCACTCCAGCCTGGATGACAGAGTGCAATCCTGTCTCTCTCTCTCCCCCCCCACATATATATATATTTATATATAAATAAATATAATAAAATATAATATAGTATATATTATAATATATAATATAATATATGATGTATATTATAATATATGATGTATATTATAATATAATATATGATGTATATTATATATATAATATAAATAAATAATATAAATAATATAAATAAATATATAATAAAATTATATATATATATATATATTTTTTTTTCTACAAAGTCAGGGAATATCTCCAAACTACCAAAGTTTAGGAATTCCTGCTTAAGCCCTGGTGATTCATCAAAGGGATCAGTGATAGAAATGACTTGATCAAAGACCATTTGTGGCTGGGCGTGGTGGCTCATGCCTGTAATCCCAGCACTTTGGGAGGCCAAGGTGGGCAGATCACCTGAGGTCAGGAGTTTCAGACTAGCCTGACCAACATGGTGAAACTCTGCCTCTACTGAAAATAGAAAAATTAGCTGGGCGTGGTGGCACATGCCTGTAATCCCAGCTACTCGGGAGGCTGAAGCAGGAAAATCACTTGAGCCTGGGAGGCAGAGGTTGCAGCGAGCTGAGATCGCGCCACTGCACTCCAGCCTGGGTGTCAGAGAGAGACACTGTCTCAATAAATAAATATAAAATCATTTGTGTGAGAGTATGCACCTATGTACCTGCCCCATCCTTCTCTGCCTCAGCTCTGTTGACATGTCCTCAGAGAGTTTGGATTCTAACGTGTCACAGTCAGTGTATGTGCCTTCTCATATCCTCATGTCTATAACTAAAGCTGTACTGGATCTCCCTGGAAGATGTTGGGTCCTGCCTAACCGCCTTGGTGTCCTCGGCAGGGTCGTGTCCATGTGCAAATATTTCCAAGAGAGCGTCAAGAAGCTGTCACTCGATTATTACAACAAACTTCGAAGACACAACTATGTTACCCCCACCTCCTACCTTGAATTGATTCTAACCTTCAAGACGCTCCTGAATAGCAAGAGGCAAGAGGTGGCTATGATGAGGAACCGCTACCTGACAGGCTTGCAGAAACTCGACTTTGCAGCTTCTCAGGTGAGCACTGCCAAAACAGAACAGAGACAAAGAGGCCCGGGACGAGGTGGATGTGCCGAGGCATGTGTTCAGGTGCGGAATTAAGAGGACACCAGATCAAGCAGAATGTGACCCTGCATTTGCAGAGCTTACCTTACCTACATCACTGTAATCCCTGCCCTGTGGGATCCTGTCTTTAAGATTTTGATATTTTGTTCATCATGGGTTTTTTGCATTAATTTTGATTTCTTAATCTATTGCAATAATGTATTATTTATCTTGAGTACTTTTTTTTTAATGACCCCTTAAGTTTTGTCCTCAAGGTGAGTGCCTCCCTTGTCTCACCTTATGGGGACCTGGGCAGGATAAGGCAGTGAATCATTCAAGATATCTTTGTGGAGTCAGATCTGGGCCCAAATTTATCTCTACAGCATACCAGCTGTAGAGCCAGGGGCATGTTATTTCACTTCTTTGAGCCTCAGATTCCTCTTCTATAAAAAGGTGAAGGCCCAGTGCAGTGGCTCACGTCTGTAATCCCAGCATTTGGGAGGTCAAAGCCGGGAGGATCAGTTGAGGCCAAGAGATCGCTTGAGACCAGCCTGGGAAACACAGCAAGACCCCATCTCTACAAAAAAATAAATAAAATAAAATTAGCCAAGTGCAGTGACATGTGCCTGTAGTCTCAACTACTTGGGAGGCTGAGGTGGGAGGATCACTTGAGCCCAGGAGTTTGAGGCTGCAGTGAGCTATGATCGTACCACTGCACTGCAGCGGGGTAACAGAGTGAGACTTTGTCTCTTTATTTTATTATAATTATTTCTTTCGAGACGCAATCTCTCTCTTACTGAGGCTGGAACTCAGTGGCGCAATCTCAGCTCACTGCAACCTCTACCTCCTGGGTTCAAGTGATCCTCCTGTCTCAGCATCCCAAATAGCTGGTACTACAGGTGCGTGCCACCACGCCCAGCTAATTTTTGTATTTTTAGTAGAGACGGGGTTTTGCCATGTTGGCCAGTCTGATCTCAAACTCCTGACCTCAGGTGATCTGCTCACCTCGGCCTCCCAAAGTGCTGGGATTACAGGCATGAGCCACCCGCCCGGCCACCTTGTCCCTTTAAAAAAGAAGAAAAAACTAAGTGGTAGCAGTTTTCACTGCATAGGGCTGTTATGAAGATGAAGTAAGCTGACACAGTGCAGCCTTTAGCAAAATGCCTGGCACATGAGTTATTAATTAATTTGTTCTTAGAGCCACCTGAAAAATTATCTAAAATGAAAGCTGTACTAGGAGATGGATTTTCAGCCCCAATAAAGACCAAAGAACATTGATTGATTTACAGAGCTTGGCTCTGTGTACAGCAAACCCACAAACACTGCAATGCAGGGATGGGAGAGAACATTGGAAATGGCCTCTGTTGCTCTGTTCCTGGGGATTTGAGTGGTTGGTTTTTAGAGATGTTGAAAGTGAAGTCTGTCCAGCAAGGGTGAGGTCGGTCGTGTCTGAGGAACAGCAAAAGGACCTAAGACAGTCTAGACCAGAAAATAAAATGATTGCACCAGTTAACATTTCTTGGGTCCTACTGCATCCCTAGTGCTGTGTGTGAAGAAAGTATCGTTACCATCTCCATGTGATACACAAAGAAGCCAGGACACAGAGAGGCCAAGTGTCTTGCCCATGATCACACAGCCTGGGGAGTGGTCCAGCTAGAACTGAAACTTAGATCTGCATGACTCCAAAACCTATGTTCCTAACTAGGCCAGCCTGCTGTGCTTGTGGTCTCACACAAGCTCACTGGGGGCATTGGGTGCAAGGTCATGAAAACTGTCTCCAAATACATGAAACCCAACCCTGTTTGTCTGAGCTGCCTTAAAAGGCAGAATCATGACCAGTGAGTGCAAACTTCAGGGGGGTAATTCTAGCTCTGCATCAGGAAAAGCTAATGGTTTTTTGTTTGTTTGTTTGTTTTTGTTTTTGTTTTGACAGAGTCTCATTCCATCACCCAGGCTGGAGTGCAGTGGTGCAATCTTGACTCACTGCAACCTCCACCTCCCGCATTCAAGCAATTCTCCTGCCTCAGTCTCCCGAGTAGCTGGGATTACAGGCACGTGCCACAGCGCCTGGCTAATTTTTGCGTTTTTAGTAGGGACAGGGTTTCTCCATGTTGGTCAGGCTGGTCACGACCTCCTGAGACCTCAAGTGATCTGCCCACCTCAGCCTCCCAAAGTGCTGGGATTACAGGTGTGAACCACTGAGCCTGGCCTAATGGGTTTAATTGTCTAAAAAATGGCACAACCCTCATGAGAGGTGGTGCGCTCCCTGTTATTAGAGGAGTTCAGAGACCAGAAAACTACTTGGCAGGAATGTTTTATAGAGCATCAGACTGTTTGTCTTAGTCAGCTTGGGCTGCCATAGCAAAATATCCCAAACTGGGTGGCTTCAACAACAAACGTTTACTTCTCATAGTTCTGGAGGCTGGGAAGTTCAAGATCAAGACACTAGCAGATCCACTGTCTGGTGGGGGCTCTTTCCCTGGTTTGCAGACGGCTGCCTTTTTGCTGTGTCCTCACACAGTGGGAAGAGACAGATCTCACGTGGCTTCCTCTTTTTATTATATAAGGGCATTTACCCCATCATGTGGGCCTCACCCTTATGACCTCTTCTAACTCTAATTATCTTCAAAGACCTCGCCTATAATTGCCATCAAATTGGGGATTATGCTTCAACATATAAATCTGAGGAGGACACAAACATTTAGTCCACAATACTATTGGAAAAAGTAGCCTTGAAAGTACCTTCTATCTCAGCTGTCTTTTTTCTTCATAGCCTTTAAGAAAAAAATGTAGCTTTAAAAAATTATTTTGGCTGGGCACAGTGGCTCATGCCTGTAATCCCAGAACTTTGGGAGGCCAAGGCAGGTGGATCACCTGAGGTCAGGAATTCAAGACCAGTCTGGCCAACATGGTGAAACCCCATCTCTACTAAAAATACAAAAATTAGCTGGGTGTGGTGGCACATGCCTGTAATCCCAGCCACATGGGAGGCTGAGACAGGAGAATTGCTTGAACCCAGGAGGCAGAGGTTGCATTGAGCTGAGATCTCACCACTACAGCCTGGGTGATAGAGTGAGACTCCATCTCAAAAAAAGAAAAAATATTTTAACTTAAAAAAAAATTTTGTAGAGACCTGTTCTCACTATGTTTCCCAGGCTGGTCTTGAACTTCTGGGCTCAAGCAATTCTCCCACCTCTACCTCCCAAATTGCTGGGATTACAAGCCAAGAAAAAAATGTAGTTTAAAAAAAAATTTCTTGGCCGGGCGTGGTGGCTCATGCCTGTAATCCCAGCACTTCGGGAGGCTAAGGTGGGTGGATCACCTGAGGTCAGGAGTTCTAGACCAGCTTGACCAACATGGTGAAACTTCGTCTCTACTAAAAATATAAAAATTAGCCAGGCGTGGTGGTGTGTGACTGTAGTCCCAGCTACTTGGGAGGCTGAGACAGGAGAATTGCTTGAACCCAGGAGTTGGAGGTTGCAGTGAGCCAAGATCATGCCACTGCACTCCAGCCTGGGTGACAGAGTGAGACTCTGTCAAAAAAAAGTCTTAACTTGCTTTTGCTCTGTCTCTCTCCCATTACCCCCAACACTACAATATAGACTCAGTGAGGGAGGAAACGGTTTTTAAAAAAGATTTTAGTTTACAATTATATGTCTAGTGCCTAGCACAGTGCTTGATAACCACAATGCAGAGTGTAAACTCAATAACTGTGTTGAAAAACCTATGAGATAATCACTAGGAAACGAATCTGTACCCAGGACCATGTCAAAATCATTAGTACATATTTTCTGCTTATGTCATAGGTTGGAGAATCATTTCAATTCTTGTCTACTTTGCCATTTTCAGTGCTGACCCTGGATTTCTCCCACCTCTCTCCTTGCTAGGTAGCGGTTATGCAAAGAGAACTGACAGCTCTTCAACCTCAACTCATCCTCACCTCCGAGGAAACTGCCAAGATGATGGTGAAAATTGAAGCGGAGACGAGAGAAGCTGATGGAAAGAAACTTCTGGTGCAGGCAGATGAAAAAGAAGCCAATGTTGCTGCTGCCATTGCCCAAGGAATCAAGGTAGAAAGACTGAGAAGAAAGGGAGGGAACTGGTGCTGCCGAATGAGCGTGGTTATACCCATCTTACGGATGAGAAAAGTGAGGCTCAGAAAGGGTAGGCAAGGCTGGGCATGGTGGCTCACAGCTGTAATCCCAGCACTTTGGGAGACCAAGGGAGGTGGATCACCTGAGGTTAGGAGTTCAAGACCAGCCTGACCAACATAAAGAAACCTCATCTCTACTTTAAAAAAAAAAAAAAAAAAAAAAACTAGCCAGGTGTGGTGGCGTGCATCTGTAATCCGAGCTACTCAGGAAGCTGAGGCAGGGGAATTGCTTGAACCTGGGAGGCAGAGGTCGCAGTGAGCTGAGATTGCACCACTGCACTCCAGCCTGGGCGGCAAGAGTGAAACTCTAAAAAAATAATAATAATAATAAGGGGTAGGCGACTCTCCCAGCATCACATAGCTGATAAGTGATGAAGGAAGTTGTTCTGAAACATCGCTGAAACCAGGAAGCATTAAGACCCAACATATGGGCAGGTGTGGTGGCTCACACCTGTGATCCCAGATTTTTGGGAGACAAAGGCAGGAGGATCGCCAGAGCCTCGGAGTTTAAGACCAGCCTGGGAAACGTAGCAAGATTCTGTCTCTACAAAAAAAAAAAAAAAAAAAAAACACTATAAAACAGCCAGGTGTAGTGGCACACCCATGTAGTCCCAGCTACTCAGGAGGCTGATGTGGGAGGATTGCTTGAGCCCAGGAGTTTGAGGCTGTAGTGAACTAGGATCGTGCCACTGCAATCCATAGCTCACTGCAGCCTTGAACACTTGGACTCAAGTGATCCTCCCACCTCAGCCTCCCGAGTAGCTGACCAAGACCTTGTGTTGTCTAAAAAACAAAACAAAACAAAACAAAGTGGCCAGGGGCAGTGGCTCATGCCTGTAATCCCAGTACTTTGGGAGGCTGAGTGGGTGGATTGCTTGAGTCCTGGAGTTCAAGACCAGCCAAGTTCAAGACCAGCCTGGGCAACATGGCAAACCCCATCTCTACAAAAAATGTAAAAAAAAATTAGCCAGCTGTGGTGGCATGCACCTATGGTCCCGGCTACTCAGGAGACTGAGGTGGGAGGGTCCTGAGCCCAGGAGGTCGAGGCTACAGTGGGTCCAGGTCGCACCACTGCACTCCAGCCTGGGTGACAGAGCAAGACCCAGTCTCAAAAACAAACAAACAAAAAGACCCAATATGTTTTGACCTCATGTTTTACCACTTTTCCTTCATTCCCTGTACTCTGGCCATGTTGGTCTCCTAGCTATTTGTTAAATAATCATAAGCCGCACTCCCACCCCAGAGCCTAAGAACTGGCTGTTCCCTCTACACAGAATGCCCTTCCTTTTGATATCCACATGGCTGTTTCCTTCGTCTCCATTGTATTTTTGCTAAATTATGCCTGGCGTGTTGTAGGCGTGGAATAAATATTTGTTGGATGACAGAATGTGGAACCTAGAGGAAACCCGCTTGAAGGTGATTCTTGTGCCAGAGAGGAAATAGTCCTGGTAAGGGCTTGACCTACGTTCACGTAGTAGAAGAAAATCTACTTCTTCAATTAGCACTGATGTGATGTTGTATATTTCACAAAGCACTTTGAAGTACATGGTTACATTTGAGCATTACAACTACTTTGAGACTTCAGAATGACAGATAGGGCCGGGAAAGGTGGCTCATGCCTGTAATCCCAGCACTTCAGGAGGCCAAGGTGGGCAGATCACTTGAGGTCAGGTGTTTGAGAACAGCCTTGCCAACATGACAAAACCTTATCTCTACTAAAAATACAAAAATTAGCTGGGTGTGGTGGCACATGCTTGTAATCCCAGCTACTCAGGAGGCTGAGGTGGGAGAATTTCTTGAACCCGAGAGGTAGAGGTTACAGTGCGTTGAGATCGCACCAATGCACTCCAGCCTCAGTGACAGAGCAAGACCTTATCTCAAAAAGAAAAAAAAAAGAATGACAGACATGGGCATATGAGAGTTGACAGCATTGAGGTTCAGTGGTAAATTGACTTTCCAGAGCTGCATGGTTAGTGGGATTAGAAGCCAAGGTTCATGGCACTTACCTTAACATACTTGAACCTATGCCCCCACTTAACAGAAAATTCTCTCAACCATTCTTCAAACAAGGGCTTGATTAAAAAGCAGCCTATGTGTCTTCTATCATAAATAGGTCATGGCAGCTGGGCGAGGTGGCTCACGCCTGTAATCCCAACACTTTAGGAGGCTGAGGCAGGTGCATCACTTTAGGTCAGGAGTTGGAGACCAGCCTGGCCAATATGGTGAAACCCTGTCTCTACTAAAAGAATAAAAATTAGCCGGGCGTGGTGGTGGGCACCTGTAATCCCAGCTATTCAGGAGGCCCAAGCACATGAATCACTTGAACCTGGGAGGTAGAGGTTGCAGTGAGCTGACATCATGCCACTGCACTCCAGCCTGAGTGACCAAAAAAAAAAAAAAAAAAAAAAAATCACGGGGCATTGTCTCAGAAGGGCAGGCCTTTTTGATTGGCTTTTCTCCACTGAGTCCTGAGACCTGGCCTGTGGGAGATCCCCTGGGTGGGTCTGATCCCTGTCAGAGTCACATAATGAATACCCTGAATTACAGATGCTTTTTCACTTGTAGTCCTGGTAGAATAGACACGAGGTGAATGGAAACCATCAGTGATAATGGGCCAGCCATGATGGGTCATGCCTTTAATCCCAGTGCTTTGGGAGGCTGAGGCAGGAGGATGGCTTGAGGCAAGGAGGAATTTCAGACCAGCCCAGGTAACAATAGTGAAAACTCTTCTCTGCAAAAAACTAAAAAGAAAAAAATTGGTCAGGTGCAGTGGAGCACACCTGCGGTCTTAGCTACTCAGCAGCCTGAGACAGGAGGATCACTTCATTCCAGGAGCTGCAGTGAGCTATGATCCCACCACTGCACTCTAGCCTGGACAACGGAGTAAGATCTTATCTCAAAAAAAAAAAAAGAGAGAAAAAAAAATCAGGAGATTTCAAGTAACAATTCTGAATTTTCAGCTTTTCTTTGGAAAACATCGGGCAACCTGGCAACATCGGAGCTGCCCTCCCGGGTTGCACTCATCTTCGGTATTAAATAGATGCTGCCCCTGTGTGTTCCAATTCACCAAAGTCCCAGCCCCACCCACTCGCACTCACTGGCCTGGCCCCTGAGGCGCATGAATTGGCAACTCTTTAATGTTTCTGTGCTAGAATCAGGTACATCAGGGCTCAATTTTTGCTCTGTCCTTTCCTAGCTTCAGTTTCTTCATCTACAAAATGGGGGTACTAAGAGGAAAACATGTAACATTTGTAGCCTGTGCCAGAGCGTAAGGGTCTATGTTAGTGATTCTTCAAAACTGCTGTACTTTGCTCTATACCAAGGGGACTTGCCTATGTGACCAAGGCTAGCCCCTTTCCACATGTGGGTCGCAGAGGGAAGGAAAACAGCACAGCCAAGATTCTGCTCTGTAATGTCAGGCCAAACAGCGACTTGTTGGAGCAGGAGGGAGGTGAGTGATCGCACAAGGTTTGTAAGGCGGTGACCCAGGACGCCCCACTACACCCACTCCCAGGCAATAACTGCCACATCAGGTTTCGGTGCAAAGGGTGAGGCTCAAGTCTCTGCCATCCCATCCCTCTTCCAGGGAGTGACATCCTGGGATGAGTCAGGAAGTGGAAGAAACTACCCAGGGAGGAGGAGAAACCGGTGTCTGATTGTGCAGCTTTCCTGAGGCTTTTTTGTGGACCGGAATCCCTTCCTGGACCTTTCAGGGCTGTGGCCCTCCTGCCCAGGAGAAGTTGCTAATTTTCTCTAATCTCCTCACACTCCCAGAAATGACACAAGATGGAATAGTGCCCAGTAGGGTACCGAATGCACAGTAGGAATGCAAATGAAATCCATATTAGGAGTTTCTGTTTGATCCTAATTTGCCTTTAAGAAACATAAATTTTAGTGTTTCTTTATATGGAGACAAAGTTAGTTCCCTGCTCTTTACCAAAAAAGAAAAAAAAAAAGTGATTTGTTAGAAACTCAGAAGTACGGCTGAGCACAGAGGCTCATGCTTGTAATCCCAGCACTTTGGGAGGCCGAGGCGGGCGGATCACTTGAGGTCAGGAGTTCGAGACCAGCCTGGCCAACATGGTGAAACCCCATCTATACTAAAAATACAAAAATTAGTCAGACCTGGTGGTAGGCACCTGTAGTCCCAGCTACTCGGGAGCCTGAAGTGCGAGAATCACTTGAACCCGGGAAGCAGAGGTTGCAGTGAGCCGAGATAGCACCGCTGCTACAGTCCAGCCTGGATGATAGAGCGAGACTCTGTCTCAAAAAAAAAAAAAAAAAAAGAATAGAGAAAAGAAAAGAAATCCATACTGGGAAGACAAAGACTGGAAGAGCAAGAATCAGGTCACCAACTCTTGATTCACAAGCGCAATGGTTTGCTTACATTGGTCAATTCTTTCCAATTATTTCTTTCCCCCCTAATGAGGATGATCAATGATACCAAAATTACTGTGATCTGATTACATTTCGTCACACTGCACTGAACTCCATACCTCTCAAACAATCCGATTGCTCTTTTCATGCTAAGACTCAGGGGCAATTTTAAATTATGTTTTTAGCATAGAAACAAATGTGGTAACAATGCCTATGTGAGATTTTTGTTTTGTTTTTGTTTTTAGACAGAGTTTCAATTTCACTCTTGTCGGCCAGGCTGGAGTGCAATGGCAAAATCTCAGCTCACTGCAACCTCCGCCTCCCCAGTTCAGGCAATTCTTCTACCTCAGCCTCCTGAGTAGCTGAGATTACAAGCGCCCACCACCACGCCTGGCTAATTTTTGTATTTTTAGTAGAGACAGGGTTTTGCCATGTTGGCCAGACTGGTCTGGAACTCCTGACCTCAAGTGATCCACCACGTTGGCCTCCCAAAGTGCTGGGATTACAGGCATGAGCTACTGTGCCTGGCCAAAAAAGCAAATAAGTTGAATGCTCAGATGTTCGGGACATCCAGACCACAGCCCCAAAAGGCCATGCATGTGTTCCGGCTGCTGGTTAACGGTCAGAGCCATTGTCCAGCTCCAGCGGCAGGCACCATGTTAAAGGGTATCTGGAAGAGGAAGCACCTCTTCCTTCTTCCTCATGTAGGAGTGGAGCTCTGCTTCGCCCCCATTGTGCCAGGCCCTGGGCACTCATCTCCTTTGTCCTCATGCCGCCCACAGAACGAATGTGAGGGGGACCTAGCTGAGGCAATGCCTGCACTCGAGGCTGCACTAGCTGCTCTGGACACCCTGAACCCGGCCGACATCTCGCTGGTGAAGTCGATGCAGAACCCACCAGGCCCTGTCAAACTGGTCATGGAGAGCATCTGCATCATGAAAGGGATGAAGCCAGAGAGGAAGCCAGACCCCAGTGGCTCCGGTAAGTGCCACCCCACCCAGATGCCTGCACAGGCTGCTCTTTCCTGGCAGTGGGGTGCCAGCACCCACTGCATCCCCAAGTCGACTGCAGGCGTGCAGGCAAGATCACTGAGTTTGGAGGAATTAAGAAAGGAACCAGGCTGTGTGTGTGCACCCAAGGCCTCTCTCAGGCTTCTCCAGCGGCCTCCGCCCTCTCAGTCAGTTGGGAAAAATGCAGGTATCTGTAGGTGGAGCTGAGCTCAGTCAAGGCTTCTCCCTGCAAGTCATTACAAAAATGAAGGTCAGGTAGACAAAAGGCTTGGTGTGGAACAAACACAGAGTCACGTGTGGGTGACCAGGAGAGCTACAGAGAGAGAGAGAGAGAGAAGCAGAGAAAGAGAGTTAGGGAAAGCAAAAGAATGAGACAGAGACAAAGAAAGGAACAGAGAGAAAGAGTCTGAAAAATAAATGGAGACCCAGACACCTATACACGCATGCATGCATGCACACACACACACACATGCACACACATGCATGCACACAGAGACATGCACATATAGACATACATGCACACACAGAGCCATGCACGAACACACTTGCAGACATGCATACATACAGGCATGCACATGCATATACACCCAAAGGGACAGGGGGACCAGGAGAGAAGGAAATCGGGAGAAAGAGACAGGGAAACACACACACACACACACACACACACACACACACAGAGAAAGAAAAAGCAGATGGGGAGAGACTTGCATGCACAAGTGAGATGCAGACATACAGGAGAGAGTAAGACATGAAGGGAGAGAAACAGGTAGAAATAGAGACTGAGAGACAAATATGCAGAGAGCGACAGAGAAATGGAGACAGAGAGATGCAGAGACACATGGAGTGCCAGAGACACAAAGAGAGACACAGAAACAGAGAGACAGAGTGGGAAGAAAAGAGACCAGAGAGAAGAGAGACAGAGACAGGGAGAAAAAAACACTCACACGAAGACAGAGAAGAGGAGTTGGGGGAGGGGTGGGGTGGAGCAGGAGTGGGGAATGGAAAATTAGAGGGAGAGAGACATGGGCAGGAGACAAGGGCAAAGAGAGGCAGAGACGGCAATGGAGAGGAAGAAAGAGAGAGAGAGGGACAGATGAACAAAGAAAGAGAAAGAGGAGGATACAGAGAATTAGAAACGGGCAGAAAGGAATGGGGAAGGAGGAAGGAAAGCTCCTTCTACAGTTGAGCCTAGAAACATTAACAGGTGAATATTCATTCTCCTTCAAATTTAAATTAGGTGTAGGACTTTGCATTAAGACCAGTGCCTTAGAGCTGAACAGTGACTTTAAAAATCACCTCCAAATCTATTTCCTGCCTTTTGAGTCTTCCAGTCCTGGGAACAGTCTGGCTATTCCTTCATTCTTTCTGAAATGTTAGATCTCTGCTCTAATCCCATCCAGGTGCAGTGGCTCACACCTGTAATCCCAGCACTTTGGGAGGCTGAGGTGGGTGGATCACTTGAGCCCAGGAGTTTGAGACCAGCCTGGACAACATGACAAAACCCCATCTCTACAAAAAATGCAAAATTTCGCCAGGCATGCTGGCGCATGTCTGTAGTCCCAGCTGCTCAGGAGGCTGAGAAGAGAGGAACGCTTGAGCCTGGGAGGTTGAGGCTGCAGTGAGCCGTGATCCTGCCACTGATCTTTAGCTTGTATGACAGAGTGAGACCCTGTCTCAAGAAAGAAATCCCTGATCCCTCATTTGAGACCTTCTGGCTCCTGCTTCCCATTGCTTAGCATTCCCTCTTCTCTGGCGGGTGTCAGGCCTAAACTCACATAAAGCAGAGGCAAAGCTCATCAGGAATAGTCAAGCAAAGAGCAGATGTTACAAGAGCATCCTTTAGGGAAATAGCTAATGTATAATAAGTTGGCCTTGAGCAAAGATGAGCTAGATAGTACTTCTGCACCCTGGCTGCACCCTAGAATCACCTGGAGAGGTTAAAGAATGCAGAAGTCGGCCAGGTGCGGTGGGTCACTCCTGTAATCCCAGCACTTTGGGAGGCCAAGATGGGAGGATCACCTGAGGTCAGGAGTTCAAGACCAGCCTGGCCAACATGGTGAAATCCTGTCTCTACTAAAAATACCAAAAAAAAAAATTAGCTGGGCATAGTGGTGTGTGCCTAATCCCAGCTACACGGAAGGCTGAGGAAGGAGAATTGCTTGAATCCGGGAGGCAGAAGTTGCAGTGAGCCGAGACCACGCCATTGCACTCCAGCCTGGGCAACAAGAACAAAACTCCGTCTCAAAAAAAAAAAAAAAAAAAAAAAAAAAGCAGAAGTCTGTGCCCCACTCCTAGAGAGTCTCATTCCATTGGTCTGGGATGCAGCCTGAGCATTAGGATTTTTTTTAAGCTCCCCTGCAGCTGGGGTTGAGACCTGCTGAGATACACAAAGCACAGCCAGGTCATGAATGTCACTTCTCATCTTGGATCACTGATGATCAGCACAGAACCCATCATTAAATTAAAATTAAAGCAAATTATGCCTGTTATTCACCCAAACCATGGAATTGAGTGAGTATATTGAGATGGAGCAAAAGAGCAATTGAGTTAGTTCGGGGTACCTTGAATCTAAATGAAGCAGATCATTTTCTAGAATGCCAACAAAAACCTTCATGGGAAATATTTGGCTGATTTCTCCTCTTGTAATTAGGAATGGGACACATTTGACCTGCTGTACTCAATGTGATGTCTCAGAGTATAACTTTTTTGATGAGCCTGAGCTTGGCAAGTACCATGGGCCAAAAAGCTTCCCAAATTTTTTCCAATGTGTCAACAGAAGGAGCATTGTTCCGGGATGGGATTGAGACTCACTTGATTACTTGTTAGTCAGCATGATGGCTGCTAAGGGGAATAACGGCCTGGCTTTGTGTCTGGGCAGGCCACGGGTAGTCTTCTGTATGGGTGGAAGCCTGCAAGCTGCTTCTTCCAGCCTCCTTCATTCTCACAAGACCTTTGCCTCACTCACACAGTTCATCAAAGGGAGGACTGATTGGGCTCCATCCAACCCACCTCCCAGACTAGGGAAGGATATTCGAAACTCATCCCCACGGGCTGTGGCTCCCGCTGCCTTTTCCATCCATGAATAAGATAATGGGGTACTATTCATTCAACCCATATTTATTGATAACTAAGTACCAGGCAGTGTGCCAGGTTCTAGAAAACAGAAGAAGTTTACCGCTTTGAGGGAAAGGTAGATGGTAGATAATAATTGAAAACTTACAGGTTGCAATAAGTGCTATAAAGGGAATGGACTTTCTAGCAAGCAAGGTGAAAGAAAATGCTGGTGCAGCGGGGAGGGGGGCCTCTCTTGTCAGATAAGTCTAGGGAAACCTCTATATGGCAATGGCTTTTAAAACGAGGCCTCCAGCCTGGGCAACATGGCGAAACCTCATCTCTATAAAAAATACAAAGATTGGCTGGGCACAGCTGGGCGTGGTGGCCCATACCTGTAATCCCAGCACTTTGGGAGGCTGAGGTGGGTGGATCACCTGAGGTCAGGAGTTCGAGACCAGCCTGTCCAACATGGTGAAACCCCGTCTCTACTAAAAGTACAAAAAATTAGCCGGGTGTGGTGGTGGGTGCCTGTAATCCCAGCTGCTCGGGAGGCTGAGGTAGGAGAATCGCTTGAACCCAGGAGGCAGAGGTTGCAGTGAGCCAAGGTCGCACCATTGCACTCCAGCCTGGGCAGCAAAAGTGAGACTCCATCTCAAAAAAAAAAAAAAAAAAAAAAAAAAAAAAAAAAAAAAAATTGGCTGGGCATGGTGGCTCAGGCCTGGAATCTTAGCAATTTGGGAGGCCGAGGTAGGCAGATCACATGAGGTCAGGAGTTTAAGACCAGCCTGGTCAACATGGTAAAACCCTGTCTCTACTAAAAATACAAAAATTAGCCAGGCATGGTGGCACATGCCTGTAGTCCCAGCTCCTTGGGAGGCTGAGGCAGGAGGATCACTTGAACCCAGGAGGCGAAGGTTGCAGTGAGCCAAGATCGTGCCACTGAACTCTAGCCTGGCTGACAGTGCAAGACTCTGTCTCAAAATAAATAAATGAATAAATAAAATGAGGCCTGAGGTCTGGTCAGGAGCCAGCTAGATGCCATTTACAGTATAGGCAAAGGGCTCATGGTAAGAAGCACTTGGGGTCATGGAGGAATTGAAGGAAGGTCCTTTATAACTCAAGTTTAGGGAGCAAGGCAGAGATGGGGTTGATGAGGTTGGCTGGGCCTCTCAGACCATGTTTTTGTTTTTGTTTTTTCTCAAATACCAGCAGTAACCACTGCAGAATTTTAAGTCTTGGCCAGAATGTCTTAACACATTATCTCTGTTTCTTGTTCCAAATAGGTAAGATGATAGAAGATTACTGGGGGGTATCCAAAAAGATTCTTGGGGATCTGAAATTCTTGGAGAGTCTTAAGACATATGACAAAGACAACATCCCCCCACTGACCATGAAGCGGATCCGGGAAAGGTTTATCAATCACCCGGAATTCCAGCCAGCTGTCATTAAAAATGTATCGTCGGCCTGCGAGGGTCTGTGCAAGTGGGTGAGGGCCATGGAGGTGTACGATCGCGTGGCCAAGGTGGTGGCTCCCAAACGGGAGCGACTGAGGGAGGCAGAGGGGAAGCTGGCTGCACAGATGCAGAAGCTGAACCAGAAAAGAGCAGAGCTGAAGCTGGTGGTAGATCGGCTCCAGGCCCTGAATGACGACTTTGAAGAGATGAACACCAAGAAAAAGGACTTGGAGGAAAACATTGAAATCTGCTCCCAAAAGCTGGTCAGGGCAGAGAAACTGATCAGTGGTCTTGGGGGAGAGAAGGACAGATGGACCGAAGCTGCCCGACAGCTGGGGATCCGCTATACTAATCTGACTGGTGACGTGTTGCTGTCCTCAGGAACTGTGGCTTACCTGGGCGCTTTTACAGTGGATTATCGGGTCCAGTGCCAAAATCAGTGGTTGGCTGAATGTAAGGACAAGGTCATCCCTGGCTTCAGTGACTTCAGTCTCAGCCACACGTTAGGGGATCCCATAAAAATCCGTGCCTGGCAGATTGCTGGGCTTCCCGTTGACTCCTTCTCCATCGACAATGGCATCATTGTATCCAATTCCAGACGCTGGGCCTTAATGATTGACCCTCACGGGCAGGCCAATAAATGGATTAAGAACATGGAGAAGGCGAATAAACTGGCTGTCATCAAGTTCTCTGATAGCAACTACATGAGGATGCTGGAAAACGCGCTGCAGTTAGGCACCCCTGTCTTGATTGAAAACATTGGAGAAGAGCTGGATGCTTCTATCGAACCTATCTTGCTCAAGGCAACATTCAAACAGCAAGGAGTTGAGTACATGAGGCTGGGTGAAAACATCATTGAATATTCCAGGGATTTTAAGTTATACATCACAACCCGTTTGAGGAATCCACATTACCTCCCAGAAGTTGCCGTGAAGGTCTGTCTCCTCAACTTCATGATCACCCCCTTGGGTCTCCAAGATCAACTCCTTGGCATCGTGGCTGCGAAGGAGAAGCCAGAGCTGGAAGAGAAAAAGAACCAGTTGATTGTGGAAAGTGCCAAGAACAAGAAGCATCTCAAGGAAATTGAAGATAAGATCTTGGAGGTTCTCTCCATGTCCAAGGGTAACATCCTGGAGGATGAAACCGCCATCAAAGTTCTGTCCTCCTCCAAAGTGCTATCTGAAGAGATCTCAGAGAAACAGAAAGTTGCTTCCATGACAGAAACGCAGATTGACGAGACTCGGATGGGCTACAAGCCAGTGGCTGTGCATTCTGCCACCATCTTCTTTTGTATCTCGGACCTGGCCAACATCGAGCCGATGTACCAGTACTCCCTGACTTGGTTCATAAATCTCTACATGCATTCCTTGACCCACAGCACGAAGAGCGAGGAACTGAATCTGCGCATCAAGTACATCATTGACCATTTCACCCTGAGCATCTACAACAACGTGTGCCGTTCTCTGTTTGAGAAGGACAAGCTACTCTTCTCTCTCCTCCTGACCATCGGCATCATGAAACAGAAGAAGGAAATTACGGAGGAGGTGTGGTACTTCCTTCTCACTGGAGGCATCGCACTGGATAACCCCTACCCCAATCCAGCTCCCCAATGGCTGTCTGAGAAGGCATGGGCAGAGATTGTCCGTGCATCTGCCTTACCCAAACTGCATGGCCTGATGGAGCATTTGGAACAGAACCTGGGTGAATGGAAGCTGATCTATGACTCGGCCTGGCCCCATGAGGAGCAACTCCCTGGGTCTTGGAAGTTCTCTCAAGGATTGGAGAAGATGGTGATCCTTCGATGTTTGCGGCCTGACAAAATGGTGCCAGCGGTCCGGGAGTTCATTGCTGAACATATGGGAAAGCTGTATATCGAAGCCCCTACGTTCGATCTCCAGGGATCCTACAATGATTCCAGCTGCTGTGCGCCTTTGATTTTTGTGTTGTCTCCAAGTGCAGACCCAATGGCAGGTAAGAACAGAGTGTTGTGGGAGAGACGTGGAAAGCCCAGTATGTGTGGGTGGATATCAGTAGCCCGTCCCTTACAGCAGGGATCTCAAGTTCAGATGGCTTTGAAGGCCAGGTGGTTCATAGGCTGAGGTGGAGCCACGGAACTCGTCCTTTTCTGCCTATAGAGGTCAGCTGCTACTCCGCATCCACAAATTGGGCCATTTGGGAATGTAAGCCCAGAATTGCTAGATCATCTGATTTTTCAAGAGAACCAGAAATGGAGAAATTTCCCACTTTTGTATCTTGATAATTCATTCAAAGTTCTTTCCTTAAAAACCTGGTGAGGGTTCCGGAGAGGTGGCTTATGCCTGTAATCCCAGCACTTTGGGAGAATGAGTTGGGAGGATTGCTTGAGCCCAGGAGTTTGAGACCAGCCTGGGCAACATAGTGAGACCTCCATTGCTATAAAACATTAAAAAATTATCTGGAAATGGTGGCACATGCCTGTAGTCCCAGCTACTTGGGAGGCTGAGGCAGGAGGATCCCTTCAGCCTTGAGAGGTCAAGGCTGCAGTGAGCTATGATCACACCACTGCACTCCAGTCTAGGTGACAGACCCTGCCCCCTCCCCCCAAAAAAGAACAAAATAGAAGCTTGGTGAGATTCAGCTCGGATGATTCCACAGGAAACTTCACACTGTGTCCCTTCTAGTGCCGCATGTCATGAGATCCATACTGTCTGGCTGTCTTTTCTGATAAAGACAGATCTGGGGACTCAGGCATTGTCAGCATGAGCTGGCTCTCCATTCCCCCACTCCCTCCCTTATACAGTTTCCCACCAGCTTTTCACCTGATGTGACAGTTCTCAATCTTGGCTGCACATTGGAATCACCTGGGGAGTTTAAAGAAGCCTCACAATGCACGGGCCACAGCTTTGGCCAATTAAATTAAAATCTTTGGGGTGAGACCCACGAATTGTGTTTTATGAAGCCTTTCCAGTAATTCCAGTGTGCAGCCAGGGATGGGAACCACTGACTTTAATAGTTTTAGTGGCCTTTGAAAATCATCACCAAGATCCACTATTTCAGTAGCAGGTGCACAATGATTATTTTTTTTAATTATTATTTTATTTTATTTATTTATTTTGAGATGGAGTCTTGCTCTATCGCCCAGGCTGGACTGCAGTGGCGTGATATTGGCTCACTGCAACCTCCACCTCTCGGGTTCAAGCAATTCTCATGCCTCAGCCTCCTGAGTAGCTGGGATTACAGGCACGTGCTGCCACGTCTGGCTAATTTTTGTATTTTTAGTAGAGATGGAGTTTCACCATGTTGGCCAGGCTGGTCTTGAACTCCTGACCTCAAGTGATCCACCCACCTCGGCCTCCCAAAGTGCTGGGATTACTGGTGTGAGCTACTCGGGAGGCTGAGGCAGGAGAATTGCTTGAACTTGGGAGGCGGAGGTTGTGGTGAGCCAAGATCATGCCATTGCACTCCAGCCTGGGCAACAAGAGCAAAACTCCATCTCAAAAAAAAAAAAAAAAAAAAAACCAGAAATTTATTTTCTCACAATTCTTAAAGAAAGTTTGAAATCAAGCTGTTGGCGGGGATGGTTTCTTTCGAGGCCTCTCTGATTGGCTTGCTGATGGTCATCTTCTCCCTATGTCTGCACAGGGCCTTCTCTCTGTGTCTGTCCTCATCTCCTCTTCTCATAAGGATATCAGTCATATTGGATTAAGGCCCACTCTAATGAACGCATTTTATTTTATTTTATTTTATTTTATTTTATTTTTTTATTCATTTATTTTTTATTATTATACTTTACGTTCTAGGGTACATGTGCACAACGTGCAAGTTTGTTACATATGTATATATGTGCCATGTTGGTGTGCTGCAACCATTAACTCATCATTTACATTAGGTGTATCTCCTAATGCTATCCTTTCTCCCTCCCCGCACCCCACGACAGGCCCTGGTGTGTGATGTTCCCCTTCCTGTGTCCAAGTGTTCTCATTGAATGAACTCATTTTAACTTTGCCTCCGCAAAGACCCTATCTCCAACTACTGAACAGTTACATTCTGAGGTACCTGGAATTAGGACTTCAACATATGAATTTTGCTAGGGACACGATGCAGTTCGTAACAGAGACCATATGTAATCCTTAGAATATTAACCCTGATCTTTTTATGTGCTGCCTGCCCCTCATAGTGATGTACTTCCTCGTGTAGGTTTTTTTTTAGTGTGAGTTCACCATCAGCAAATTTGTGTTGTTTAGCAGGAGTCTCATATACTTTGGGTTTAAGGAGTGTCCTTACAGAACAACTTTGCATGTGCAAACAGTGGTACCCCAGAGGGTGAGGTGGGGGTCGCCATTCTGGATCAAATTTTATGGGAAATTTCTCAGCTTAGGAATCCCACACCAGAGAGTACCGTGAACTCACACTCCTCAAATTCATGTGGCATAAACTTAGTGTTTTGATTTTTAAACTGGAGAGTTATTTTTTCCATCCAGGCTCCAGACCAGTTATGAGCTTCCATGTCTTTTCCTTGGGTCAGTAGTCAAATGGCCTTGGCCGCCTTTTGTTTGTTTGTTTGTTTGTTTGAGATGGAGTCTTGCTGTGTAACCCAGGCCAGAGTGCAGTGGCGTGATCTCGGCTCACTGCAACCTCCGCCTCTTCCCAGGTTCAAACAATTTTCCTGCCTCAGCCTCCCGAGTAGCTCGGACTACAGGCATGTGCCACCCAGCTAATTAGTTAATTAGCCCAGCTAATTTTTGTATTTTTAGTAGAGATGGGGTTTCACCATGTTGGCCATGCTGGTCTCGAATTCCTGACCTCAAGTGATCCGCTCGTCTCGGCCTCCCAAAGTGCTGGGATTGCAGGCGTGAGCCACCACATCTGGCCAAAGGTCTGGCCTTCATAACATGAAGGTACGGCACTTTGAGAATTCTAACTTTATGCAAGTGTCTCGGTTCCAGCTCCCCACCTCTTATGAGTGCAAAGCTATATCTCCCATGGACATTAAAACTTTAACATCTAGAGTAATGAAATAAAGTGTAGTATTTTCCAATGGTGATATACTATGTATCCATGAAAGAAAAAAGCCTTTATACATGTACTAGTGTGGAAGAGACCTATAAGATATGTACATTGTTAAGTGGGAAAAAAATGCAGTATTCTACAATTCATATAAATTTAATAGTATATATGCATTTATTTAAATACACAAAATATTTCTTGAAGGATTCACAAATCTAATCACATTGGCTACCACTGAGAAGAGAGAAGTGAGAGACTTATTTCACTTTACAAATGCTTATATTTCTTGTTAAAATAAATTGGCAAAAATCAGTTTCCTAGTTATTTGATGTGCTCACCTCTTTATTTTTGAGTTCCCCGTTTTGGGCACCTGGGAATATCCTTTTCTTTCAAACCTTGATTTTTTTTGTTTCTTTTCAGTTCAGATAATTTCTTTTTTTATCAAGAATGTCTATGTGTTTAAAGCAAAAGAGAAGTTGATGGTAGCTTCATCTGCCATCTGATCTGATGTCTAAAGTTTCCCCAGAGAGATGTTTATTTTGTAATTAACAGAAGCCAATGAGTTTTTTTCTGAGTCCAAAATTTAATGTGAACCCCACCTTTTGTGTTGGGGTGTGTGTGTGTGTGTGTGTGTGTGTGTGTGTGTGTGTGTGTGTGTTTAAATAGAGACAAGGTCTCACTGTGTTGCCCAGGCTGGTCTCCAACTCCTGAGCTCAAGTGATCCTCCCACCTCGGCCTCCCAAAGTGTTGGGATTACAGGTGTGAGCCACCACACCCAGCCATGTTGTTATTGTTGATATAGCTGTTCTGTTACTGTTAGCTGGCCTGTCGTCTTTCAAAAGCCTCCTTTCTTCCTGGTCTCAGGCCTGCTGAAGTTTGCTGATGATCTTGGTATGGGAGGTACCAGAACACAGACCATCTCCCTTGGCCAAGGCCAAGGCCCTATTGCTGCCAAAATGATCAACAATGCCATCAAAGACGGGACCTGGGTGGTCTTACAGAACTGCCACCTGGCCGCAAGCTGGATGCCTACCCTGGAGAAGATTTGTGAGGAGGTGATTGTTCCTGAGAGCACCAATGCCAGATTCAGGTGAGATGCTGTCCCACCACTGCCTTCTCTGGGACCCAACCTCCAGACATCAGGATGGTGGCTGGGAAGATGACCAAGACACAGTCCTGCCCCTTAGAAACTTTCAGTCTAGGCCAGGCAGGGTGGCTCATGTCTGTAATCCCAGCACTTTGGAAAGCTGAGGTGGGTGGATCACCTGAGGTCAGGAGTTCGAAACTAGCCTGGCCAACATTGCAAAACACTGTCTCTACTAAAAATACAAAAATTAGCCAGGCATAGTGGCGCACACCTGTAATCCCAGCTACTCAGGAGGCTGAGGTGGGAGAATTGCTTGAACCCAGGAGGCAGAGGTTGTAGCGAGCAGGGATCGTATCACTGCACTCCAGCCTGGGCGACAGAGTGAGACTTCCTCTCTAAAAAAGAAAGAAGCTCTTCAGTATAGCAGAAGGCAGGCCATAGATGAATAATGTTGATACCATGTCATACCTGATTTACTCACTATTTGAACAAGAACCATGGAATACAGAGAAGGGATGGGAAGGTTGGGGAAGTCTTGGAGGCCTGACAATGGCCCAGGATTTTGAAAAATGAATAGGAGTTTGCCAGGAAGGATGTTCTAGGCAGAAGAGACAGCATTTGGAAAAGCAAAGAGAGGTATTGGAAAAGCAAAGAGAGGTATTAAGGAAATCCTGAGAAGTTATCTTACAGCTCTGGTATATGCCATGAAAAGTTGTTGGAGAAGGTAATAGGAGACGTAGCTGGAAAGGTAGATTCAATGTGAGCAAGTCTGATTTTTAAAAATTATTATTTGTCTAAAAAAAATTCTGTCCAGGCATGGTGGCTCACGCCTGTAATCTCAGCATTTTGAAAGGCTGAGACAGGTGGATTGCTTGAACCCAGGAGTTCAAGGCCAGTTTGGGCAACATGGCAAAACCCCATCTCTACTAAAAATACAAAAAATGAGCTGGGCATGGTGGCGCACATTTGTAGTCCCAGCAACTTGGGAGGCTGAACTGGGAGAATCACCTGAGCCTGAGAAGTCGAGCCTGCAGTGAGCAGTGATCACACCACTGCACTCCAGCCTGGGCGACAGAGTGAGACCCTGTCTCAAAAAAAAAAAAAAAAAATTCTACTGTTTTCCAGGTATCATTTGTCCTGCCTCCCGCCTCCTGCCTCTATCCTACATTTCTGGGGTTCTTCGGAATTTTAATCAACATTGGAAACAGCTATTTGTTTTTTGGGAATTTTAAAGCCCAACAAAGCTAAACCTCAGTTTTTGCATTCATAAAATAATGAGTTGAACCAAACAGACTTTAAAGTCCATTTTAACTCAAATGTTCAGGGATTCTCTTTTTTTTTTTTTTTTTTTTTTTTTTTTTTTTTTTTTTTTTGGAGATGGAGTTTCGCTCTTATTGCCCAGGCTGGAGTGCAATGACGCGATCTCCACTCACTGTGACCTCTGCCTCCCGGGTTCAAGCGATTCTCCTGCCTCGGCCTCCTGAGGCTACTACAGGCATGCACCACCATGCATGGCTAATTTTGAATTTTTAGTAGAGATGGGGTTTCTCCATGTTGGTCAGGCTGGTCTTGAACTCCCAACCTTAGGTGATCCGCCCACCTCAGCCTCCCAAAGTGCTGGGATTACAGGCGTGAGCCACCACACCCAGCCAAGGGATTCTCTTATACCAGGGCAGAGAGCAGCAACCTATGGCCCGATAGCCAAATGCACCCTGCTGCCAGTTTTTTTTGTATAGCTTGCAAGCTAACTAAACAGTGTGGGGAAGAAACTAAAGAATCATGTTTCATAATACATGAAACTTCTATGAAATTCAAATTTTAGTGTCCATAAATAAAGTTTTATTGAAAAACATCATGCTTATTCATATATTGTCTATGGCTACTTTTGTATGACAAGTAGTTGCAGCAGAGATCATGTGGGCTCACAAAGTCTAAAATATGTACTATTTGGTCCTTTACAGAAAAAAATTTGTCAACCCCTGCTCTATCCAACAAAACTAGCTGGTTATTTTCATCTCAGTCGTCTGCCAGAAAAGAGGGAAAGTGTTTGGTGCTTATTTACAAAGTCGGATTAGGCCACAGTTGATTTGTCTTCATATAAAACTTCCAAAAGAGAGAGAGTTTAAGAGAAGTCCATTAGTTTCAAGAATGCTGTTTGGGGCCGAGTGAGGTGGCTCACACCTGTAATCCCAGCACTTTGGGAGGTCAAGGCAGGCGGATCACATGAGGCCAGGAGTTCAAGACCAGCCTGGCAACATGGTGAAACCCTGTCTCTACTAAAAATACAAAAATTAGCCAGGTGCGGTGGTGCATGTCTGTAATCCCAGCTACTTGGGAGGCTGAGCCACAAGAATTCCTTGAACCCAGGAGGTGGAAGTTGCAGTGAACTGAGATTGCACCACTGCACTCCAGCCTGGGTGACAGAGTGAGACTCTGTCCCAAACATAAATAAATTAAAAAACAAACAACAAAAAAACCTAAAAGCGTTGTGCCTTAATCTTTAAAAAAAAGAAAAGAATGTTGTTTGGTTTGGGATAGTGAGTGAATTCATTGGCCATTAATGACACACTCAAAGAAGAAAAAGTTATTTATGTTGACATTTTAAGTTCTACTGTAATATGATCCTGACCCAAAAATCATGAACTCAAGTTCTCAAGTGCCTATAGGGGCCAGGCATGTAACATAAATGAGTGAAGAGGGCTGGATACAAGAAATAGTCCACGTTCCACAGTACAGCAACAATCCTCATGGGTAGTCAGCCTCAGTGTCAGACACAATAGGGAATGGTGGGGCTTGCAGTGAACTGGGCACATGCTCTGGCAAGGAGAGCGGTCACTGTTTAATACTAGCTAACTGTTGCCATGTAGGATCAGACTTTCTAACAATTTTAAAGGGAAGATGGGAATCTAGAACTGTAAAAGAAAGCCTTAGGTTTTTAAACGTTAGCAACTCTGGCCGGGCGCAGTGGCTCACACCTGTAAATCCTAGCACTTTGGGGGGCCGAGGTGGGTGGATCACCTGAGGTCAGGAGTTCAAAGCCAGCCTGGCTATCATGGTGAAACCCTGTCTCTACTAAAAATACAAAAATTAGCCGGGCATAGTGGCGGGCACCTGTAGTCCCAGCTACTCGGGAGGCTGAGGCAGGAGAATCACTTGAACCTGGGAGGTGGAGGTTGCAGTGAGCCGAGATGCACCCCTGTACTGCAGCCTGGGTGACAGAGTGAGACCTTGTCTCAAAAAAATGAAAATAAAAATAAAATAAGATAAAAATAATAAAAATGAAAAAAAAGAGCCTCAGATGCAATGTGCCAAGATGTTAACCTATAGGTGGTAAAATTATCAATTCTAGTTTCTTCTAAACACTTTTACATATGTTTCCATTTTTTGTGGGCATAGATACACTTGCATTTAAAAAAGAATTTCTCCCTATTTTTCAAGGCACATTTCAAATGCCATTTCTTATATGACAGGCATCAGCAAACTTTTTCTGTAAAGGGCCAATAGTAAATATTTCAGGGTTTGTGGCCATATTGTCTCTGTTGCAACTATTCAACTCTGGTTGTAGGGAGAAAGCAGCCTTAGGGCCAGGCACGGGGACTCACACCTGTAATCCCAGCACTGTGGGATGGTGAGGTGGGAGGATCACTTGAGCCCTGGAGTTCGAGACCAGCCTGGGCAACATAGAGGGACTCCATCTCTACATTAAAAAAAAAAAAAGAGTAGGAGCTTTGGAGTCAGAGAGTCCTGAGTTCACATCTTGGTTCAACTACTGCCAAGTGGTGTGTCCTTGAAAAACCCACCTGACCTTGCCATGCCTCCGCTTCCTCACTGGTAAAAGAGGTAGTAAGTCCCTCCTCATCAGGTGGCTGTGAGGCTTAAGGGAAATAAAAGGACATATGTTAAATGCTTAGCATAGTTTTGGCTCTGGTAGTATTTAATCATAGCTATTCTTTTTTGTTATTTTTTTTTAATTTATCAATAAAATAATGTTTTTCATAGAGATGGGGTTTTACCATGTTACCCAGGCTGGTCTGTTTTGTTATTGTTATTGTTTTGTTTTTGTTGTTGCTTTTCACTATAACTTATTGTATTGCTCTAAAACGTTGGGTCCATTGTTCTTCCAGACTCTGGCTAACCAGCTATCCATCAGAGAAGTTTCCAGTCAGCATTCTCCAGAATGGAATCAAAATGACCAATGAGCCCCCCAAAGGGCTCCGGGCCAACCTGTTGCGCTCCTACCTCAATGACCCCATCTCAGATCCTGTGTTCTTCCAAAGCTGTGCAAAGGCGGTGATGTGGCAAAAGATGTTATTTGGCCTTTGTTTCTTCCACGCCGTTGTTCAAGAGAGAAGAAACTTCGGCCCCCTAGGTAAGCGATGACAGTGCACCTGAGTGGCCTGAGGGAAAGGATATCAGACACATATAGGTGTGTTTCCAGGTGCGTGTTTAAGCTTGCGCTCAGATAGGGTTGCCAGTAAGATACGGTATAAATATTTTCCAGGCAATATTTGGAACATACTTATACTAAATGATTTATTATTTAACTAATATTAAACTCTCACTGTATTTTTATTTGCTAAATCTGACAACCTGGCTGGGCGTGGTGACTTGTGCCTTTAATCCCAGCACTTAGGGAGGCCAAGGGAGGCAGAATCCTTGAGGCCAGGAGTTCGAGACCAGCCTGGGTAACATGGTAAAACCCCATCTCTACTAAAAACACAAAAATTAGCCGGGTGTGGTGGTGCCCGCCTATAATCCCAGCTATTTGGGAAGCTGAGGCATGAGAATGGCTTCAACCGGGAGGTGGAGTTTGTAGTGAGCCCATATCACACCACCACACTCCAGCCTGGGTGACAGAGTGAGACCCTGTCTCAAAAAAAAAAAAAAAAAGTCTATAGGTAGATTAATACATAAGCAAAATGTTATATATTCATACAACGAATTTTTTTTTTTTTTTTTGAGATAGGGTCTCACTCTGTCACCCACGCTGGAGTGTGGTGTTGTGATCTTGGCTCATTGCAACCTCCACCTCTCAGGTTCAAGCGATCCTCCCACTTCAGCCTCCCCAGTAGCTGGAACTACAAGCATGCCACCACACCCGGTTAATTTTTGTATTTTTAGTAGAGATGGGGTTTCACCGTGTTGGCCAGGCTGGTCTAGAACTCCTGAATATTAATCAACCTTAAAGAGGAAGAAAATTCTGACATACACTACAACGTGGATGAACCTGAGGACATTAGAGGACATTACGCTAAGTGAAATAAACCAGTCATGCCAGGCACAATGGTGCAAGCCTGTAATCCCAGTACTTTGGGAGGCTGAGGTGGGAGGATCGCTTGAGGCGAGAAGGTGGAGGCTGCAGTGAGCCAAGATTGTGCCACTGCACTCCAAACTGGATGACAAAGTAAGACATTGTCTCAAAAAAAAAATTAAAATAAATAAAATAGCCTGACATAGTAGCACAAGCCTGTAGTCCCAGCTACTTGGGAGGCTGAGGTGGGAGGATCACTTGAGCCTGGGAGTTCGAGGCTGCAGTGAAGGGAGATCATACCACTCTAGACTGGGCAAAAGAACGAGATCCAGTCTCTCAAAAAAAAAAAGCCATGCAAATGTTTGGCTTGCAACTAACTGCCAGTCATGCTTCGTTTGCTGGCACACGAATTTTATTATTTTGTTATAATTTGAAAGCGAGTGTTTGGGAGGAAATTAAACTTCTCTATTGAACCTGGGCGCGATGGTTCACACCTGTAATCCCAGCACTTTGGGAGGCCGAGGCAGGCGGATCACTTGCGATCAGGAGTTCAAGACCAGCCTGGCCAACATGGCGAATCCCCGTCTCTACTAAAACTACGTAAACTAGCTGGGCGTGGTGGCACGTGCCTGTAATCCCAGCCACTCAGGAGGCTGAGACAGGAGAATCTCTTGAACCCAGGAGGTGGAGGTTGCAGTCAGCCGAGATCACGACACTGCATTCCAGCTTGTGGGACAGAGCGAGACTCTGTCTCCAAAAAAAAAAAACAACAAACAAAAAAACAAAACAAACAAAAGCAAAACAAACAAAAAACTTCCCTATTGAGCACAGGTTTCCCCATACTCTTTCTTGTATCCTGCACCATGCCTGGTTTACACATGTATGTCACTTGTTCAGCCCCCAATGGGCATTTATCATTACACCCTTGGAAATACGAGTGGTCATTTCTTTAAGGCTGGCCATTCAGTTTTTCCCGTGAGCTCGAGGAGGGGAATTCTCAGAACCAACGTGGCTCTGTTGCCCAGTCGTAGCTCCTGCTGTCTAGCCATGCCGCGGTGTTATTTTTGGAGCTCCGTGCATTACCGCCATATTCCTGCCAGGCTGAATAATTCTCATTCCACAAATCCCAGGACATTAACATCTTCCTTAACAAATGGGGAGGTATATAAGGAAATTGATTTTAGAATGGATGTTTTCTCAGGCAGAATGGCTCCCATGTTGGTGGTAAACGTCCAGGCTAATAGTTGGCCTCGGTGCTTGATATTCATGAGCCTGAAAGAGGCTTTTGATCCATAATGATGCTTAACTCCCTCGGCTTGGTCTTTGAGTGGAAATTAAGAGCTCTCAGCACTGAAGCCTCTCTCTGCTCTCCCACACGCAGGGTGGAATATTCCCTATGAATTCAACGAATCTGACCTGAGGATTAGTATGTGGCAGATCCAGATGTTTCTCAATGACTACAAGGAGGTGCCCTTTGATGCTCTGACCTACCTGACAGGTATTTACGGGAGGAGTTTTTCCACTGTAAACCTCCAGTATCATGTTCCACCCTCCTGCTGTTCTCCTCCCATTTCCATTCACTTATGTACTCCCTCCCTCCCTCACCATAAACATCGAGCTCTTACTAATGCTGGTCATCATGCTAGATATTGTAAGGAAACAAACAAACAAAAAAAATTAAGATAGAATCTTTACCCTTGAGTGACTCACAGTCTCCAAAAGAAGAAAAATATTTTAAAAAATGATACAGGCCAGCGGGGCACAGTGGCTCATGCCTGTAATCTCAGCACTTTGGAAGGCCACGGCAGGTGGATCACCTGAGGTCAAGAGTTTGAGACCAGCCCGACCAACATATTGAAACCCCATCTCTACTAAAAATTAAAAAATTGGCCAGGCGTGGTGGCTCACGCCTGTAAGCCCAGCACTTTGGGAGGCTGAGGCAGGCGGATCACGAGGTCAGGAGATCGAGACCATCCTGGGTAACACGGTGAAAACCTGTCTCTACTAAAAATATAAAAAATTAGCCGGGCATGGTGGCCAGTGCCTGTAGTCCCAGCTACTCCTTGGGAGGCTGAGACAGGAGAATTGCATGAAGTGGGGAGGCAGAGGTTGCAGTGAACTGAAATTGCGCCACTGCATTCTAGCCTGGGTGACAGAGACTCTATCTCAAAAAAAAAAAAAAAAAAAAAAAATACGGGCCAGGCGCAGTGGATCATGCCTGTAATCCCAGCACTTTGGGAGACCGAGGCGATGGATCACTTGAGGCCAGAAGTTTAAGACCGGCTGGGGCAAAATCCCATCTCTACAAAAAATACAAAAATTAGCCAGGCGTGGTGACACATGCCTGTAGTCCTAGCTACTCAGGGGACTAAGGTGGGAGGATTGCTTGAGCCCCGGATGTGGAGGTGCGGTGAGCTCTGATCGTGCCACCCCACTCCAGCCTGGGTGACAGAGCGAGATCCTGTCTCAGAAGAAAAAAAAAAAAAGGTAACATAGTAATAAGTTCAACAAGAGAAACATTTATAAGTAGAAGGGCAGCATAATGATTAAATCTTGGGGTAGGAGGAGGAGATGATCGTGGCAAACTTCTTAAAGGCATAAGAGATGGGTTTTGGGGGTGAGTAGGAGTTTTATGAGTGGAAAAGAATGGACTGGGTGGGGCATAGAGGAAGGAGAACATTCCCAGCAAAGTGATCCTGAGGTAGAAATGGCACTAGCTGTTTTGTATTAAAGCAATCAATCAGCAACCTTTTATTAGTCCACGATATGTACAAGTACATAATATGGAAGAATGTAAATGTGTAAAACTTGATCATAGGCTCTGTGCGGTGGGTCATGTCTGTAATCCCAGCACTTTTGGAGGCCAAGGTGGGAAGATTGCTTGAGCCCAGGAGTCTGAGACCAGTCTGGGCCACATCTCTACAAAGAAATAAAATAAAAATGAGCTGGATATGGTGTTGTGCACCTGTAGCCCCAGGTAATCAGGAGGCTGAGGCAGGAGGATCGCATGAGCACAGGATGTCAAGGCTGTAGTGAGCTATGATCACACCACTGCACTCCAGCCTGGGTGACAGAGCAAGACCCCATCTCTTAAAAAACATACACACATACAACCAAAAAAACGTGACCACTAACTTCAAGGAACGTGCCGTATAGTCCCAGAGACAGGAATAAGAATAGACATGTGCTAAATGAATGGAATATCATGGCTGAAGGTCAAAATGCAGCTTAATTAAAACACCGGGGCATCAAGATCACACCCAATTTCCTCTTCAGCTCCATATGTTAAGGAGTTTGTTAGAATCCCTTCCCCAGGCACGTGGCAGACACTGTATACCTGTGATTAATGCATTGAGTCTTCATGCTAATTTTATGAGCTCCATGTTAATAACCCCATTTTACAGCTGGGAAGACAGAGGCTTAAAGGAGTGGTTCTAACTGTGGGTGATTTCAGCCCCCAGTGGCTATTTGGCAATGTCTGGAGATGGTTTTGGATGTCATAGTGCGTGCTACTGGCAGTTATAGTAGTGGAGGCTAGGGATGCTACTGAACAGTCTACGATGTACAAGGTGGTCCCCACAACACAGAACTATCCAGTCCAACATGTTAAGAGTGCCAAGGTTGAAAGACTGTTCTTTACAGTGATTAAGTTCAGTGCCAGAAGGTCACATTGACCTTAACTCAGTAGAGTGTTCCCTAAAACAAAGCCCCAAATGACACACACAGTACGCATACAGTGGGTCTCAGTTTGGTGAAAGAACATCTCCAAAGAAGTGCGCCTGGAGCTGGACACAGTGGCTTGCACCCATAGTCCCAGCTACTCAGGAGGCTGATGCCGAAGGATTACTTGGACCCAGGGATTCAAGACCAGCCTGGGCAAAACAGCAAGATCCCGTCTCTAAAACTAGTAATAATAATAAATAGAAGTGAACCATATTCCCACAGTTCCAGGTCATGCAGAAGCACATCCTAGGGTTCCTCTTCAGACCATAGCATGAGTGCATGATTGCCCTGGGATATGGTCTGCTTAGAGAACTGCCTGCAAGCCATAAACCAACTGCCTGCCGGTCATAAACCAGCCAGCTTGAGAGTAGTTACCTTCCAACTGTTCCAGTCAGGATAGGCTAGTTAGGCTGAGATAACAAACAATCCTCAAACCTCAAGGGTATAAAAGACATCATAGATCCATTTCTTGCCCACTCTACATTTCCAGCATGAATTAGCAAGAGTCTTTGCTCGTTGTAATTCTCTATCAGGGGCACAGTTAGCAAAGGCTCCAACCACTGTTACTGCCACCATCTCAACATATACACTAGTCCCTCTTTATCCACCAGGGATATGTTCCAAGACCCCCAGTGGATGCCTGAAACTGCGGATTTTACCGAACCCCATATATACTATTTTTTATCCTATACATACATACCTATGATAAAGTTTAATTTATAAATTAGGCACAGCGAGAGATTAACAACAACAGTAATAAAATAGAACAATTACAATATGCTATAATAAAAGTTATATGAATGTGGTCTCTCCCTCGCTCTTTAAATGTCTTTTTTTTTGTTTCTGTTTTTATTTATATTTATTTATTTATTTATTTTTTGAGACGAAGTTTCGCTCTTGTTGCCCAGGCTGGAGTGCAGGTCTTTTTTTTTTTTTTTTTTTTTGAGACAGTCTCCCTCTGTCACCCAGAGGAAGGTTTACAGTACTCTTGTAGCTCTGCGGTCCAGACAGCTCAAGTATTAACCGCCCAGTGGTGGGTCAGCGTGACAGACTTTGGCACTTGCACTCATGGCACCCAAGCTCTTGTCCAGTGTCCAGGAGGAATGGGGTCGCACAAACGAATGGAAGATGGTAAATGTGGGGGATTTTATTGCCGAAGAAAGTGGCTCTCAGCGGGAAAGGGAGCTGAAAAGGCTGTTCCCCTGAAGTCAAGCCTCTTCTCTCTGATGTCCAGCTGCTTCTCTCTCTCTGCTGGCTGAGCCTGGGGTTTTGATGGGCATGGGTTGTGGGGGTGGGGCAGGTCATGGGTGGTTTTGGAAAAGGCAACATTCAAGTGGGAAAACAGGGATGTAAGTTCTCACTTTGGGCCATGGTTTCAGGCTTTTCAGCTTGAGGGTGGGGCCCTTGCAGGGGACCCGCCATCTTCTGCCCGGAATTTTCCTGCTTGCTGTCCCTATCACTATGTCCCAGCAGAGATCTTTGGCCGGAAGAATGCCGTGTTTTACATCAACCACCAAGCTCGTGATGACCTTCCCTGGGCTCAACCTCTCCTTCTGTTGGTTGTCCCCAGGGGAATGTAATTACGGAGGCAGAGTGACTGATGACAAAGACCGGCGTCTCCTGCTGTCACTTCTGTCCATGTTCTACTGTAAGGAAATTGAGGAGGACTATTACTCCCTCGCTCCTGGAGACACTTACTACATCCCTCCTCATGGCTCCTACCAGGTAAGGGGTGGGCAGGGAGGCCTACCTCTTTCCCCCACAGGGCTCCGTCATCTCTATATGGCTACAGGGCTGCAGTGTAGCCAGGGATCCCAGGGGTGACCTTGGGCTTCCTGAATTGAATCCATAAGCTATTCCCAATATTCCCAAAAGCCTGCAAGAGAGACATGGCTACTGTTTAAGGAGGGGGTCGGTATTTGGTAGACAAGGTGTTTCAAAATATAGGATCCATCTGGGTGGAGGAAGGAGAGAGAACGATGATTAAGATGGAGCCTTGGAAGTGAGCAAGATGGAAATTGCTACTTGAAGACGAAGATTCAGAAGGTGGCAAAAAGGGAGGAACAGAAAAACTGGGCAGGGAATGACAAAAGGAAGATGAAAACAATCTGAGGGATAGAAAAGAGCTTACAGGTTGGATGCTGTGGCTCACGCCTGTAATCTCAGCACTTTGGGAGGCTGAGGCGGGTGGATCACTTAAGCTCAGGAGTTTGAGACCAGCCTGACCAACATGGTGAAACCCCATCTCTTCTAAAAATATAAAAATTAACCAGGTGTGGTGGCGCCTGCCTGTAATCCCAACTACTTGGGAGGCTGAGGCAGGGGAATTGCTTGAACTGGGAGGTGGAGGTTGTGGTGAGCTGAGACCATGCCACTGCACTCCAGCCTGAGTGACAGTGAAACTGTCTCAAAAAAACAAACAAACAAACAAAAAAAACCACTTACTTTTATTGATGACCTGTGGAACAGAAAAACTCTGAAATTGTATTTTTCTACTACTGTCTCACCACAACCACCACCACCATCAATACAGAAGAAGACTTCTGTGACCAAATGTGTGGAGGTTACCCCTTCCCCACACATTAAGCAGTGGACACCAACTGGGTGTCCTCTAATTCAATTCCAATACCATCTACCTGGTGATAGTGTCAGATCCCACGGGTTGAGGGCTCAGTCCCCAATTCTTTCCCCCAACCCAGACACCAGTCACAAGTCCCAGCCTCAAGAACTGACCAACCAGCTTCACGTTGGGGTTCTCACCACTCCCCCTTTAATTGAAATTAATTCAATTAATTTGCTGGAGCAGCTCACAGAACTCAGAGAAATACTTAGGTTTATTGGTTTATTAAAGGAATATTACAAAAGATATAGATGAAGAGATGCATAGGGTGAAGTATGGCGGAAGGAGTGAGAACTTCCATGCCCTCCCTGGGTGAAATACCCTCCAGGAACCTCCACGTGGTCAGCTATCCAGAAGCTCCCCGCACCCAGTCTTCTTGGGTTTTTATGAAAGCTGTATGACATTCCCCAGAGTATAGGGCAGCACCCTCTCTCTCTAGGTGGAGTCTTAAGACTCACAATCAGGTCAGGTGCAGTGGCTCATGCCTGTAATCCCAGCACTTTGGGAGGCTGAGGCTGGTGGATGGCTTGGGGTCAGGAGTTTGAGACCAGCCTGGCCAATGTGGTGAAATTCTGTCTCTACTAAAAATACAAAAATTAGCCGGGTGTGATGGCATGCACTTGTAGTCCCAACTACTCAGGAGGCGGAGGTGGGAAGATCGCTTGAGCCCAGGAGGCATAGGTTGCAGTGAACCAAGGTCCCACCACTGCACTCCAGCCTGGGCCACAGAGTGACCCTGTCTCAAAAAAAAAAAAAAAAAAAAAAAAAGGACTCACAATCAGAAAGGCAGGGGAAGATTTGAGTCTTGCTTGGGGGCAGGTAAAAGGAGGGAAAGAGAAGGTCAGAGAGATTCTGTTTCCTGCGGCCTGCCCCTAAGGCCTAACACACCCAACATTATAACAGGTGACTGTAACAAGGGCTAGGGGAGTTAGAAGCCAGGAACCATGGATGAAAACCAGTAGATATATATGTATATTACACCACAACCTGTCACATGCCAAGGCCTGATTCCTTCTGTGGATGAAAAGAGTCTCTTTCTTACCCTGTAAAATATTTGAAGAGATTTATACTGAGCCAAATATGAGTGACCATGGCCCGTGACACAGCCCTCAGGAGATCCTGAGAGCATGTGCCCCAGGTGGTCAGGGCTTGATTTTATACATTTTAGGGAGACGCGAGGCATCAGTCAAATACATTTAGGATATCCATTGGTTCAGTCCAGAAAGACGGGAAAACTCGAAGTGGAGGCCAGCAGGTTATAGGTAGATTTAAACGTTTTCTGATTGGCAATTGGTTGAAAGAGTTATCAATAGAAAGGAATGCCTGGGTTATGATAAGAGGTTGTGCAGACCCAAGTTTTATCATGCAGATGAAACCTCCAGGCAGCAGGCTTCAGAGAGAATAGATTGTAAATGTTTCTTATCAGACTTAAGGTCTGTGTTGATGGTAATGCTGGAGGGGCATAATGAGGCATGTCTGACCCCCACTTCCCGTCATGGCCTGAACCAGGCTTTCAGGTTAAATTTTAGAGTGCCCCGGACAAGGAGGAAGTCCATTCAGATGGTTGGAGGGTCTTAAGATTTTACTTTTGGTTTATACTTCATAACTACACTTGTTTTTCTATTTACAGATAAGGAAACTGGGGTTTCAGATGACAAGTTCAAGGGTACATAGTTTTATTATCGGAAGGGGGTCCAGATCCAGACCCAAAGGGATGGTTCTTGGATCTTGCACAAGAAAGAATTCGGGGCGAGTCTATAGAGTACAACAAAAGCAAGTTAATTAAGAAAGTAAAGGAGGCCGGGCGCAGTGGCTCATGCCTGTAATCCCAGTACCTTGGGAGGCCAAAGAGGTCGGATCACAAGGTTAAGAGATCGAGACCATCCTGGCTAACGCAGTGAAACCCCGTCGCTACTAAAAATACAAAAAATTAGCCGGGCATGATGGCATATGCCTATAATCCCAGCTACTAGGGAGGCTGAGGCAGTAGAATTGCTTGAATCCAGGAGGCGGAGGTTACAGTGAGCCAAGATAGTACCACTGCACTCCAGCCTGGCAGACAGCAAGAATCTGTCTCAAAAAAAAAAAAAAGTAAAGGAATAAAGAATGGCTACTTCATAGACAGAGCAATGACATGGGTTGCTGCTCAACTGATTATACTTACAGTTATTTCTTGATTATATGCTAAACAAGGGGTGGATTATTCATGAGTTTTCCGGGAAAGGGGTGGGCAATTCCAAGAAGTGAGGGTTCCTCCCCTTTCTAGACTATATAGGGCAACTTCCTGACATTGTCATGACATCTGTAAACAGTCATGGCGCTGGTGGGAGTGTCTCATAGCATGCTAATGCATTATAATTAGTGTGTAATGAGCAGTGAGGTCAACTAGAGGTCACTTCCGTGGCCATCTTGGTTTGGGGATATTTGACTGGCTTCTTTACCACAACCTGTTTTATCAGCAAGGTCTTTGTGACCTGTATCTTGTGCTGACTCCTGTCTCATCCTGTGACTTAGAATGCCCTCACCTCCTAAGAATGCAGCCCACTAGGTGTCAGCCTTATTTTACCCAGTCCCTATACAAGATGGAGTTGCTCTGGTTCGAATGCCTCTGACAGTTTGGGATGGAGCTAGGATCCAAACTCAGTTCTGTTTGGGTCCAAAGCCAGGCCCACTGGGGGAGCAGAGAGGAAGCCAGGGTGGGCGAGAGGTAATTCAGTCTCATCTGCTTTCATGCCCACTCCCCAGAAAACTGTATGAGGGAGGGCTAGGGTTGTGTTCTCCCAGCGTGTGTGTGTGTGTGTGTGTGTGTGTCCTGTGCTACTGATACAGTATGATTCCTGTTCTGATTGGGTTCTGCTAAGCCTGGAGTCATCTGTGGGATTCTGGGGTCCCTCGTTGATTTCAACTGAAGATTTCCCTTCCAGTCCTATATCGACTATCTCAGGAATCTCCCCATCACAGCCCACCCAGAAGTGTTCGGCCTCCATGAGAACGCAGACATCACCAAAGACAACCAGGAAACCAACCAGCTGTTTGAGGGGGTCCTGCTGACCCTCCCTAGACAGTCAGGAGGAAGTGGCAAGTCCCCTCAGGTAACTGGGCTCGGGAAAGGGGGCTTAATCCTATTTCCCAGGCAGTTCTTCATCCAGTGGGCACACAGGATTGGAGGGTGACCAAGAGGCAGAGAGTGGGGGCCTGGCAGCCTCCTGGCCAAGGGCAGGGAAGGAGCACTGTGGCCTTACTGCCGGGAGTCCTTATATCCAGAGCTGCAAGGGAACCAGTGTTTCCAAAATGTCAGCTATTCCTGTATAACCTTCATGTTTTCTGCTATATCCACCTATCACCTATACTCCATTTACATAATGGGTTTTATTCTTTTTTTTTTTCTTTTGCTTTTTTTTCTACATAATGTTTTAAAACTAACTCTCTTTTTTTTTTAATTTAAAAGATTGCACATCAGAACCATAAGTGGAAACCCAGTATCATTTCCATAAAGTCATGATACGCACAAAAAGAAAATGAAAGCTGAACAGTGAACAGTTGGTGTTTTTTGGTTTCTGTTTGTTGTTGTTGCTGTTTTTCTTTTCTTTTCTTTTTTTTTTTTGAGACACGGTTTGGCTCGGTTACCTAGGCTGGAGCGCAGTGGCGTGATCTTGTCTCACTGCAACCTCCGCCTCCCAGGCTCAAGCAATTCTCCTGCCTCAGCCTCCCGAGTAGCTGGGACTACAAGCACATGCCACCATGCCCAGCTAAATTTTTTTGTATTTTCTGTAGAGACAGTGTTTCATCATATTGTCCAGGATCGTCTCAAACTCCTGGGCTCAAGCAATCTGCTTGCGTTGGCTTCCAAAAGTGCTGGGATTACAGGCGTGAGCCACTGCTCCCAGCGTTAACAGTTGTTAAGTTCTTCCCAGATGATGTTGCTGGCCAAAGCCCCTGAGCTGAGGCTTTGCTGGCTTCTTGTTAAAAGGAGAAAGATGTGTGAGTGTCAAAGAATTGGCACTGACCCGAAACTGTCTTTTTGAGAGGAATGAAAAGAGAAAGATGGTCAGAACTGGAAAAGAGGCCAGGTGCAGTGAATCGCACCTGTAGTCCCAGCACTTTGGGAGGCTGAAGCAGGAGGAGCACTTGAGGCCAGGAGTTCGAGGCCAGCCTGGGCAACATAAGGAGACCGCATCACTACAAAAAAATTTTTTTTAAGTTAACCGAGGGCTGGGTGCCATGGCTCATGCCTATAACCCTAGCACTTTGGGAGGCCAAGGTGGGTGGATTGCTTGAGCCAAGGAGTTGGAGACCAGCCTGAGCAACATAGCAAAACGCCGTCTATACAAAAAAAAAAAATAGCTGAGCTCAGTGGCGTGCACCTGTAATCCCAGCTACTCAGGAAGCTGAGGTGGGAGGATCGCTTGATTCTGGGCTGTTGAGGCTGCAGTGAGCTGAGATCATGCCACTGCACTCCAGCCTAGGCGACAGAGTGAGACCCTGTCTTAAAAAAAGTTAACTGGGTGTGGTGGTGCGTGCCTGTAGTCCCAGCTACTAAGGGGGCTGCGGCAGGAGGATCACTTGAACCCAGGAGGTCGAGGCTGCAGTGAGGCTGTGATCACGAGGCTGTGATCATGCCTTTGCACTCCCACCTGGACGACAGAGTGAGACACTATCTCAAAACAGTAACAACAACAATGAAAAAAAACCCAAAACCTGAAAGAGTAACTTTCTCACCATGTGACTCAACATGATTTTTCTGTGTCCTGGAAACACCTAAAATCCTGGGTACCTCTAGTAGTCCCAGTGCACTCTTTGTGATGACCTGACCCAGGCCACCCTCCTAAGTCTACAAATGAAGAGAGAAACAAATCCTGAGAGAGAAAGTGACCGGCTTCCAGGCTTTCATAAAATCAAGGACGGAGCCAGAACCAGAGCCACCGTCTCCTGACTCCACCCGCTTCCTCTCCCATCCCTTCCCTTCTCCACCTTCCAAGCTACCTCCTGTTTAACCCCTCCCAACTGTAGAATTTGCTAATTTGCTTTCATGATTTGGTTCCTAGTGCCATTAAGTATCACTGGTATGAAGGTAAACCAGCCTGGTTGGTGTATCCCGATGTAGGAGTGGAAATTCCCCTCACAGTGGGAAGAGGGAAAGAATTATACATCCCAGCCTCCCACATCCACAGGACCACAGGGTGTCTGTCTCTCCCACACTCAGGTCTTGTTCCTCCTTGAGCCTCGAGGCCTGTCCCCTCCCTACTTGGCTAAGCTGAGGGTTCTGTGCTTTTCTTGCTCCAATGCTGAAGAATGGCCTGCTGCTTTCCCAGGTGTCACGGGCACTGAGAAAGGGCCCCATGGCACCAGGAGCTAATCCTCAGGGGTCAGAGGCTGTGGGAGATTCTCACCTGGGTGTGACATTGAAGACAGAGGCTTAGTGCTGCCCTGAAGCTACCTGGCTGAGCAAGAGTTCCCTTCCTGGCCCTTCGGCTCTTGCCTGAGGTGTCAGGACACGACTCTTTTTTTTTTTTTTTTTAACTTTTAGACAGGTGTTCCTCTGTCACCCAGGCTGGAGTGCAGCGGCCAGATCTCAGCTCACTGCAACATCCGCCTCCTGGGTTCAAGTGATTCTCCTGCTTCAGCCTCCCAAATAGCTGGGACCATAGGCATGCAGCATCATGCATGGCTAATGGCTAATTTTTGTATTTTTTGTAGAAACTGGGTTTCGCTATGTTTCCCAGGCTGGTCTCAAACTCCTGGACTCAAGCGATCCACCCACTTCGGCCTCCTAAAGTGCTGGGATTACAGGCGTGAGCCACCGTGCTCTGCCAAGGACAGGACTCTACTCTTCTGGACCAAGAGGCGATGCCCTCCCCAAGGCTGGTGGGGTGATGAGGGACTCCTTTCCCCACTGGAGGCAGAAATGGCTTCTGTTGGAGAGTTCTCAGGAAAGTCCCACAGAATACATTTGAAAAGTCAGATGCTCAGTACTTAAAGTTTATCCAAAGCCACAGCCTGTAGGGCTTGCTTCTCACTCACCTCTCTTCTGCCTGCATTTTAAGGAAGTGGTTGAGGAGTTGGCACAAGACATTCTCTCCAAGCTTCCCAGAGACTTTGACCTGGAAGAGGTCATGAAGTTGTACCCCGTGGTCTATGAAGAATCCATGAATACCGTCCTAAGGCAGGAGCTCATCAGATTCAACAGGTGGGCCAGATGATGTAGCTTGAATCCTGGGAGTTGGAACGTGAGGAGTAGGATCTAACAGGCAGTAGCTGAGAAGGGGTTGCTATGCAGAGGAAGTGGTTTGCCCCACCCGTATTAGGGGTGTGAATAGGGGCTGTGAATAGGACCATCCCCAGCACATGCTGACCCTGGGTTGAATCATTCCTTCTATTCATTCATTCCCATTCATTCATGTGACATCTATAAAGTTAGGCTAAAACCAGTATCAAGCACAGGCTAATAGTAAAAGTAGTCATTAGAGCCACTTTCATTTTTCTTTCCTGAGTTGAGGTCTCTCTCTGTCGCTCAAGTTGGAGTGCAGTGGTGTGATCATGACTCATTGCAGCCTCGAACTCCTGGGCTCAAGCAGTCCTCCCACCTCAGCCTCCTGAGTAGCTGAGTCTACAGACACAGGCCACCATGCTGGCTAATTTTTTTATTTTTTATTTTTTATAGAGATGGAGTTTTGACATGTTGGCCAGGCTGGTCTTGAACTCCTGGCCTCAAGCAGGCCTCCAGCCTTGGCCTCGTAAAGTGGTGGGATTACAGGTGGGAGCCACTGCACCTGGCCTAGAGCCATTTGTATTGAGCCTTTAGGGACAGATACGGTTCTAAGCACTATGCATGGGTCTCATTCAAAGTCTGTAATAGGGCTGGGCACAGTGGCTAACGCCTGTAATTCCAGCACTTTGAGAAGCAGAGTAGGGAGGATCACCTGAGGCCAGGAGTCCAAGACCAGCCTGGGCAACAAAGCAAGACCCCATCTCTCCAAAAAAGAAAAAAAAAAAAAAGGCAGGCATGGTGGTGCACGTCTACAGTCCCAGCTACTTGGGAGGGTGAAGTGGGAGGATCTCTTGGAGGCCAGGAGCTCGAGGCGGCAGTGAGCTATGATCTTGCCACTGCACTCCAGCCTGGGTGACAGAGAAAGACCCTATCCCTTAAAAAAAAATTACACAATAGTCTTTTGAAATACGTCCAGTTACTAATCCTGCTACCAGCATTTTACAAGTAAGAAAACTGAGGCTGAGCATGATCACTCACGCCTACAATCCCAGCACTTTGGGAGGCAAGCCGGGAGGATTGCTTGAACCCAGGGGTTTAAGACCAGCCTGGGCAATATGGCAAGACCCCATCTCTTAAAGAAAATAAAAAAAAACTCTGAGATTCAGAAGGGTTAAGACTTGCCCAAGGTTGCTCAGTTATTCAATCATTCAACGGGAAAACTCAGTTTAAACCCAGAACTAAGTCTGATTCCAGAGCCCGTGTACTTATCCAATATGTGAAATCTGGGTAAATCTAGAAAGGGGTGGGAGACGTTCATCCTAGTGCCTCTACCACACAGTTAGGGGTATTATAGGCTGGCCATGGGGCAAGGATCTCTGGCCTTGTATTCTAGTCCTCTTCTCCAGTTACTACAGCATGGAGCCCAGTGGGATCACCTGGATTTGATTTTTGAATAGTCAAAACTGAAAGGGTTATCAAAGACCATCTAGGCCAGATGAGGAAACTGAGGTCCAGAGATGACTGTGATTTGATGTAGGTCTCAAGTGACTCAGAGCCAAGTGGGCTAAAACTTATCACTTCTGCTTCCAAGACCAAGGTCTTGCTGCTCCAGACACTGCATGTGTTACTGCCTCTATTCTGTGTCATTGGGTCACTGCTTCATTTTAAGGACAGCCCTGATTCCAGAGGACCAGGGGACTGGAGGAGTGTTATTTGAGAGTTGTTAGGCTTCCTGAATTTTAAAGTTACTTTTTTTTTTTTTTTTTTGAGACAGAGTCTCACTCTTGTCACCCAGACTGGAGTGCAGTGGCGCGATCTCGGCTCACTGCGACCTCCACCTCCCAGGTTCAAGAGATTCTCCTGCCTCAGCCTCCCAAGTAGCTGGGATTACAGGTGCCTGCCACCACGCCCAGCTAATTTCTGTACTTTTAGTAGAGACAGGATTTCGCCATGTTGGCCAGGCTGGTCTCGAACTCCTGACCTCAGGTGATCCGCCCACCTTGGCCTCCCAAAGTGCTGGGATTACAGGTGTAAGCCACTGTGCCCGGCCTAGGGTTACTCTTTAGAGTCAACAGGCAGTTGGCCGTAGCAGGGACCAAGCAAGGTATGGGGTGTGAGCCTAGGACGAGGCCACCTCTGTTGTGAGACACCTTGGCATGATGGACTGTAGTCCTGGACTGTCCAACTGGACACCAAAACTAATGGCTTCCCTCCTCTGCTGTCATTCTCCTCTAAGGCCACTGGAGCTCTTTCTTGGTGGTTGCAGGGGCTTTCACTGGCCTTCACCACTGGGCATTCTATAAAGGACAGCAAGCCAGGTGCCGTGGCTCACTCCACCCAGCACTGTAATCCCAGCACTTTAGGAGGCTGAGGCAGGCAGATTGCTCAGGAGTTGGAGATCAGCTTGGGCAACATGGCAAAACCCCATCTCTACCAAAAATACATAAAATTATCTGGGCATTGTAGAACCAGCTACTCAGGAGACTGAGGAGGGAGGATTGCTTGGGCCTGGGAAGTGGAGGTTGCAGTGAGCCAAGATTGTGCCACTGCACTTCAGCCTGGGCAAGAGAATGAGACCCTGTCTCAAAAGAAAAAAAGAACAGGGAAAGCAATCTTATTTTCCAATGATGGTCAGGATTAATCATCTCAAGCAGTACTCTAACGTTCCTCCCCACTATTTTTTTTCTTTCCCTTTTTTTTTTTTTTTTTTGCCTTTTCACCCAGTGATATAGGAAGCCCAGAATGATTCAGCGACAGTTCAGCTTCAGGGGAACTGTGACTGTGTCTTCTGGGCAAGTGTTCTTTCCTTGGGTACTAAAACCTTAAAACTAGCAGAGCTCATAGTTGCAAGAATAGAAAGAGAATCTTTGCAAGTAGGTCTTTAGGTATAATAGAGGTCTGTGGTGTAATCCCTCAGATGGCAGCTTTTACCCTTGACTGCTTAGCAAACACATGTCTGAATTTTACATTCCTTTTTTTTTTTTTAATTGAGACAGAGTTTCACTCTTGTCGCCCAGGCTGGAGTGCAATGGCGTGATCTTAGCTCGGCTCACTGCAACCTCCACCTTCTGGGTTCAAGCGATTCTCCTGCCTCAGCCTCCTGAGTAGCTGGAATTACAGGCGCGCATGCTCAGCTAATTTTGTATTTTTAGTACAGACGGGGTTTAACCATGTTGGCCAGGCTGGTCTCAAACTCCTGACCTCAAGTGATCCACCCACCTCTGCCTTTCAAAGTGCTGGGATTACAGGCGTGAGCCCCCACACCCAGCTACATTCCTCTTGATACAATGGTTTAGTGGTTACACATCCAGAAATCCTCTTCCTGCATGTGATCATTCTCATGTCCATTCAGTTGAGATTCCATAAAGCTTTGGAGATGAAAAGCTCTTTGTAGTGGCAGATTCTTTGGTCTCCTCAGGTGAATTACCTCCGGGCTTGGCTGGGCCTCGTAACATAAAGGTCAGAGGGAGAGGCAGGTGAATTTGACATCTCCCAGGCTGCCCTTCAGTTGCCTTTTCTCAGGCGTGCACCTTATAGTCGATAAAAAAGGACCTTTGGCCAGGCGTGGTAGCTCATCTGTAATCCCAGCACTTTGGGAGGCTGAGGTGGGAGGATTACTTGAGTTTAGGAGTTTGAGACCAGCCTGGGCAACATAGGGAGACCTTGTCTCTACTTAAAAAAAAATCAGGTGGGCATAGTGGCATGTGCCTGTAGTCCCAGCTACTCAGGAGACTGAGGTGGGAGGATTCCTTGAGCCTGGGAGATCGAGGCTGCAGTGAGCCATGACTCCACCACTGCACTTCCCTGGGTGACAGGGCAAGACTCTGTCTCAAAAAAAAAAAAAAAAAAAGAACAACTTTGACAATATGAATTGAAAGCCTTAAAACTGTGCGTGCTCTTTGACCTAGAAATATTTTTAATAATAATTTAAAATTTGCAAAAAGATTGAGATGGATGAATTTTGCTAGCAATGTTGTTGATAGTGACAACAATCTAGAAATAACACGTCAACAATAGAGGAATAGTTAAACAAAATGGAACATTTTGCAGTCGTTACAAAGGACAGGCATGGTGATGCACACCTGTAGTCCCAGCTACTCCAGAGGCTGAGGCAGGAGGATCACTTGAGCCCAGGAGTTTGAGGCTGCAGTGAGCTCTGATCTCACTACTTACTCCAGCCTGAATGACAGAGTGAAACCCCATCTCTAAAAAAAAGAAAAAAAGGACAATTTAGGTCTCTATTGAATTGGAAAGATGTTTCCTATATGCTAAGAAAGAAAAACAGATTACGGAAAGATAATATAGTATGATCTCATTAAAAATAATTTGTGTTCACATAGAGAAAAATCTGGAAAGATATACATCAACGTTATCTTTAGGTAGCAAGGTAACGGGTGATTTAATTTTTCCTCATTTAATGACTGTGCATTAATTAACTGACATTTTAAAGGGGACAGCAGTCAGTGGACTTGGGTAGAATGTGGCCACCGGAGAGCCCAGCTCAGCCAGCTCCTCTGTTCTTGCAGGCTGACCAAAGTGGTTCGGAGGAGCCTCATCAATCTTGGCCGAGCCATCAAAGGACAGGTCCTGATGTCCTCGGAGCTAGAGGAAGTCTTTAACAGCATGCTTGTGGGTAAAGTGCCAGCCATGTGGGCAGCCAAGTCTTACCCATCACTGAAGCCTCTGGGGGGCTACGTGGCTGACCTGCTGGCCCGCCTGACCTTCTTCCAGGTACCTGGGAGTCAGGGGTAACCGGGAACCTGGCATGCTTGCTTAGGTGGAGAGGACATTCTGAAATGGCAGACTAGAGGCAGGGGGAGGAGGGCAGGCAGCCACAGAACATCCTGGATTGAGCCTCTGGAAACAGTCTTCCTGGAGTTAGAAGCAGGAGGGAGACTTGAAAGTCCTGGAAAAGATTATAGCCGGCCGGGCGCAGTGGCTCACATCTGTATTGCCAGCACTCTGGGAGGCCGAGGCAGGCGGATCACTTGAGGTCAGGAGTTCGACACCAGCCTGGCCAGCATGGTGAAACCCCGTCTCTACTAAAAATACCAAAAAAATCAGCAGGGCATAGTGGCTTATGCCTGTAGTCTCAGCTACCTGGGAGGCTGAGGCAGGAAAATGGCTTGAACCTGGGAGGCAGAGGTTGCAGTGAGCCGAGATCACGCCATTTCACTCCAGCCTGGGCGACAGAGCAAGACTCCGTCTAAAAAGAAAAAAAATGTCACAAACTGGTGGCTCATGAGATAGATTTGGACAATAATTATGTTTGGTTTGGCTACCTGGTAATTTAAACATTTTTGAGCCAGCATGTAAACATTGATTTTTTACATATAAAAATCCGATGTTTGTACTGCAAAAAATAGAAGACCTGAAACAATGCACCTGCGTTCTCGCATGGCATGGCGACTATTGCTGGAGATGAGTGGCAGCTGCTCAGTTTAGACAAGGTACATATTCTCCACTGCTACAGTCCCCACCACTCTCTGTTGTATCCCTGATATCAGCTTGCACCTGGGCTTTTTTTTTTTTTTTTGAGATGAAGTTTCACTCTTGTCACTCAGGCTGGAGTGCAATGGCATGATCTTGGCTCACTGCAACCTCTGCCTCCTGGGTTCAAGCGATTCTCCTGCCTCAGCTTCCCAAGCAGCTGGGACTGCAGGTGCCCACCACCACGCCTGGCTAATTTTTGTAGTACCTAGGCGTTTCTTAAAGTGTAAATATATTTCTTTGTACCCTTATTTCAAAAGTGGGAAGATAGAAGCTAAACCAAGAGGGCTGTTTCAAGAAAAATATGAAAAAACATATTTTATATGGTACTCGTTACATTACTTGCATTTGAACTATCTTTGATGTGTTGTTGATTTTGAATCTTGATTTCTGTGGCTCTCCAGGAATGGATTGACAAGGGGCCCCCTGTGGTATTTTGGATCTCTGGATTCTACTTCACACAGTCTTTTTTGACTGGCGTCTCTCAAAATTATGCCCGGAAATATACCATCCCCATTGACCACATTGGATTTGAGTTTGAGGTAGGGGTGCTTTGGGTTAGGCTCACTCAAGGGGCTGACCAGAGAAAGCAATGTTGCCAATTTCCTTATGAGTCAAAAAATGTGGATGTGTTAAGACCCAAATGCTTCTGAAATGGTACATATGAAGCATTTAGCATAATTTACAGTAGCTCTAAAAGCTACTCCTAAAATAATTAGAGGATTCCCAATGCTTTGTCTCTGTGTATACAAAAAGGGAATCTTTCCAGATTCCGTCAGAACACCAAGAAAAATGAAGGCACTCTCCCACTCTGTTTGTTCAATGTGGTGGACTCTTCATTTACAAGAATGTTAATGCCCTTAGGTAGTCCTTTGCTTGGAGTAAAGTTAAAAGCATGGCCAACAGTCAAGCATCAGCCTGTCATATATAGAGAGTAGAATGGCTACGATTGACTGTTACAGAGCATTGTAGAATTTTAAATTATACGGAAAGATCCTTTGAAATCATCTAGTCCAGAGGTCACAAACTGGTTGCCCTATGTCTTAAATCAGTTTATGAATGAACTTAACTTGATTAGCCTTTGAAGACAATGTTAAGCCAAAATAAATACAACAAGAAAAAAAATGACTAGGATAAACATTGAAAAAAAGATAAAACCATCTTTCTTGATGTTGAAATGATTGTATACCTAGAAATCCGAAGTGATTAAAAACATAGAGTCCTTTACTTGCAATGGTTCAACTTACAATTTTTTGACTTCATGATGTGAAATCAGTACACATTCAGGAGAAACCACACCTTGAGTACCCATACACCCATTCCATTTTTCACTTTTAGTATAGTATTTGATAAATTACATAAGATACTCAACACTTTACTATAAAACAGACTTTGTGTTAGATGATTCCTGCCCACTATAGGCTAATGTAAGTGTTCTAAGCACATTTAAGGGAGGCTAGGCTAAGCTATGATATTTGTTGTAGGTTAGGTATATTAAATGCAGTTTTGGCTTACAATATGTTCAACTTATGATGGGTTTATCAGGACATAACCCCATTGTAAGTTGAGGAGCATCTGTAGAAGAATTCACAAGGTCACTGGATATTGGTTAAATTTATAAAAATCAATAGCCTTTTCCTATTCTTCCAATATATACTTAGAATTAGAAATGGGAAAAAATTCCATTCACCATAAAAATTTTTTAAAGTATAATTTGAATGATTTTAAATGGAGTTTGTGCTCTCTGGTTCACCATAATCCCCACCCCTCCCTATTCTCCTATGCTTTGTCCATTTTCTGCAATTACCTAAAGGAATTTGAGTTTACCACCTCTGAATCTAAGCAGTGGTGTGCTGGAGCTCACTCATATCAGCTCACCAGGGCCAACTGTTACATTTTCAGGAATTTTGTGAGCTGGTTGTTAAATAGTTGGTAGGCTGAAATTGACCATGGTGGAAGTCTTTATACCACAAAAACTAGAAATCAAGGCTTTATTCTCCCCACACTCATCTCCAGAACTGTTTATCCAGTCTGTCTCTGTATCTGAATCTAACCCCTCACTTTATAAATCCAGATCCAGAAAGGGAAGGGATTGTGCAATCACTAAGCTAGTTAGAGGTAATGTGTTAGAATAATGTGACTCCTACTTGAGTGCATTCTCTAGCCCACCATTGGGAAGGGCAGCATACTGACCAGGAGTCAGGCCTGGCCCATGTATGGTGGGCAGGAATATTATCACAGAAGCCCCATTGTCCCTGGATCCTGGGAGAGGTAGATATTGCAACCAGGTTGCACTTTGAGTATCAGAAGATTCCAGGCTCTTAAAGCTGCCCATGTAGGAAAATGGCAGGCAATGGAGCTCATAGCTTTTTATTCTTCCAGGTAACCCCACAAGAAACAGTGATGGAGAATAACCCCGAAGATGGGGCCTACATCAAAGGGCTCTTCTTAGAAGGTGCCCGTTGGGACAGGAAAACGATGCAGATTGGGGAATCTCTCCCCAAAATCCTCTATGACCCACTGCCCATCATTTGGCTGAAACCTGGGGAGAGCGCAATGTTTCTGCATCAGGACATCTATGTGTGTCCAGTCTACAAAACAAGTGCCCGCAGAGGAACCCTCTCCACCACAGGCCACTCTACCAACTATGTCCTCTCCATTGAGCTTCCAACAGACATGCCCCAGAAGCACTGGATAAACCGAGGGGTGGCCTCACTGTGCCAGCTGGATAACTGATGGCATTTGTCTCAAGACAGAAAATAAAAAGCATTTCATTCTTTTTGTTTTGAGACAGTCTTGCTCTGTCACCCAGGCTGGAGTGCAGTGGCATGAAATCAGCTCACTGCACCTTCCGCCTTCCAGGTTCAAGTGATTCTCGTGCCTCAGCCTCCTGAGTAGCTGGGATTACAGGCACACACCACAATGCCAGGCTATTTTTTTGTATTTTCAGTAGAGACAGGGCTTTTGCCATGTCGCCCAGGCTGGTCTCGAACTCCTGAGCTCAGGCAATCCACTCCCCCTTTGGCCTCCCAAAGTGCTGGGATTACAGGCGCCACCGCGCCTGGCCAAAAGGCATTTCATTCTTTTTATTTTATTTTATTATTATACTTTAAGTTCTAGGGTACATGTGCACAACGTGCAGGTTTGTTACATACGTATACATGTGCCATGTTGGTGTGCTGCACCCATTAACTCATCATTTACATTAGGTGTATCTCCTAATGCTATCCTTCCCCCCCCACCCTCCCCACCCCACGACAGGCCCAGGTGTGTGATGTTCCCTTTCCTGTGTCCAAGTGTTCTCATTGTTCAATTCCGACCTATGAGTGAGAACGAAGGCATTTCATTCTTGATGATGGTGGTGGTGATGATGTTGATGACAATTATATTAATAAAGCAATTGCTATGAGCCAGGTATTTCCTAGCAACTCTATAAAGTACATTATTATTATTATCCTCATTTTATGGCTGCAGAAACCATGATACAGAGAAGATAAGTAATCTCCCCCAAATCAGATAGCTACTCAAGTAGTATCTGAATACAGGCAGTGGGACTCTTCAACACAGACTCTTGGTCAGTTGGCTAAGCTCCCTTATGGTGATTTTCTTCTTCTGAGACAGTTTCTTGCTCTGCTGCCCTGGCTGGAGTGCAGTGGCACAATCTCGGCTCACTGCAACCTCCGCCTCCCAGGTTCAAGTGATTCTCGTGCCTCAGCCTCCCAAATAGCTGGGATTACAGGTGTGCACCACCATGCCTGGCTAATTTTTGCACTTTTAGTAGAGACGGGGTTTTGCTATGTTGGCCAGGCTGGTCTCGAATTCCTGGCCTCAAGTGATCCGCCCGCCTTGGCCTCCCAAAGTGCTGGGATTACAGTCGTGAGCCATCGCACCCAGTCTTATTTTTTTTCTTTTTATTTTGCTGTAACTGTCATTGAATTTCAATCACTTCTTTCCTAGTCTATCCATAAGGGAGACCACCAAGGCCTCTCAAAGGTTGACAGAGGTTTGGGCCACTTTTATTTGCTAAGCCCCTTGATACATTTAAAATGGACTCTTTTTGGTATTTAAGGGCAAAAAATAAAATGCACTTTTCACAACAATCTTAGATGGGAGGTGTTATCATTATCTCCACTTTACAGAGGAAAATGCAGAGATTTAGAAAACTAGCCCAAAGTTCCACAGCTAGTCAGTGATAGAACTGGGACGCAATTGTTTCTCTACTAGCCTGCACAGATGGGTGGAAATTTCCCGAGGAAAGGGGAGGTGAGAGAAGCAATCTTTATTGCATGCCTACTATATGCCATGCTTTGTGCCCAGGCCTTTAGATTTCTCACTTGATCCTCTGTGGTGGGAAGGCCTGTCCTCTCCCTTGGAGGTTCAGAGAGATTATCGTCCCTAAAATCGCTCAGCTTTTTCACACTGCAAAGCCTGGTTTGTGCTGGTCTGGCTCTTGAACCCATGCATTTTTCACCGCCACACGCTGCCTCCCTGCCAAGGACTTGGCTCTGTTTTGATGTAGAATCTTAGAAGAGATGTGTAGCTCCAACTACACAACTATGTCCAAGAAATTTCAATCACTTGTTTCTCCCCAGGGCCAGCTGGAAGAGACTCTTGAGGGAGATAAAAATCACATTCTTGATGCATTACTTCTTCACTAACTCTCTCATGTAGTCTTGTGGCACTAAGTGGCTTATTTCAGGGCCCTGTCTTGGTCACTTCGTAGTTGAGCAAAGACATGAGACTGTTTGGGGGTTTTCATGTGTCTGGCCTTGGCTTCTCTGCCTCTTCACTAGAAGAAATGTTTTGAATCAGGGTCTTTGATTTCTTTTTTGTTGTTGTTGAGACAGTCTTGCTCTCTCACCTAGGCTGGAGTGCAGTGGCACAATTTTGGCTCACTGCAACCTTCGCCTCCCAGGTTCAGGCAATTCTCCTGCCTCAGCCTCCCATGTAGCTGGGATTACAGGTGCCTGCCACCATGCCTGGCTAATTTTTTTATATTTTTAGTAGAGACAGGGTTTCACCATGTTGGCCAGGGTGGTCTCAAACTCCTGACCTCAAGTGATCCACCCATCTTGGCCTCCCAAAGTGCTGGGATTACAGGCATGAGCCACTGCACCCGGTCAAAAGCTATTTTTTCAAGAAAGAAATATAAATGTTCTCCAATGGGGGAAAAATCAGAATGAACAGATAGCTGGAACTATCCTATTGTTCCAAATAAGATTGTTAGTCATTTTGGATAGAAGGATGGTCAGGATCTCAAATCCCTGATTCTTGGACTGGTAGGTAAATCACAACGCAAGCTGTAAAGGAGCTGTCAGTGAGGGGGTTGCTAAGAGAACAACTGAATTTTAATTATAGTTCTCCAACCACAGCTTCAGCAACAAAAAGCTGAGGGAGGCAGGGACTGGTCTCATTCCTCAGGGGTCAAGGGACAGACTGTTTTCATATGATGGATTAAATTTTTGTAATTTAAAAAATGTTCTCTACTTTGAAGAGAAAGACTGCTTGAAATTTGAGGTCATTTTCTATTCGGGCCAATGTGGTAGTTAATGTCTCCTCCTGTGAAAGAGCAATATGCTATTCAGAAATCATGGTGAGTTAGAGGCTGGAGTCCTGGGGAAGAGATGGCCAGAGATCAGCTCGGTGAGAAGCTGCAGGCCTTGCCTATAAATAGCTCAGCAGATGACATCAGACAAACCTTGTCACCAAGCTAGTCCTTGTTCTTTAAAAATCTAGCTCTTGGGGGCCGGGTGCGGTGGCTCACTCCTGTAATCCCAGCACTTTGAGAAGCTGAGGCAGGCGGATCACCTGAGGTCAGGAGTTCAAGACTAGCCTGGCCAACATGGTGAAACGTCGTCTCTACTAAAAATACAAAAATTAGCTGGGTGTGGTGGCGGGCGCCTGTAATCCCAGCTACTCAGGAGGCTGAGGCACGAGAATTGCTTGAACCTGGGAGGTGGAGGTTGCAGTGAGCCAAGATTGTGCCACTGCACTCCAGCCTGGGTGACAACAGTGAAACTCTGTCTCAAAAAAAAAAAAAAAATCTAGCTCTTGGGTAAGCAGTTAGGTTCAGTCCTTATCAGTGTTGGAAGATAATTACATTGAAGGTGGGGATGTAGGGAAGGTGGGTTCTGCCTTTGAGAGACTCAAGATGGGGATTTTATAGTTTTGGAGAGAAAGTGAGGAAAATACTATTAAGAACAGAACACAGGTTACATGGAAGGTTTGAGAGTAAATTGACAATTATGCTTTTGTGTAACAGTATACACATGTTTGCAAAGGGGCTAGGCATGTAAAATTCACACTAAGGCAAATGGAAGATGCTCAAAGGCTGGCTAGCAATGAGATGGACTTTCATCCTGAAAAGGCTGGGTGAGAAGGCTGATTTCTACACTCAGTAGAGTAAGGCAAAAATGCAAATAATTAAAATCACCTTGAGTTACTTAGAAAGGAACTTTCCCATCTCCCATGATGGAGATGAGAGACATGTCTCACTTGGTCCAGCACAGCCAGTTTTTCCTCCAAGCAGAAACAGATGGGTTTCACTGGCTGACCACCAGATGAAGTAGTTGGCTTGATTTCATAAGCCCTATGTTGCATGGGAAACAATTAATTTTAGACATTAGAACCATCTCTGGACAGGGAAATGCCTCTACAATGAGACCAGCTGGAAGGAGAGTGGCTGAAGGAACAGCAGATTCATGTCTCTCAATTCAAGCTAGGCTGGGCTATGTGCTCACTGAATGGCCATGGGAAGGCCAGAACACCTGCCAGCATATTTACATTTCTCTGTCTCTTTTCACCAAAGGCTTTGCTGTGGTTTGAATGTATCCCCCAAAGTTTATGTGTTAGAAAATCCCCAAGCAACAGTGTTGAGAAGTGCAACCTTTAGGAGGTGATTAGGTCAGGAGGTCACAGATAATGTTATTGCCAGAGTGGGTTTGTTATAAAAGTCAGTTCAGACCGGGCGCAGTGGCTCACTCCTGTAATCCCAGCACTGCAGGATGCCGAGGCAGGTGGATCATCTGAGGTCAGGAGTTCGAGACCAGCCTGGGCAACATAGTGAAACCCGTCTCTATTAAAAATGCAAAAAAAAAAAAAAAAAAAAAAAAATTAGCCAAGCGTAGTGGTGGGCGCCTGTAGTCCCAGCTACTTGGGAGGCTGAGGCAGGAGAATGGCCTGAACCCAGGAGGCGGAGCTTGCAGTGAGCCGAGATCGCGCCACTGCACTCTAGCCTGGGTGACAGAGCGAGACTTGTCAAGAAAACAAACAAACAAAAAAACAACAAAACACACACACACACACACAAAATTAGCCGAGTGTAGTGGCAGGCGCCTGTAATCCCAGCTGTTTGGGAGGCTGAGGCAGGAGAATTGCTTGAACCCAGGAGGCAGAGGTTGCAGTGAGCTGAGATCGTGCCATTGCACTCCAGCCTGGGCAGCAAGGGCAAAACTCTGTTATCAGAGGAAAAAAATAAATAAATAAAAATTAAAAAATAAAAGTTCAGCTCTCTCTCTCACTGTCTTTCACCATGTGATGACTTCTGCCATATGATGACACAGAAAGAAAGCCCTCGCCAGATGTGGGCTCCTCAAATTTGGACTTCGTGGCCTCTAGAACTGTAAGAGAGAAATCTCTGTTCTTTATAAATTACCCAGTCTCAGGTATTCTGTTACAGCAGCACGAAATGAACTAAGACAGAAAATTGGTACCAAGAAGTAGGGCTGCTGCAATAACAAGAACCTGAAAATGTGGAGGCAGCTTTGGAACTGGGTAATGGGTAGAGGCTGGAAGAATTTGGAGGAGCAGGCTAGAAAAAGCCTAGGTTGCTGTGAATGGAGCATTAAGGGCAATTCTGGTGAGGGCTCAGAAGACGGGAGCTGTAGTAGGAGCCTAAATCTTTTAGAGACTACTTAAGTTGTTGTGATCAAAATGTTGGTAGAAAATTGGATAGTAAAGACCATTCTGATGAGGTCTCAGATGGAAATGAGGAACAAGGTATTAGAAACTGGAGTAAAGTCCATCTTTGTTATACAGTTGCTAATAACTTGGTGGAACCATGTCTATGTCCTAGGACTTTGTGGAAGGCAGAACTTAAGAGTGATGAACATATCTGGCAAAAAAAAAAAAAATATCTAAGCAGCAAAGCATTCAAGGCTTTGAATGGCTTCTTTTGGTGGCTTATAGTAAAATGAGAGAAGAAAGAAATGACTTAAAGATGGAATGTGTGATGAAAAAGGAAGCAGAATAAGATTTGGAAAATTCTCAGCCTGTTGCCCAGGCTGGAATGCAGTGGCATGATCTCTGCTCACTGCAACCTCTGCCTCCTGGGTTCAAGCGATTCTCCTGCCTCAGCCTCCCAAGTATCTGGGATTACAGGCACCCGCCACCACGCCCAGCTAATTTTTGTATTTTTAGTAGAAACGGGGTTTTGCCGTGTTGGCCTGATCTCGAACTCCTGATCTCAGGTGATCCACCCACCTCGGCCTCCCAAAGTGCTGGGATTACAGGCATGAGCCACTGTGCCTGGATTTAAAGAATTTTTAAAAAGCATGTTCAGTAGAGAAAATTAAGGGTTTGGTCAAGCAGCCCTTTTAAAAGAGATTAATATGAGTAGAAGGAAGCCAGGGTTTATTCATCAAGACAATGGGAAAATAACCCCAAAGGCATTTCAGAGATCTTTGAGGCAAGCTAGGACCTTGAGGGCAAGGTTTCCAGAGAGGTGCAGATAAATTCCAAGCTCAGCTGCCCCAGCCATGGCTCAAATGGGCCCACATGGGTCCTGCCACTCCAGAAAGTACAAGCTGTAGATCAGTATCATTATATATATATATATATATGTATTGAAACATCAAATTGCACCCTATAAATATATACAATTATAATGTACAATTTGTCCCATTTCTGTTTAGATACAATGTGTCAATTAAAAAGATAATTTTTGTAAAAGTACAAGCCGTGAACCTTGGCAGCATCCATGTGATGCTAATTCTACAGGTGCACAGAAAACAAGTGCTGTGGTGCCTTGGCAGGCTCCACCTCCATCTCAAAGGATGTTGCAGACAGTCTGGGGACTCAGGAAGACATTTGTCACAGGGGCAGGGCCATTTCAGAGTCCCCACTAGGGCAATGGCTAGTGGAGCCATGAGAGTGGGGCAGTTCTTGAGGCCCCAAACTGTAAGGCCGCCAGTGTGTAACTCCAGCCTGAGATAGCTGCAGGCATGAGATTCCAACCCATGAGAGATGCTGCATAGACCGAGTCCAGCTGCCTGAGGCCTTGGGGGGCCAATTTCCTACCCCAGTGTGCCCAGGATTTAGGACATGCAGTCAAAGATGAGTATTCTGATATCTTCAGTTTTTTTTTTTGTTGTTTTTTTTTTGAGATGGAGTCTCGCTGTGTTGCCAGGCTGGAGTGCAGTGGCGTGATCTTGGCTCACTGCAACCTCCACCTCCTGGGTTCAAGCAATTCTCCTGACTCAGCCTCCCGAGTAGCTGGGATTACAGGTGTGTGCCACCACACCCAGCTATTTTTTGTATTTTTAGTAAAGACAGGGTTTCATCATGTTGGCCAGGATGGTCTTGATCTCTTGACCTCGTGATCCACCTGCCTCGGCCTCCCCAAGTGCTGGGATTACAGGCGTGAGCCACCATGTCTGGCCTATCTTAAGATTTGATATTGTTTTCTATCTTGGGTTTTACACTCACTTGGGAAGTTACCCCTTTCTTCTTGCCTATTTCTTCCTTTTGGAATGGGAATGCCTATTTGATGCCTGTCCTGCAATTGTATCCTGGTAGTAGATAAAACAGGCTCACAGCTGGAGGGAAATTTACCTCAGGATGAATTGTGCCTTGAGCCTCACCCATATCTGATTTAGATCAGTCTGGAATTTGGACTTTTGAGTTGACACTGAAACAAGTTGAAACTTCTGGGCTACTGGGATAGAATGTATTTTGCATGTGAGAATGACATGAGTTTTGGGGGCCAGGGATAGAATGCTATGATTTAAATGTGTCGTCTGAAGTTCATGTGTTGGAAACTTAATCACCATTGCAACAGTGTTGAGAAGTAGGGCTTTTAAGAGGGGATTAGATCATGAGAGCTCTGCCCTCATGAATGAATGTCATAATGGCAGGTGTGAGTTCATTATCACGAGACTGGGTTTGTTATAAAAGTGAGTTTGGCCCTCTCTCACTCTCTCTCACCATGTGATGCCTTCTGCCTTATAACGACACAGCAAGAAGGCCCTCACCAGGTGCAGACTCCTCAATCTTGTAGTTCCTGGCCTCCAGCACTGTTAAGACATAAATCTCTGTTTTTCATAAAGTACCTAGTGTTAGATATTCCATTATAGCAGCACAAAGTGTACTAGTTGCATTTGTGTTAAATATGCACACACTGAGGCCTGGCGTGGTGGCTCACGCCTGTAATCCCAGCACTTTGGGAGGCTGAGGCGGGCGGATCACCTGAGGTCAGGAGTTCAAGACCAGCCTGACCAACATGGAGAAACCCCGTCTCTACTAAAAATACGAAATTAGCCAGGCATGGTGGCACATGCCTGTAATCCCAGCTACTCGAGCGGCTGAGGCAGGAGAATTGCTTGAACCCAAGAGGCAGAGGTTGCGGTGAGCTGAGATTGCACCATTGCATTCCAGCCTGGGCAATGTGAGCAAAACTCCGTTTCAAAAAAAAAAATTTTATATATATACATATACTATTACTCCACTGATACAGCATCATATTTGTTCCCTACGTTATTGCCAAACCCTGTGATAAGTTACCTTGAGTGAGTGTGAAAACGTGTGCTCTTCCTCATAGGAGTAGGTTCCAGCTATTTCTTCTGAGGGTCAGGAGTCCATTTTGAAAAAGAATAGACAGACAAAAATTGATAGTGCTTTGTCTTTATTTCTGATGCCCATCTTCTTCAGAGGTTAAGAAGAAATGACACTGATGTACAAATGACTCACCAAGGGACTCTCACCTGACTCTACCCTTGCAGGGGTGGAATAAATCCCTTCTATTTTCAAGTCTATTTGTCCCATTTCTGTTTAGACATAATTTGAAAGCCAGCTTGGACCTTGTACTTTTCAATTATGTTAACGTAAAATACTCGTAACGAATGTAGTATGAGTTTAAAGTGAGCTTTTCAGATCCTATAAGTGCATCCTAAGTAATGACAGGCTTTAAGATAAGGAATATATGCATTTTGTTAAGGCAGAAATCTCATAAAATTTCATGAAAAACCATGGTCAATCCAATGATGCACTTTTTAAGACAAGTTTGTCTGGAAACTGGAAGGGTCAAAAGACAACAAAAAAGCACACACCAAAAAACCTCACTTTAAGCAAATCTATAACTTGAAAAAAAAAAAGCCTAAGAATATTCTGAGAGTGGTACATAGTTTTATAGTAGCCACAGTAACTTCCAGTGACTGGCAAATTTCTTTGCATCAGCTGGCATGTGTGGTGAATGGAATTCCCATGAACAGCTCTTACATCCTTCCGCTTTCCTTCTACAGGCCTCGGTCTTGTTTCCAAAGGTGACTGCAGTGAGGATGTAAGGTCCATGACCTCTAGGGATAATGCCATCCACTCAGGAAGAAAGATGCTGAGAAACTCTAGGGATATCTAAGTTTACATCACAGGGGGAGAATCAATTGTGGAGGTTTTAAGAAGACATTTGAATTTTTGCCCCTAATCAAGAAGTGTTTTGCCATCTGGTTTACATTCAATAACTAGTTGGCTCATCATTTGCAGAAATAAACTTTCCTCTAGATTAGGAAACTTCATCATGAGATCTGAGATATACTGGTTTGGAAAGTTTCCTCAGTTTCTCTTGGCTTCGAAGTCCCCGGCCTCGGAGTGGGGTAAGGCCCATTGGAGGCAGATGAATCTGAATAAGAACAATAATATGAAGAATCATATTCATCATCATTGCAGCAGCTCATATTCACTGAGGATCTACTCAGAAAGTACCATATTCTCTGCTAAGTGCTGTATCTACATTGATTCATTAATCTTTACACAAGTTAATCCTACAACAACCTCATAAGGGATTATTATTCTAATATTTACAGATGAGGAAATGAAACCTCAGAGAAGTTAAAAAACTTGCTTAAGGTTATACATTAAGAAGGGAAGCCAGGATTTGAACCCAGATCTGTCAGATTCCAGAGCCTGTGCTCTTTGCTATATCGCCTGCATAGAGGAGAAAAAACGAGCATGGATCACATAGCAAGTTGAGAATCCAAAGAAGGGGAGAAAAGTGTGTGTATATAAAGATGTTCTGTGCATAGTAGAAAACTGGGATCAAACTAACTGCCTAGCAAGAGAGGGGCTGGTTAAATTATGGCTGGGATGGTTAATTTTTCTTTCTTTCTTTTTTTTTTTTTTTGAGACACAGTTTCACTCTGTCACCCAGGCTGGAGTGCAGTGGCATGATCTCAGTTCACTGCAACCTCGGCCTCCCAGGTTCAAGTGATTCTCTGTCTCAGCCTCCCGAGTAGCTGGGATTATAGGTGCTCGCCACCACGCCCGGCTAATTTTTGTATTTTTAATAGATATGGGGTTTTGCCATGTTAGCCAGGCTGGTCTCGAATTCCTGACCTCAAGTGATCCACCTGCCTTGGCCTCCCATAGTGCTGGGATTACAGGCATGAGCCACCGTGCCTGGCCTAGGATGCTTAATTTTTGTGTCAATCTGATTGGCAATGGGTGCCCAGATTAAACATCATTTCTAGGTGTATCTGTGAGGGTGTTTCTGGATGAGATTAGCATTTGAATCAGTGGACTTAGTAAAGCACATGGCCCTCCCCAGTGTGAATGGGCATCATCCAATCCATGGAGGGCCTGAATAGAACAAACAGGCAGAAGAAGGGGAAGCGGCTCCTTTTGCTTCCTGCCTGTTTGAGCTGGGACACCTCATCTTCTCTGGGCCTCAGACTGGGGATTTCTACCATTGGCCCCTTGGGTTCTCAGGCCTGTGGACTCAAACTGAGTAATACCACCAGCTTTCTTCTGGGTCTCCAGCTTGCAGACGGCAAATCCTAGGACTTCTCAGCCTCTATAATCACATGCACCAATTCCTTATAATAAATCTCCTTTCAGCCGGGCACAGTGGCTCACGCCTGTAATCCCAGCACTTTGGGAAGCTGAGGTGGGCGGATCACCAAGTCAGGAGTTTGAGACCAGCCTGGCCAACATAGTGAAACCCTATATCTACTAAAAGTACAAAAAATTAGCTGGCATGGTGGCGGGGGCCTGTAATCCCAGCTACTTGGGAGGGTGAGGCAGGAGAATCGCTTGAACCCAGGAGGTGGAGGTTGCAGTGAGCCGAGATCGTGCCACTGCACTCCAGCCCGGGTGACAGTGCGAGACTCCGTCTAAAAAAAAAGAACCAAAAAAACTCCTTTCAGGCGTATCTAGATGTATCTCTGTCTAGATAAATAGAGAGCCAATTCCTCATAATAAATCTCTTCACATATACATCTAGCTGTCCCTAGATGTACATATCTTCATTCTACTGGTTCTGTTTCTTTGAAGAACCCTAACACAATGGCACATTCTTACAATAGCATACAATGCAATCATTTAAAAAAGATTGGGCTGGGCGTGGTGGCTCATACCTATAATCCCAGCACTTTAGGAGGCCAAGGCAGGCGGATCACTTGAGGCCAGGAGTTCGAGACCAGCCTGGCCAACATGGTGAAACCCTGTTACTACTAAAAATACAAAAATTAGGTGGGTGTGGTGGTGTACCTGTAATCTGTAATCCCAGCTACTCAGGAGGCTGAGGCAGGTGAATCCCTTGAACCCAGGAGGCTGCAGTGAGCCAAGATTGCGTCACTGCACTCCAGACTGGGTGACAGAGTGAGGCTCTGTCTCAAAAAAAAAAAAAGATTGAGGGAGAGCTACATACAAAGATGTGCAGAAGACATGAAGTAAAATAAGTACGCAGTATAACATTATATCCAGAATCCTACATATGTAAAGAAAATGTAGGTACATGAATACAGAAAAAAAGACTAAAAGGGTATACTACCAAACTAATTAGGTTGAGCCACTACAATATAAAATTGCTGTTTTTGTAGCTAAAAGAGTTGAATATTGGCAATTTTCCATTTAACAGTTAAAGTGTTCACCCTCTGCACAATGAGAAATTTTTTTTTTTTTTTTTTTTTTTTAAGAAATTTGGGCTGGGCGCAGTGGCTTACGCCTGTCATCCTAGCACTTTTGGAGGCCACGGTGGGCAGATTGCCTAAGCTCAGGAGTTCAAGACCAGCCTGGGCAACATGGTGAAACCCTGTTTCTATTAAAATACAAAAAATTAGCTGGGTGTGGTGGTGCACGACTGTAGTTCCACCTATTCGAGAGGTTGAGGAATGAGAATCACTTGAACTGGGAAGGCAGAGGTTGTAGTGAGCAGAAATCATGCTGCACTCCAGCCTGGGCGACAGAGTAAGACTCTGTCTCCAAAAAAACGAACAAACAAAAAAGATTTCTGGCCAGGCACGGTGGCTCATGCCTGTTATCCCAGAGCTTTGGGAGGCTGAGGTGGGAGGATTGCTTGAGCCCAGGAGTTCAAGACCAGCCTGGGCAACACAGTGAGACCTCCATCTCTACAAAAAATTAAAACATTAGCTGGGCGTGGTGGCACATGCTTGTAGTCCCAGCTACTTGGGGAAGTGAGGTGGGAGAATCACTTTAGCCTGGGAGGTCAAGGCTGCAGTGGGCCATGACTGTACCACTGTACCTAGCTTGGGTGATGAAGCGAAGACTCAGTCTCCACAAATAAATAAATAAATAAAACTTCTTTTAAATTAAATTATTGTTTTAAATTTATGGTATGAAAGAATTTAAGAAAACATAAATTTATATACATTTATTATTTTAAATTCATATAAATTTGAAATTTATTTTGTTTCTTAACTTTCTGAATGTATTAAGTTTATATAATTTTTTTATTTTAAATTTATATATATAAATTTAAGTTTTATTTATTTTTTGAGACAGGGTCTCACTCTGTCACCCAGGCTGGAGCGCAGTGGTGTGATCATGGGTCACTGCTGCCTCAACCTCCTGGGCTGAAGCAATTCTCCCACCTCAGTTCCCCAAGTAGCTGGGAATACAGGAGTGTGTCACTATGCCTGGCTAATTTTTAAATTTTGTATAGCAATGGGGTCTCACTGTGTTGCCCAGGCTGGTCTCAAACTCCTAACCTCAAGTGATCCTCCTGCCTTGGCCTCCCAAAGTGCTAGGATTATAGGCATGAGCCGCAGTGCCTAGCCTGGATGAGAATTTTTGACCATTTTTACTTTCTACTTTATGCATTCCTTTCATGTTTGAACTTTATTCTTTTAGTAACAACAAACCTGCCTTTTATAATTAAACACATTTCCATAAAAAAGATGAAAGTGAAAAGAGAAAAAGCTCTACAGTGTGAGCTGGTTTTCCCTTCCATACGTGGAAAGCTATGTAAGCAGGATACGTCATGCATTCATTGACATTTTACTTTGTTGTGATGGGCTGGCAGCATGCAATGATAGCTTATTTCCAACATGCCTCCCACAGCAGCTCTGGGCTTCTCAGCAAGCACTCGCCCTCTTGTTACACATTCTTGGAAATAACCAGGTTGATGAGGGTAAGTACCCAGCACTTGTTAACCGGAGTCACACTTACTGGCCTTGGGTAAGGAATCTTGTAATGCAGTCCAATTTCAATCCTGGCTGTGCATTCATCTATACACTGTTTAATTAGGTCTGTGTCCGTGAGCTATTAAAAGGGAGAAAGAAATGAGGCTGATAGTATCTTTCTAATGGTACATAGAGTATAGGTATACATTTTCTCAAACTTTTTTAGTTCACTAGCCAGTAAATGAAATGTTACTAATTTGGAAAATCAAAAGCAATTTAATATTAAAGCTTACCATAAACTTTTAAAATCGTTAAAGTAGGTAAAAATAATTCAAATAATACAAAAGGATGTAACATAAGAACTACGTTTCCCTCTTACTCCTCTATTCCAGTTCCTCATCTCGGAGACAACAATTAGCAGTTTCTTGTGTGTTCTTGCAGGGGTATTCTATGTATATGTGAAAATGCACATGTATGTAGAAGCTGATTATTTTTCTCACACAAACAATAGCTCCCTTTGTTCTGAACCTTGCTTTTTCATGAACATAACTTGAGGTTCCTTCTATATTCTATCTATAGAGCTGCTCCCTTCTTTTTAACAGCTATATAAAATTCCAACAGAAGGCTTTATTATAATTTCACCAATCTCCTACCCATGGATAATTAAGTTATTTCCAATTTTTTGCTATTATAAATGATTCCGCTATGGATCTCTCTAAAATTACTTTGCTTACATGCATATGTATCTAAAAGATGAATTCCTAGAGAGAGAGGACTGCTAGGACAAAGGCATAGATTCATGCATTTTTAATTCTCACAGATATTCCCAGATTACTCTCTAGAGTTCACACCAATTTACATTCCTACCAACAATCTATAAATTATATTCTCACCGACACTGACTGAGAGTGCTTCTTCACACCCCCCTCATGTTGATTAAACTTTAAAGTAACCCCATGGTTTCTGCAAGTGCTGTCCTGAAACCCCCAGAGTAGGACACTGGAGAATGATCTACACCTCTTAAACTGTCAACTGCCTTGGCTCATTAGTAAGGGGAACAAAGGGCTTTTGAAATTCCAAAATAGTCAAATCATGGTAATCCACTCTCAATTAAAGGAATAAAAAGTTCATTCTGAAAAACAGCCAAGTAGGAAAAAGGGAGAAACTCTTTCATTATGAGGTAGGAAAATGAATCAAGACGTGGCTCTGCTAGGAGTTTGCAAGTGGACTTCAAAGCTGAGCTAGGATTGCATCAGCACCAGATGACACCCACGCAGCAAAGTCTGGGTCCATGTGGCTTGGAAATTTCAAGGGCGTTCCTGTCCTATGGTACCTCTTGGAGCAGAGAAGAGTTCCAGGAACAGCAATGCAGAGAACCACAGCTGTGAGTCCCTTGTGGCAGAGGCCCAACTTTCTGACCTCTGTGCTTCTCAGAAGCCACTGATTTGCTGTCTGTGTTGGAAAAGAGTTCCATGTTCCCATTTGCCCACTGAGATTCAGAGCAGTTCATGGGATACCTTTGGATTATTAAACTCTTAAGAGTAATCAAAGTTACAAGAAACTCATTATGTCTGCATGAGGGACTAGGAAGAAAGAAAAAGCCCTTGACAAAGATATGGTTAAGGGGGTTGGGGCTTCTGGGGCTTCAGCTGTCTATCTGAACAAGCTTGGGCTACAGTACTCCAAATTCAGTCATTCACGGGCTGGCTGCATGATTCTGCCATATCCACATACTACTTATACTAATGTTAAAATTTTTCATTAAATGGACTCTCTTAAGCAATAGCATTTGTGAAACTGTGGTCTAATATTCTCTGTCCTTTATAACACATGCTAAAGCAAGTACGTATCTTAAAATTAAGAACCCATGTACCTCTTCCGCCCACTCCCAAATAATCTCATGTACCATCAGTGGCACATACACCTCCCTCTGGCTCACTCCTCGAGCCAATCCAAGCCGAGGCAAAGGAAGGGTTATTGCGATAACTGAAAACCGAAACTCTTGAGTAGTCTTCAGGTGAGTGAGCTTGCAAAGGTTTATTGGGCATGTACTATGATATCCCCAATACCGCAGGCTGGACAGTGCCTTCAACTATCAAAGTTATTACTTGGGCAGAACAACTCTGATACCTGAAGCTACAGAAAAGGCACAGTGGTATATAATCAATGGATGCAGTGACTGCTACAGACAGCTATAGGAATTCAGAACAGGCGGCCAGCATGGGGTTGAGGGGGAAGCAGAGAAACTGAGGAAGATTTCCTGGAGGAGGTCAGTTAAATCAAAGTATTTATAGCTGCTCATTCATTTAGTGACAACCACAAGGAGGTCCCTTGGGATATACTAGATAAGTATAAGAACGTGTCTATATGTTCAAGGAACTGATGATCTGGTTGGGAAAACCATGCCAACATAAATAAAATAAAGAAGAAAAAAGGAGAATATAAACAACTATTTAGGGATCTCCAAGCCTTTTGATCATCTACTCTTTTTTTGGTTTTTTTGGTGACAGAGTCTTCCTCTGTTGCCCAGGCTGGGGTGCAGTGGCATGATCTTGGCTCACTGTAACCTCTGCCTCCTGGGTTCAAGAAATTCTCGTGCCTCAGCCTCCTGAGTAGCTGGAACTACAGGTGTGCACCACCACACCCAGCTAATTTTTGTATTTTTAGTAGACAGGGTTTCACCATGTTGGCCAGGCTCATCTTAAACTTCTGACCTCAAGTGATCCACCAGCCTCAGCCTCCCAAAGTGTAAGGATTATAGGCGTGAGCCACCACACCTGGCCAATCACCTACTCTTTTCATTGAAATATTTCTGAGCCCACAGCCCCATATATGTATTTATATTAATTTATAAATGTATTAATTTATAAATTATATATATGTACTAACAAGTTCATTGTAACTGTGTACCAGACAGACTTTTTAGAAAGATGAAAGGATAAATAGAAATAGCAGTTGTATTTTATTTCCATTCCTTAGAGGATTGTTTAAGGACCTCATGGGGTACATATACTCTGGTTTGGCAAGCATGGTCTATGCTAAGAGCAGAAAAAGTTTGGGGAACCTGGGTTTGGAGGAAGGTCAGCAGGGTAGAGAGAAACTTCATAAGTCAGCCTTGAAAAGCTAGAGGCATCAGGGATTCAGAGAAGGGGAAGTTGCTGCAGATTAGGAGGGCTTCTGTAGTAACGCTTTTTTTTTTTTTTTTTTAAGAGACAGGGACTCGCTATGTTGCCCAGGTTTGTCTCGAACTCCTGGGCTCAACTGACCCTCCAGCCTTGGCCTCCCAAAGTGGTAGGATTACAGGCGTGAGCCACCATGTCCAGCCTTTGTAGCACTTTTCCCAACTGTAATTTTATATTTCTTTCCATCTAACTCAAATGCCTTTGACAGATGTGTCTTGGTTTGGCTTATGTTTGTCTTCGACATCTAGTCTTGTGTTTGGCACATAGTGGGCAATCAAATATTTGTTGAGTGAGGAATGAGAACAAAGAGTTGCAGAGTGGTGACAGGAGCTGTGACACCAATGGGCCAGTGGGGAAGGGGAGGCACTCCTGTAGAAAGATGACCCTGCTTTGGACCATTGAGCCGTGGTGAGGTCCTTCAGGTGGCCAGGCAGAGGCCAAAGCTGGGGATTCAGATGTGACAGCTTAAATCACAAGGTGGCTGCATGTTGCACAGGCCTCAGCACAGAGGGCTGACCTTCAGAGGACCCCTGCAGCTGGCGGGAGGGTGTGTGATGACACGGCTGAAGAGAGACAGTCAGAGGTCAGAGAGGGAAAAGTGGTGAGAGTAGACTGTTAGGAAGTTTCATGAGGGGAGCAGTGACCGCGCTGAATCCATTAGATCAGTGAGGAGACGGAAGAGAAGTCGGGTGTGAAAGCCTTTTTCCATGCTTAGTGCCGGGAGGTCTTCCCCGGAGCTAACAGCTAACGCTTTAGGGTTTGTAGGGGGGTGGTCCAATCTGGCTCCCTGCTGTGTGTGCAGTTCCCTTAAACCAGCTAATGGAGACACTATTTTACCCAGTTCTGTGGTCCCAAAGGGCAATCTCACTCTGCTAGCCAAAGAGGCTTGAGTTCAAAGCTGTTATGAAGGAAACCCTGTGTCTTAATCCTATTCTCTTCCTTCTAAATGGGTTTATATTTAGAGGCTTTGAATAGTTTATGAATTGAAAAAAAAAACAACAACAACAACAAAAAACCACTTTCCTGCACACCTCCTATGGGAGTGGCCAGCAACTGGTACAGTATGAGGACTGGCTCCTCCTCTGAAAACTCATTGGCCTGCTCATGTCACCTGGCTCATAGGGTCTTCTGAGGACACTGAGCCACTTACTGGCTGGCTTGAGACCTGGAACAAGTGAAGAGAGAAACACAGGCTTCCCAGTGGTCAGGCAAGCTAGCCAAGCTGTGCACTGGCCCCTTCCTGCCCCAAGTTCTGCCACCATGACTGTGCGGCTCAGCCCTCTTGATTAAAGACCGAAAAGAAATAAACAAATATCATAAGGAACAACTCTCCTCTGCACAATCTCCAAGTGGGGCCTACTTACATTTTTGTTTTTCCGGAACAGCGTTCTGGCTTCATTTAGTATGTACTGTTTTTCTTTGATGGTGTCTTCCATCTGCCCTGATGTCGCCTGCCATTTCCTCGCAAGCCTGAAAATGCTGCGGTAGAGGCCAAGGACTTCTTGTCGTGTTGCCGTTGTCATCTTCAGACCCACCAAAATAGAAGAGGGAAAATTTGCATAAAAATGCAACTTGACAGGAGGCACCAGGCAGATGTACAGTTTTTTTTTTTTTTTTTTGAGACGGAGTCTTGCTCTGTCGCCCAGGCTGTAGTGCAGTGGTGCAATCTCGGCTCACTGGAAGCTCCGCCTCCCGGGTTCACGCCATTCTCCTGCCTCAGCCGCCCGAGTAGCTGGGACTACAGGCGCCCGCCACCACGCCTGGCTAATTTTTTGTATTTTTAGTAGAGACAGGGTTTCACCGTGGTCTCGATCTCCTGACCTCGTGATCTGCCCGCCTCGGCCTCCCAAAGTGCTGGGATTACAAGCGTGAGCCACCGTGCCCAGCTGATGTACAGTTTTTTAATTAAGACCTTTAATTAGTCTAGAAATAATTGCTCTTTCTCAACAAATCTGTTGGGTAGCATTGCTGAAACCATCTAATAGAAACACCGTATCTCTCAACTGGCTTTGTAATTCATCCCGAGGTTGAGGGTTGCTTAACCACATCGTTTGCCATGGTGGCCACATTTATGAACACGGCAAAACCAAAGCTCACACTTATTATTCTTTAAGCCAGTCCAGTAAAATTATATTACTCACCTGAATGCCTAGGTGAAGGCATATTTTTGATAACTGAATTTTCTAGTTAAGGGAGAAATGGAATTTAATCCACTGGTTACAAACTCAAGTGCCTCTGCGGCCTGGCAGGTAATATAAATGAGAGGACTTGCTTGGATGGGGACAGTGGCCACCTGGACAGGAAATGCCCCCTTGAAAGGGAACAGTTGCCATTCAGCTCCAGCCAGCAGCTGCCATGTAGAAAGAAGTGCCTAGGAATGCCAGATTTCCTGATAGCTTAAAAATAGGTGGCAATCCAGATTTTAAAAATATGACATCTCAAAAAAACACACTAAGTCATTATTTTTGAAAATGTGAGGCCAGGCGTGGTGGCTCACGCCTGTAATCCTAGCACTCTGGGAGGCTGAGGCAAGTGGATTGCTTGACCTCGGGAGTTCAAGACTAGCCTGGGCAACATGGTGAAACCTTGTCTCTACTAAAATACAAAAAAAAAAAAAAAAAAATTAGCCAGGTGTGGCGGCATGTGCCTGTAGTCCCAGCTACTTGGGAGGCTGAGTCAGGAGAATTGCTTGAACCCCAGAGGCAGAGGTTGCAGTGAGCCAAGATTGCACCATTGCACTCCAGCCTGGGCAACAGAGTGAAACTCCGTCTCCAAAAAGAAAAAAAAAAAAAAAAAAAAAAGTGACGACTGTACAGGCCAAACAAAATGAGTCTGTAGGCTCAGTTCCACCCAGAGGTTGTCAGGTTGCAACCTCTCTTTTAGTCTGTCACAACCTTTTTGGAAATATTTCTCAAAATCGTTGGTCTACTTTCTTGTCCAATAAGTATAATTAAAAATCTTTCTGATGACTGGCCGGGTGCAGTGGCTCATGCCTGTTATCCCAGCACTTTGGGAGGCTGAGGTGGGTGGATCACGAGGTCAGGAGATTGAGACCATCCTGGCTAACACGGTGAAACCCCGTCTCTACTAAAAATACAAAAAATTAGCTGGGCGTTGTGGTGAGTGCCTATCGTCCCAGCTACTCAGAAGGCTGAGGCAGGAGAATGGTATGAACCCGGGAGGCGGAGCTTGCAGTAAGCTGAGATCCGGCCACTGCACTCCAGCCTGGGTGACAGAGCGAGACTCTGTCTCAAAAAAAAGAAAAAAAAAAAATCTTTCTGATGACTGAAGATCTCAAGGCCCCTCTGGGTTTTTAGTCTCAAACATCAGTTTTAATTTCAGAAGATGTGGCCAAGAGAGAACGGACGTAGGTATATTCTGTAAAGCTAATTGTATTTTTCAAAAGCATAATTCCCAGTATCTTTAAATTCTTATTACAAAATATTTCAGATACAAAAAGATATAGAGGCCAGGTACAGTGGCTCATGCCTGTAATCCCAGCAGTTTGGGAGGCCGAGGCAGGTGGATCACTTGAGGTAAGGAGTTCAAGACCAGCCTGGGCAACATGGTGAAACCCAGTCTCTACTAAAAATACAAAAATTAGCCAGGTGTGGTGGCAACCACCTGTAATCCCAGCTATTTGGAGGCTGAGGCACGAGAATCACCTGAACCCAGGAGGTGAAGGTTGCAGTGTGCCAAGATCACGCCACTGTATTCCAGCCTGGGCAACAGTGACTCTGTCTCCAAAAAAAAAAAAAAAACAAAGAAAAGATACTGAGACCAATATAATAGCCATACAGTTACAACAGACCTTAAAGAATAAATTATGTATCCAGTAGAAACCCCCACTGTACCCCTTCCAAATAACATTTCCCTTCCTCTCCTAGAAGGAATCACTATGCTGAATTTATTGTTTATTGTGCATATCTTTACACATAACATTTATAGTATTGCTTTGCAAGTTTTATTTATTTATTTAATTATTATTATTATTATTATTATTATTATTTTTGAGACAGAGTTTCGCTTTTGTTGCCCAGGCTGGAGTGCAATGGCGCAATCTCGGCTCACTGCAACCTCCGCCTCCCAGGTTCAAGTGATTATCCTGACTCAGCCTCCCAATTAGCTGGGATTACAGGTGCGCACCATCACGCCTGGCTAATTTCGTATTTTTAGTAGAGATGGGGTTTCACCATGTTGGTCAGGCTGGTCTCGAGCTCCTGACCTCAGATGATCCACCTGCCTCAGCCTCCCAAAGTGCTGGGATTACAGGCATGAGCCACCGCACCCCGCCTGCTTTGCAAGTTTAAAAAGTTTATAGGTAAGTTCTGCAATTTGCTTTATTTGCCCATAACATTCATAAGATTCATCCATGTTGTTACACATGGCTCTGGTTCATATATTCTCAGTGCTGCAATTCAGCCTGCTGTATGAAGATATCCCAATGTACTATCTATTTTGCTGATGGATATTAGGTGTTTCCTTTTTAAAAAAAATTATTTAAGGCCGGCTGGGCGCGGTGGCTCATGCCTGTAATCCCAGCACTTTGGGAAGCCAAGACAGGCAGATGACAAAGTCAGGAGATCAAGACCATCCTGGCTAACAAGGTGAAACCCCGTCTCTACTAAAAATACACAAAAAAAAATTAGCCGGGCATGGTGGTGGGCGCCTGTCCCAGCTAATCGGGAGGCTGAGGCAGGAGAATGGCGTGAACCCGGGAGGCGGAGCTGGCAGTGAGCCGAGATTGCGCCACTGCACTCTAGCCTGGGTGACAGAGTGAGACTCCATCTCAAAAAAAACAAAAAAAACCCAAAAATACCAACAAAAATTTATTTAAGGCCACGTGCAGTGGCTCATGCCTGTAATCCCAGCACTTTGGGAGGCTGGGACAGGCAGGTCACTTAAGCTCTGGAGTTTGAGACCCACCTCGGTAACATGTTTTTAACAAAACATTCATTTTGTAAAAAAATACAAAAATTGGACAGGGCTGATGGCATGTGCCTGTAGTCCTAGCTACTTGGGAGGCTGAGGTGGGAGGATCGTATGAGCCCGGGAGGCTAAAGTAAGCTGAGATTGCACTACAAGCCAAGACTGAGCCCCTGCACTCCAGCCTGGGTGACAGAGTGAGACCCCATCTCAAAAACAAACAAGCAAACCCCAACAACTTATTTAAAAACTTCAGGCTGGCTCCAGTGGCTCATTCCTATAATCCCAGTACTTTGGGAGGCTGAGATGGAAGGATCATTTGAGGCCAGGAGTTCAGGACCAGCCTGGGCAATATAAAGAGACCCTATCTCTATAAAAATGAAAAAACAAAGTATTTCAGCCCCCCCTCTCCTTTTTTCATAACTATTTACATTTCTATATCTAAAATAAATTCAGGGAAGCTAGAAAAAAAAAAGTCCCACTACTGGAAGATTCTGATTAGTCAGAATTAGAACAATGAATATTGTACAGCCTTGAACCAGAAGACAGGGTGGGAAGACAAGGAGGGCAGATTTGGTGAGTAAGTAGCAAGGCCAGGCAGCTGGACACCTCATTCTGAGTTCTGGGTTTTCCTCTAACAGGCTCATCAGGATCGGGAAGTAAGCTGCTCACTGCTTGCTTTTGGGAACATGATCCATTTTCAACTTATGGAGGGAAAGGCATAAGAGGTGGAGATAATATGCTTTAGGGTAGTCCTGAAATTATGAGAATTTGAGCAGCTAAAGAATGCAGATTGGAGCTGGAAGTGGGCACGTTTACCTCAAAATTCTAAGTACTTGCAAGGAATTCAACTTACAGAGAATTTCTCTTTCCAATATGAGCACTTACTCTGACCCTGATGACGTTTCTTGAGGTTTATTCTTGAGTAAAGAATGAGCCAACTGATGAAAAGCTTCAAATACTACTTCACCTAATTCAAAGGTTAAAAGGACCAAAGTTATATTCAATACCAATTCTGAGTCTATGAGGCTGCACAGAAAAAAATGCTTACAAGGAATTCATAAAAACCAAGAGAGAACATCATGCTTTGTGGCTTATTGTAATAAAAACCCAGATGAGATGATGACATTTTTCCTGGTAAGGAAACAGGTTTCTGAGTTTCTGGCTCTCCCTAAAACTCCATGGTTTCATATGAAAATACATGAGTCAGTTCCTGTGAGGTACAGGGAGTCTGTAACTAACATCTCTTAATGATTGCTTCACTTCCCTGTCATTAACAGACGGAACTTCCTTGACTGCAAGACACTTGAGAAAAGTGACCAAGGTCAGGCATATTCAATCAGCAGCAAGGTTTTTTGTTGTTGTTGTTTTTTTTTTTAGAGGCAGGGTCTCGCTCTGTCACCCAGGCTGGAGTACAGTGGCAT